>NC_000008.11:40466163-40769193 GCF_000001405.40 Homo sapiens | reverse complement strand
CAATATATTTCTAAGTCACATTTCAGTACTTTTACACATTTGTAAAAATTTTTCATGTTTCATTGGCACTTTTAAACCCATTTAAAGGCCTTAAAAGTGTTCAGGGATTGTCTAGAAGCTTGGTCTTTTGTTGCTCTAGACAGAATATAGGAATTAAGAAAGTGATGAATGAGGAAAATGGACAGGAAGGATTTACAATCTATCCTGTAAACAAGATGCAACTTTCTATGTGTTCTCTGAAAATCACTTTGCCTTCATGGCTGATTCATAAAAGTAAACCACCATCCAGGAGATGGGCTAGGATGCAACTGTAAATAAAGTCATAGTGGAACAAAAGCCTGGAAAAGCAGGAAATAACCTCTGAGTAAAGGAAAGGGAAGGGGGATTGGAATTAGGGAACAATAGATTCGAGAGGTGATGCAGTCAACAGTGAAAAATGTTTAATATTATGCAGATTGCAATTTTTCATATGCAATGTCTCATTTGATTCTTATGACACCCTAGCAAATGTTGTGGTATTCATTTTGTACATGGAGAAAATGTGACTCATTCTGATATAAACACATTCCAATAAGAGACTGGCCTAATATCACACAGCTAGGAAGTGGTAGAGCTGGAACCCAGATTCTGAATGTGTGATGACTCTTAGTGTTCTTTTCACTCCGCCATCCTGCCTCAGGTAGAAACTTGAAGTTCTGACTGTATTCTTTAAACGTGATGGGAATCCGGGATGAAACTCTCAGTTGAGCAAAGAAGAGGAAATAGGGAACAAAGAAGGCATCAGTTTCTCCATGCTGGGCATGGACCAGTCAGTATAGCCAGAAATCAACAATCCTGCTAATTCCAAAGAAAATGAGTCTTTATTTGCTCAACTGCATCATCTGCTGGCAGGTAGCTTAGGCTGTGGTCAGTCCGCAGACTGACATACAATTCTCTTTAGTTTGCTCATGATATCTGACCTTAGAGAATCCCATCCCTTTTGATAGCTTATTAATGAAGTCTGTGTGTGGGAGAGCCATGAGAAAAGGCTTCTATTGGGGGTGAGGTGCACCAGGCTCCCAAGGAGGCATTGTCCCCAGACCCTGAGGGCAGGGCAGCAGTAGTGAGAGAGATCACTGTGCCTCTTCTTATCACAATTAATGCTTATGTTATTTCCTTTGCTTATTTGTTTTTATTTTTGAGGAAAATTAAATATAGTATATTATCCACCCTAGGCTACATGATTTCAATGCCTTCACCTTCTTCATTACTGTGTTTTCTCATCCTGAAATTACATTGGCTTTAGAACTTGGGGCAAGCCACTTAACCTATCTGAAACTACATCCTACATCCCTCACAGGAGTATGCAGAAGTGTCTTCTACTGAAAATACATTTCTTTTTGCATTTGCGGGCACTGGCTAGGTTTCAAAGGGTTTGAAATGGCTTATCTTTTACAGTATCTGCTTATGCTTTTCCTTCCCAGAGTCGAAAACATGCAAGCAAAGTCCGACTGTATTACATGCTTCACCCCAGGGATGGAGGGTGTCCTGCCAAGAGGCTCCGGTCAGAAAATGTGAGTATCTGGTACCACGTGATATCCTCAGATGATTTGTTCTGTGTACTGAGAACTTTGCAGGTGTAGGAATTGTAGTCTAGTCCAGATTCATAGAAAAGCTGAGTGAGTAGAAATAGTTCTCACTAAATATTACAGGTACTATGATATATATCGAGGTTTTTTTATTTTCCTGCCAGAACTTGCCCATATAGTATTGGAGGAGTTTTTGATGACATTGCACTGGGACCATAAACAGTGAGAATACACAGAGGTTGTGGGGCAGAGAGCAAGGCTGGGTAAGGGGAGGCAGGACCACAACATGATGAAGTATTAAGAAGACAGGACCTCAGGGGCAAATCTGTCAGAAATATTAGATACTTCACTTTCTACATACTTTATTTTTCCTCTGGTGTATAAAACAGAATGTCTTGTTTGTTAATTTATAATGAAGAGTGTGCATATTTTGCAAATAAAAATACCCAGGCTTCTTGATCCCTCCCTCTGAAGGAACATTTGCTTGGGAAGACAAGTGACAATTATAAAGTCGCTTTGAGGGAGTCAAGTCAGAGCAAAGGGCTTATTTCAGCCAGGCCAAGGCAAAGGCTGATGAAATAAATATTCCTTCCTCCCAGCAGGGGTTACTTTTCCTAATGAGTAGAATATTCATATCCACCAGCTGCAGAGGCTCCTCCTAATAAACACTGTGGATTAAACACAGAAATTCCTCGCCCTTTGAGTTAAGAGGAGGCTGCAGGCGTAGAATTTATACCCCACACCATCCGTGTGCTTGTGATCTTGTTTTCTTTCTGCTGCCATGTAGATGACGGTTTTCTTTTCTCATTAAAAATTAATACATGATCACTGAAGAAACTTTACAAAACCTTCACTTGTGTATTTTTCACAGGGGATAAAAAGAGGGAGCAAGAGAACTGCCTATGAGCAGAGGTTGTGAGCATCAAGGCTGGTGTTTTTAACAAATTCTAAGCATGCCTCTTGGTGTCACAAAATGAGCTGTTCATACACAGACTAATCTGGAACACTGCAGATCTGTCTTTACTGCCTTGTTGAAGCAGCCTTTAGAGCTTATTGGAAGCAAAAGATGTCTTGAAAACTTTGCAAGCTGCTAAGAGCCGGGACTGAGTCTAGTTTTTTTTTAGCCCTTAGCGTTAGGACCCTGGGCAAATAATTGATCTCTTGAAGGCCCAGTTTTCTCAGTCAGGCAGGCCATAATCATCATATTTTACTTTCCTCACTGGACTATGGTGAACATTAAATGAAGTGGTAGATAGGAGGCGTACTGTGACTTGCCAAGCATCACATGCAGGCACTGACAAAACAGCTAAATAAGACGCAGTGTTGCCTTAAAGAAATTCATAATGTAGTATGGGAGATTGACATTGTATAAAGAGTAGCTATAATATCACAGCATAAGTGTTTATTAACATCCTGCACAAAGAAACATGGAGACAAAAGGCAAGCGGATCATGCCAAGGGGCTCTGGTCAGGGAAGGTGCTCCTGAAGAGTTGGCATTTGAGCTGGAGCTTGGGGACATGAATGGATTTTACCAGATGGAGGCCGCAGGAGGGAGGGAGGAGGATACCAATTTCGTAGGCACATTCCTCTCAGAAAAACTTATTAAGCCATGGGAGAGTTGGCCTACACCAGCTTTTATGTAACCTCCGAACTCTATGGCTACTGGAATCGTGCTTCCCATTGGGAGAGTATCTATTAGCAGAAAGAATAGAATTCGTTTTTTACTTCTTGAAATTATCCAGCAATCAGATCTGAATCCTTTCATATAATAGCCATTTAGTGTCTTATGCTAATGGTCAGAGACAATGGGGTTCACAGCCACTTGACAATTAGCTTAAAGTGGCAAAAAAACAGAGATGACTGCACTCAAGCTAGTGTTGTAGTTGTACAGGCTCAAGATGGTCCTTGCCACTCTGGTCAGGTGCACAATCCCCTTTAATCAAGCTCCGGTGCTGCCAATAACCGCAAGGACAGTTTACAGTGGGAAAGATGTTTGGATTTCAGAGCAAGAAGCATCTGTTTGCATTCTTTATCAAAGTCCCCGTGGAAACCTTTTTTCTCTGCTGTTTCCTGGGTTTTGAAAAACCTTGATCTACCAATGATTTATTTATCAAATCATTTTTCTATAATTTATTGAGCATAATATAAAAGCAAACCAGTAAACAGAAAAAGCAATAAAATCGTCTTACTTTTTGAGAGTGATAGTTGATGCTTTTGTTACACTGTGTGTACATTTGTAGGTGAATATATACTTTCCGCTATGCATTTTGATCTATTGGACACAGCGTGGAAGTCACCCCCAATACTTCTCAGGGGCTTTAAGAGTGTATATTGGTAATTATATGAATCAACTTTCTTTTGTACAGGCTTATACCTAAGAATTGAGAGACTGAATATATAAAGACGTTGTCTGGAGAATAAGAAATGGTGTCTTATTTTTGGGCATTGAAGCCATTGCTGGGTCCGGGGCCAGGGATGACTGCTGTTCTGGGTGAGTGGGTGCAGTGGCTCACACCTGTAAACCCGGAACTTTGGGATGCTGGCAAGAGGAACACTTAAGGCCAGGAGTTCAAAACCAGCTTGGACAAGATAGTGAGACCCTGTGTCTACAATTTTTTTTTTTTAATTAGCCAGGCATGGTGGTACATACCTATAGACCCCGCTCCTCAGGAGGCTGAGGCTGGAGGATTGCTTGAGTTTAGGAATCAGAGGCTGCAGTGAGCTATGATTGTGCCACTGCACTCCAGTCTGGGCAACAGAGTGAGACACTGTCTCTAAAAATAATAATAATAATAATATCGAAGGTATAGATTTTTCATAAGGCCCAACTGACATAAGTCATATTTATTTAGCATTTTGTTTTCAAAGCACTTTCTGCATGTATTATTATTACTGATACTCTCTCCACTAGCACGCTGTATTCTCAGAAGGATATAATAACACTTTATTCTACTCACCTCACTTCCTACTCAGATTCTGTGCTCCCAGGGGCTGTGAGAGGTTTGCATCCCAGTGTTAACTGATTGAGAAGAGCATTCACATCTGCCCTGAATACCCCCAGCGTATGGCTTTGTAAACAGAGAAAATGTGTTCCTGATTTCCCACACCCTGACCATGTATGAACCCTGCTCCCACCCCATTCATAGGAACTCGAAATTTACTTACAAACGCAGTGAAGGGCCTATTATACTTCTAAGGTCTATTGTTGCCATTTCTACTTCAGGCCATTTGGCTTTTGCTGTTGTTGTTTTAAACACCCAAATTCATTTCTATCTTCTGTTTTGACATTGTCAGCTGTTTAAATTTTCTCTTCACATGCTTTTATCTTTAGAATCCTTACTCGGATCTTACATTTTTTTTCCCCCTGGAAGACATTTTTCCCTTGGGGCCACAGAGTAAAATTAAGTGAGAAATAAATTGTTATGGTCAATTGCCTTAGAGAAATTTTCAGTAATCCCTCCAGCGTTAGAGACAGAAAGGACTTCAGTGTTCACGCAGTCCATTGAGAGTCTCCGTTTTTCACCCTTTTATTATCTTCAGACCCGTGGGTCAGATGCTTTGGGAAAAAATGATCTGTATGGGAAACAGCATTTTTAAGTAAAAAAGGTGATTTAGTTTTACCTGGGTTTTTTTTTTGTGTGTGTGATACTTTGATTTTTGCAAAATGTAAGTAACTGCTGACCAAAATCGCAAGTCAGTTTTAAGTAAACAGTATTTTTATGTGGGGTTAAGATAATTCCCTCTAAACATAGAGAAGCTTGGCATTTGGTTAGTGTCATCAGTGTTACTACTCTTAATATACATGCTTTCCTTCAGATCTGAAATATTCTGCATAGCTTGAGAAGCTGAGTGTCACTTTTACAAGTCCCTAAACATCCTAGAGTCTAGATGGGGAAGAATCAATCTAATCTAAACCCTTCTTATTACAAAGGTGAAAATAAAGAAGTACCATGACTTGACCAAAGTGGTCAGACCTGAGATTAAAATCCTGCTTCCCTAAATGCTATTCCTAGTCTTTTCCCACATATCTTGAAGTGGTGTCTTATTTTTTGGCCTTGTAACTGTTATGGGGTCTGGAGCCAGGGAGCATTGTTGTTCTGGGCAGGGTAAAAATAGTGGCTGGCTTTTATCATGCACTTTCCACACGTGTTCTAAATGCTTTATATATATGAGTGATCTTTCATCTTCACAAGCCCTGGAGAAGGCAGGAGTTGTCACTGTCCCCACTTAGCAGAGAAGCAAACAGAGAGATTAAGTAATTGACTGTGATCACCCAGCTAGTACTTGACAGAGACATGGCTGGAAAAGTAGAAAACAAAAGGAGATCTACTCTGATACTGTAAACTAGCTCCACAACATCCCATCGTAAGACGATAACGAGCATCTGCAAAGCGCTGGGGGACATGGACACCTTCCCCAACACAGATCAGGATCTAGTGGGGAAGTCAGATGTGTAGACCCTGTATCTCAATGCAGCATGATAAGTGCTACCATAGACATATGCCTGGGCATGGTGAAGGGTCCCTGGCCTCTCCTGATACGATGGGGCTAGATAAGTTTTCCTGGGGAAAGTGACACTGAACCACTTCTTAAAGGATAGATTTGGGTGAGCTAAATAAAAAAGAGTGGGAAAAGGCCCTTTTGAGTGTGCAGTCAGCATTGGTAATGTCTTCAGGGAAACAAACTCAGAGGCATTTCTTGAGTATGAAGTTCTAGCACTGTTGACTACCTAAGGCTGCTGTAACAAATTGCCACAAACTGGGTGGCTTCAACAAAGAGCATTTATTCTCTGGCAGTTCTGGTGGCTATAAGTGTGAAATTGAGGCATGGGCAGGGCCTTCCTCTGGAAAGTCTGACTGAGAACCTCTTCCTTGCCTATCTCATAGATGCTGGTGGTTGCTGGATTTGAAACTGTACCACAAAAACCTCTGCCTCTTCTATCTTTTCATTTTTGTTTTTTTTATTTTTAGAGATGGGGTCTTGCTCTGTTTCCCAGGCTGGAATGCAGTGGCATGATTATAGCTCATTGCAGCCTCGAACTCCCAGGCTCAAGGGATCCTCCAGACTTAGCCTCCCAAGTAGGTGGGATTGCAGGCATGCACCACCATACCTGGCTAATTTAAAAAAAAAAATTTGTAGAGATGGGATCTTGCTGTTTCCCTGGTTGGTCTTGAACTCCTGGCTTTGAGTGATCCTCCCACCTCAGCTTCTCAAAGTGTTGGTATTACAGGCATGAACCACCACACCTGGCCTTCTTCTCTGTGTGTATCTCTGTGTGTTCTCTCTCCTTCTTATAAGGACACCAATAACTGGATTTATGGCCCAATATAATCCAACATGACATCTTCTTAACTACGTACATGTGCAAGACCCCATTTCCAAATAACATTGCATGTCCTAGGTTGATATGAATTTGGAGGGGGACATTATTCACTTAGTACTATGGCAGAGGCAGGAGTCGAGGTTGGGATGGTGGGACATTGTGCGTAACGTTGACATTTACTTTGTCAAATGTCCCCTTGTCTTCTCAAGTGGTCTGCTGTTGACTTCGTGGTCAGTTCTCAAAGACAGATGCGTTTACCAACAAGTGCTGTGTGTTTGGCTTCCAGCTTAAATAGTACCCAGCACTGAGAGTTAGAAGTGGAGATTCTATCCCCAGTTCTGCTACGCATGAGTTTCACAACTTTGCTTTAGACTTTCTAAAACTCAATTACCATGGTTATAATCAAGCAATATAATTGCTGTCCTGACTGTCTCTCAGAGTTGTTAAGGGACTCAAGATAAAGTCATGTTTGTGAAGGTGCATGATAAATTGTAAAGTGTGTGTCAAGTATTCTGTCGTGGAATTTTTTCTTCTTTCTTGTGGAGTATCTCCTGATCTATGGGCCCTTTCATAATTAATCAATCAGCCAATTTCTACTGAGCTTCTACTATGTACAGAGTACAGAGCCGCATGCTGTAAAGGACACAGAAAAAAATGAAATATGGAGTTCATCAGGTAGTTGGAGAGAAAAGTCATACAGAAAGCAATTTAAAAACAATCAAGGGCTAATTTGTGTGGCCCTGCCTCTAATGAAGTTGATGATCAGAGAAGTGATTTTTTGATGGAAGCTGGAGTGCTTAACAATGGCTTCCCCAAGGCAAAAGCTTTAGAAGGCTCTGGAAGATTTGTACCATGACGGGGCGCCTGTTCTTGGTGGAGCTGCCTGCTGTGCAAAGCCTTAGAGGGAACAATGAGGAAGGCCTGTGGGAGACCTGGTTAGGCAGAGACTTGCAGGGGCCCTTCAAACTGACTTTCATTCAATATTTATTTAGAAAGCCCCTTTGAAAAATTAGCAATACATATGTTGTTTTATATTCAAAATAAGGAATCAAGTCCATAACCCAGTTATAACATTAAAACTTGTTTGGAATTGGATCTCTTGTGGATAGCTATAGTTACACACATTTGGCCAAGATAGAGATTATGTTTGTGGATATAATTATGAAGTACTATATGACATATGTTTAAAATTTCCCTTTATTGCCTTTTGTTATAGCAAATTATCCCCCCCTGCCCCACTGCCCCAGCCCACCCTCACCTTTCTTTCTTCCTTCTTTTCTCTTCTTCAGCTTCCTTTTGTTAATTTCCGAACTAGCAATTTCTTGGGAGGACAATTAAAGGTTTATAATGTAGGTAACACAAATCCTTCATTTTTAGGAAACCACATGCAGTATCGGGTTCAGGATTGTAGCTGACCATAGCTGTCAATTCTACGTTGGCCAAGCCCCAGGTTGGTGATAAAATCTGCTGTAGCTCTGTGCAACTTGCAGGTGCATGGTGCAAAAGCACGAGAGAGAGAGAGAGAGAAAGAGAGAGAGACCGCGACAGAGAGAGAGAGAGCATGACAGAGAGAGAGAGAGAGAGAGAGAGAGAGACTGTGACAGAGAGAGAGAGAGAGAGATCTTTGCGGTCAGAATGTTGCCTCGACCATGAAAAAAGTCAGCTTTGCCAGAAGCAAGAACCATTCAGAGTTAGTGAGTGGAAACTTGGCTTAACAGGAATTTTGTTTTTTCTGACTTCTTTCATTGCAGATTTTGTACTGTTTTTAGTTAGGTGACCCAAGATGCTGCTTAGCTCTCCTACCCCCAATCTGGTTCTGGTGAGGGTGCTGCGAAGCAGGGCTAGAGCCTGGGGTATGTTTGGGGAGGGATGGAGACTGGGTTGGCCAGTAGGAGGGGCTCGGTTCCTGAGGGCAGGTGAAAGATTTGCAGAAGCAAGTGTATGCCAACTTACAGATGTTTCCAAAGGGTCAAATAAAAGAAAAAAATCAGCACTTAGGTAAGGACTGATCATATATGGAAGTCTATTGCAATAGGGGGAATGTCCCAACCACTTGGAGAAGTAAAGCACGGCTAGAAGGAGCTGGGTGTTGGAGAGTCAAGGGAGTAGGTGCTGTGAGTGAGCAACTAAACAGGAACGTTTCTCTGCATATGTAGTCAGTCGATTATAGGGAAAGGCTGTTGGCAGTAGTGGTGTCTTGTCTGCATTCTTGCATAAGCTCTCAGTGCTCGCACAAGCATAAGAGTGGGACAAAGTTCAGGGACCGTGGGAAAGCAGAGAAGACTGACCAAAGTTTGGTCAGGCTGCGTTAGTGGGCATTTTGTCCAGATTTGTTAGTGGGGACAGATAGTTCAGTTAATTATTTATGAGCTGAAGAATGGGAATTGGGAGAGTTTGTGTCTGGCCTTGTCAATAGGTAAATAAGATGATCATCCACACATCTTATCTATGTCTTTTGGGGAAAGGTTGGTCTTTGCAGCAAGCTCTTTCCTGGAACAGAAAAGGATGGGAGATTTAAAAGAAACTATTCCTGTTTTCCAGAAGCAGGAGCTCATGTTTTTCCAGGACTTCAGCTGAAGTTCAACATTGTCATGTGGGTGGGGCGCGACCAAGACAGTCGACCCTTGTTTTAGTTGGCCTGTGCTGCTATAACAAAATCCCATAGCCTAGGTGGCTTAAACGTCAGAAAGGTAATTCTCACAGTTCTGGGGAGTCTGAGATCAAGTTGTCAGCCGATTCAGTTTCTGGCGAGGGTTCTCATCCTGCTTTGCAGATGAACATCTTATGGCAGTTCAGGTGGCATATGGGATAGCAAGAGAGATCACCTCTTTGTGTCTCTTTTTGTGAGGGTACTAATCCCATTCATGAGGGCTCCACTCCCATGAGCTAGTCATCTCTCAAAGGTAATACTATCTTATGACCTTTACATATGATCGCACTGGGGATTAGGTCTTCAATATAGGAATTTAGCAACCATAGATTCTAGACTGGCTTTTCCCTTTTTTTTTTTTTTTTTTTTTGAGATGGAGTCTCTCTCTGTTGCCTAGGCTGGCGTGCAGTGGCCCAGCCTCGGCTCACTGCAACCTCCACCTCCCAGGTTCAAGTGATTCTCCTGCCTCAGCCTCCTGAGTATCTGGGATTACAGGCCCGCACCTCCATGCCCTGCCAATTTTTGTAATTTTAGTAGAGACGGGGTTTGATGATGTTGGTCAGGCTGGTCTCGAACTCCTGACCTCATGATCTGCCCACCTCAGCCTCCAAAGGGCTAGGATTACAGGCGTGATCCACTGCACCTGGCCTAGACTGGCTTTTCTCAGATACCATTCCAAAGGGCTGATGTAATACAATTATGATTGCAATAGCGTTATGCATGTTTCTTTTCTCCAGTAGGTGATTAGAAAGCATTACTGATTCTCTGTTTCATTTTCTTTGAATGTCTAGTGTCCTTTCCGTTGTTCTGTCTTTAACCAGTAGAGACAGTTCTCTCTGTGGCATTAGCAAGTCTGTGTCTCTGCTTTGCTGCACGCTTATGCTAGGGAGCACTGTCACCATCCAACTCTGAAGGGTCAAAATCCTATTTATTCCCAAGATCCATTTTTCTTTGCTTCCTTCTAGAGACCACCAGGTATTCAGCTTTTCTTCTTCTTTCTATTTAGTATTTTTTTCATAATAAGTAATTTTTTTGTGTGCTGTTCACACAAATGGAAAAGACCACAGACAGAATTTTAAATTAGACATTGTCATTTACAGAAAATCTATATTCAGGGAAGGAATGGTTAAGGGTCCTTAATAACTAAAATCTGGTGATGACCGTGCCATAGTTCTTTAATACGTCAACACAGGAATTGTTGCTCTGTTTATTTTTTGAAAGGGATAATGATAACATACATTTGAAAAGAGTCATGGTGACTAATGAAAAAACCTTACAGATTGTCATTTCACTGAGTCTACCAACTTTCTCTTACGACTGATGTGGAGTGGTGACTGTGGAGGGACTGGCTTCATGACAAGAAGAGAAAGGGAATACAATGAAGTCTTCCTGCCATTTCTGTCCTTCAGTTGTTCAGAGGAGTATTAGGGTTCTCTAGAGGGACAGAACTAATAGGATAGATGTATATATAAACAGGAGCTTATTAAGGAATATTGACTCACACGATCACAAGGTGAGATCCAACAATAGGCCGCCTGCAAGCTGAGGAAAAAAGAAGCCAGTCCAAGTCCCGAGACCTCAAAAGTAGAGAAGCCAACAGTGCAGCCTTCAGTCTGTGGTCGAAGGTCCAGGAGTCCCAAAGCTGAAGAACTTGGAGTCTGATGTTCTAGGGCAGGAAGGATCCAGCATGGGAGAAAGACTAGGCTGGGAGACTCAGCCAGTCTAGTCTTCTCATTTTCTTTTGTCTGCTTTTATTCTGGCCACACTGGCAGCCTTGATTAGATGGTGCCCACCCAGACTGAGGGTGGGTCTGCCTCTCCCAGTCCACTGACTCAAATGTTAACCTCCTTTGGCAACACCTCACAGACACACCCAGGAACAATACTTTGCATCCTTCAATCCAATCAAGTTGACACCCAATATTAACCATCGCAAGAGGTAATTCATTGCCCTTCCAAGGATATTTGATGGATACATAAATAAAGATATTATTTTCCTATATTTTACATAAAGTATGGTACAGTATATGTACCATTTTACCTTTTCTTTTTTCTTTTTTTTTTTTTGAGATGGGGTCTTGCTCTGTTGCCCAGCCTGGAGTGCAGTGGCACAATCTTGGCTTACTGCAACCTCCGCCCTCCAGGTTCCAGTGATTCTCCTGCCTCAGCCTCCCAAGTAGTTGGGACTACAGGCACGTGCCATCATGCCCGGCTAATTTTTTGTATTTTTACACATCTTGGAGGTCATTTGACATGAGGTAAAGGGTGTTTGTGTGCATGCGTGTGTGTATGTGTGTACAGTGGATGCTCATTATTTGTGGATTCCATATGAGCAGATTCGCCTACTCATTGAACTTTACTTGTAACCTCCCATCAGTACTGGCACACATTTGTAGTCATTCACAGCCATGGGCAGGGTAGTGAAAAGTTTGAGTCACCCAAAGTGCATGTTTCCAGCTGAGGTCAAACCAAGTAAGACTCTGCCTTCCTGCTTCGGCTTCCATACTATGAACAAGTGTCCTTCTCACGGTCTGTTTGGAGCCATGCTTGTTACCTTTCTGTGCTTTTTGTTGTCGATTTCACTGTTTAAAATGGCCTCCAAACGCAACACTGAAGTGCTGCCCTGCGTTCCAAAACACGAGAGGGCTGTAAGGTGCCTCAGGGAGAAAAGACATGCATTAAATAAGCTTCCTTCAGGCTGAGTGACAGTGCTGAGTGACAGTGCTTCAGGCTGAGTGACATTGCTTCACGGCTAATGCTGGCCGTGAGCTCAGTGCTAACAGATCACCAATGTATATCAAATAATGTGTCTTTTAACAGAAACGTACGTAAAATGAGGTTACATATTGATCAGTTGAAAATGTTATAGACAGAGGCTCACAGGAAGCTAATCTTGTATTTAAGAGCAATGGTTCAGTATTTGCTAATTCAGTGTTCATAGCAACTTTATAGAACAGAACTACCACAAATAATAAGAATCCAGTACACACACACACACACACACACACACACACACACACACACACACTTACAAACATAAACCCGAACAGATGCTGAGTATTTCATTGTAAAGATATCCCATAATTTATGTAGTCCCCTACTTACGGATATTTGGGTTTTTCCTATCACTTGCTATTACAAAGAATGCCATGATGAATAAATGTGTGTATCTCTTTTTCAGGTATACAAGTGTGTATATATATATATATATATATATATATATATAAAAGAACATTTCCTAGACATGAAATTGCTGGGTGAAAACATGTGTGCATTTATAATTTTGATAAGTGTTGCTGTGTTTCTCCATGGAAGCTGTATTCGTCTACACTGCCCGGGGCTGCCAGCACCTACAGTCTCCTGGAGCACCTTTCTCCACAAGCCTGGTGGCAGAATGGAACACAGACTTTGGACTTTTCTTTGTGTTTTTTAAGACAAATACACAGAACTTGATGTTTGAGAGTCTGCTCTGTATGCCAGAGGCATGAGAATAACTTTAAGCATCCAGATGCTTTTTATCTTCCCCCACTCAAAGTACCCCTGGTGGGAGGAGAGTGAAGCAATAATGTTTAAGGTCCCAAGGAGAGGATCAATGTGTATGGGTTCCCTTCATTTGGGTCTCTTCAGGGTAATTTGCAACTTCTATAGTCCAGTTAGGACAGGCCTGCTGTTCCCACCTGGAAGACCTGAAGGGCAATTAGAAAATCAATAGATGCGATTTAGTATTTATGTGCCACACTGGCTCAAGTCAGAAGTCAGAAAATAACCACTGGCCAAATTCAGCCACTGCCTGTTTTTGTGTGGTCTGTAAGCTAGGAATTATTTTAAAAATTTTTAATGTTTGAAAAAAATCAAAAGAAGAAGGGTATATCATGGCTCATAAAAATTACATGAAATTCAGGCTGGGTGCAGTGGTTCGCACCCTTAATCCCAGCATTTTGGGAGGCCAAGGCGGGCAGATTGCTTGAGTCCAGGTGTTTGAGACCAGAGTGGACAACATGGAGAAACCCTGTCTCTACAAAAAATACAAAAATTAGCCGGGCATGGTGGTGCATGCCTGTAGTCCCAGCTTCCCGGGAGGCTGAGGTGGGAGAATTGCTTGAACCCGGGAGGCGGAGGTTGCAGTGAGCCGAGATCGGGCCATTGCACTCCAGCCTGGGTGACAGAGTGGGACCCTGTCTCAAAAAAAATTACAGGAAATTCAAATATTAATATTCATAAATAGAAAATCTTATTGGAACACAGCCACACACATCCCTTTACATGTTATCCACAGCTGCTTTCATGCCACAAGGGGAGAATTGAGTAGTTGCAACAGGGATGGTATATCCCAGAAGGCCTAAGATATTTACTGTGACCCTTTACAGAAGATGTTTGCTGCCCATTGAAACTCTAAAGGTGCCTTTCTTCTCTTCCTTATCAGACTTTCAGTTTGTGGCTGTTAGAGTTTCACCTAAGAGAGAAGCATCATTTCAAACCCCCGAGTTTCCATTTGCATTGTTGCTATTTGGCTTTGTTTCTTTTCAGAGAAAAGTTTGAAATTTGTGAACATATGATGTGGAAACAATGAGGACAGCTTATTTCTGTTTCTTTCTTCTTTTCTTTTCTCTCTCTTTCCTTCTTTTCTTTCTTTTCCTTCTTTCAAGATAGGGTCACTCTCTGTTGCTCAGGCTGGATGGAATGCAATAGCATAATCATAGCTCATGATCTCAAGTGATCCTCCCACCTGAGTCTCCAAATTACGCAGACCACAGGCATGCATCACGGCAACCAGCTAATTTTTAAATTTTTAAAAATTTTTTAGTTGATACAAGGTCTCACTATGTTGCCCAGGCTGGTCTCGAACCTCTGGCCTCAAACGATTCTTCCCGTCTTGGCCTCTCAAAGTGCTAGGATTACAGGCAACAGTCAGCCCACCTGGTCGTTTTATGCCATCTGTCCTCCAAGCCAAATTATGGTAACCCAAATTCCTGAGTCTTCTAGGACAGCCCAGATTTAATATGTTCTTTCTTGTCAATACAAATCACCTCACCAAACTATACCCCCAGGTGGAATAAAAATTTTTTGTTATACAGGTACAAATACACAAATAATAATTTAAATGAAAAAAAATAGTAGAACTCGTCATTGGTGGAAACATATGGCATATTGCTTCAGCTACACATGATTTTCTCGGCCTGAGACCAATTCTCTAGCTTGGGACTCTGCTTCTGAAACTCATTTATACTGAGATATATATCATAGTTATAACTTATGCCTAGAATCTGATACAGAGGAGAGGAAAGAAGGATTCATTGGAAAGACAGCTGTGGAAATAATTGTTTTCCCTGGTGGAGATAGTGCCATGGGTCTTTGATCATTGGAAAGCCTGGTAGCCCCCTCCTGTACTCTAACTCCACTGTTTTATTGTTAACATATCATTGCATATACTCTCTTGTTTGTTTGCATGCCATTTGTTAAACCTTTTTTCTTTTTTTTTTTTGAGATGGAGTCTTGCTCTGTTGCCAGGCTGGAGTGCAGTGGCGTGATCTCGGCGCACTGCAGCCTCTGCCTCCCGGGTTCAATCAATTCTCCTTCCTCAGCCTCCCGAGTAGCTGAGACTACAGGCGTGTGCCACCATGCCCAGCTAATTTTTGTATTTTTAGTAGAGATGGAGTTTCACCATGTTGGCCAGGATGGTCTCTATCTCTGCCCACCTCGGTCTCCCAAAACACTGGGATTACAAGCGTGAGCCACTGTGCCCAGCCTAAACCTATTTAATGTGTCAGGCCCTATGCTAAATACTTGATAGAAATTTCATGTGAACTTTATAAATATGAGTAAGAATCTTTGTCACCTCTGGTGAAAAACATGTGGAAGGAGCTTAAGTCAAGAATCTTATCCAAAGTTACACACCTTGTAGGTGATACAGCCAAGATTCAAACTCAATACTGTTTGGCTCTAGAACCTGAGGTCTGTATTATCCTGTGATCTTCAATCATTTATTTTTTCATTCAGAAAATATTAATTGCTTGCCTACCAAGAGTCAGGCAGTGTGCTGATTGCTGGGAATTTAACAGTGAATGAAACAGATGCAGTTTCTGTTTACAGAACTTACAAGGATAGTGGTGGGGGGGAATGGATGTTAATTTTTAAAAATCGTACAAATATTTAAATAAAGAAACATAGTGGAAAGCTTAGAATAAAGAACTCCACAAGGTCTTTGGAATCAGAGAAGGGCTTTCCTGAATACGTGATGCTTGAGCTGTGTCTGGAAGTTGATTAGTGATTAACTAAGCACAGAGATATATGTTTTGCAGTGATGGTGGGGAAGAGTGTGGTGTGATAATTCCAGGTAGAGTAAGTAGGATGTGCAAAGGCCCTAAGGTCTGAGAGAACATGGTCTTTGGAAGGAGTAAGAAGGAAGTCATAAAAAAGAATGAGTTCATGTTCTTTGCAGGGAAATGGATGAAGCTGGAAACCATCATTCTCAGCAAACTAACACAGGAACAGAAAAACAAACACTGCATGTTCTCACTCGTAATTGGGAGTTGAACAATGAGAACACATGGACACAGGGAGGGGAAAGTCACACACCACACACCGGGGCCTGTTGGGGGGTGGGGGGCAAGGGGAGGGAGAGCATTAGGACAAATACCTAATGCATACAGGGCTTAAAACCTAGATGACGGGTTGATAGGTGCAGCAAACCACTATGGCACATTTATACCTATGTAACAAACCTGCACGTTCTGCATATGTATCCCAGAACTTAAAGTAAAATTAAAAAAAAAGAAGAAGACAGCCAGCATGAGCACGGCTGGTGTCTGGAGACAGAAGCAGGTAGTGATGGGAGATGCAGAGTGGACTCAGGTAAGAAGAGCTGAGGGGAGCTGTCGAGTGTCAGCCTTGCAAGAGTCCACTGAATCAGTGTGGCTGATGGCAGAAGTGAAAAATGAGACATTGATAGATTTGGAGGATACCTGAGTAGGTAAAAATAGATGAATGGGATAATTAGTGTAAGACCAAAGGAGGTTTCCAAATGACTTCCAGGCTGAGAATTGGAACGTTGCTGTCCCGTCCCGCGGTCACAGGGATGCTGATCTTTAAGTCCATGACTGCAGAGAGTGGGAGGACCTGAGAAGCAGGGAGGATGTGAGGAAAAACCCTTTCTCCAGGTTATTCCAGGTTCTTCACGTGGAGCAGGAGTGAAGTTGCATGAAGATGCAGTTTGCTTCCAGCCAAGGGGGTAGTGGGCAGCCTGGTAGAAGGGACTGGGCAAACTCTTGTTCTCAGAGCTTCCTTTAAGCCAAGACTTTCTCCTTCTCTGATGACAAGAGGAGTAGGGGGAAGGAGGAGAAGTCAGGGCAAGCCCAGTGGCAGAGGGACACAGGGACACAGGCTAGAGGCACCCTGCAATTGTGCTGATGCCCAAAGCCAGGAGAGGGGGCTGGGTTCCAGATAGGTGCCAAGTGAGAGGGCACCCTGGTGTCACAAAGTAGGGCAGCAGAAGGTTGTCTGGATGGCTTCCTGGGGGAATGAGGAAGTCAGCAGTGATCTGATATGTGCTTCCAGTAGGAGGACTGGGGTTACTTAAACAGCTGGTAGAACTCAGGTGTGGTCTTGGGATCTCAGTCTCAGTAACTCCTGGAGGGTCCACCCTGTTCTTCCTTAAATTTAAAAGGCAGAGATGGGAAGACCCAGAGATCACAGCGTTAGACTTTAGGAGGACAGGGGTCTTCCCTTATACATCTTTGCATCCTCAGCATTTTGCACAGGGGGGGTTGATGTTCATATTTTCATAATACTGCCCTATTCTTTTTCTTTGAAACAATTATAATTTTAAAAATTATTTTAATTAAAACCTGTCATTTGTATAGAAAGTCTTACAGAGCAACAGAATTGCATCTGGTTTTCATTATACACCTATCGAAGTCATCCTCTTCTTCTGTAACCGCCCTCTTACTGGCTGTCTCTCTTGGTCATCGCTGCCCTAAGCTTGACCTTATTTCACATCAGGCCCGTTAGTTCAGGGGTTGATGTTATAGTTTGGTTATTTGCCCCACCCAGATCTCAGGTTGAAATGTAATTCCCAGTGTCGGAAGTGGGACCTGGTGGGAGGCGATCGGATCATGGGGATGGATTTCTTGTGGGTGGTTTAGAATGGTTTATCTAATTCATGGTTTATCATGAGGACTGCACCATCCCCTTGGTGCAGTCCTCATGAGAGTGAGTGAGTTCTTATGATATCTGATTGTTAAGTGTGTGGCACCTACTCCCCACATCTCTTGCTCCCACTCCTGCCATGTGAGACACCTACTTCCCCTTCTGCCATGATTGGAAGCTTCCCGAGGCCTCACCAGAAGCAGATGCTGGCACCATGCTTCCTGTAAAGCCTGTAGAACCGTGAGCCAGTTAAATCTGTTTTCTTATAAATTACCCAGTCTCAGGTATTTATTTATAGCAATGCAAGAGTGGCTTAATAAAGTTGATTTGCAGCTAGCAGAGGTCAATGTCCTTCCCAGATTCAATCCATATTTCAGCCATAAGAGAGAAGGAGTGTGTTCCTCAGGAAGTTCTTATCTGGAAGACATTATGGCTGTGCCTCAGGGGTGAAAGGATTGATCATACATATTGCATGACCCTTTGTCATGGAAGATTATACACCACATCCTTTAGCAGTGTCTTTCCTTTGACACACTAAATGGGCCCTTGAAAATGAGCCCAAATCTATTTTTGTTTAGGGTAGTTTGAATAAAAGAATTCTGGTGGCAACAGACTGCAAAAGAGAGTGATTATTTTATATCACAATCGCTCTCTAACTTCAGTTCTGCAAGGTTAATTTCCAATGCTGGTGTTTGTTTTTGGGGGGCCCCACTGGGGTGGCCAGGAATCTCCAGACATGGTCTGATGGCCCACCTGGGTGTGGCAGCTGGGTTCTTCAGTATTCTCTTTCCTTTCTGCTCTGTTTCTTTTTTTCAGGTGTCTGATTCTCCAGTATATCTTTCCTGACCCCATTTTTCCCCTGATAGATGGATTTCTTTGGTTAACATGCTAGAGTCCCACAAAACATAAGTTTATTTTTCTCATGAATCTCAACTCTTTCCTGAAAATTTGTATCATTCGCTTTTAATAAAATTCCTTTCCTTCTATGTCTGGGTCCATTTGTCTTCATCTCTTGCTGGGATACAGGGAGGGATCTGGGAGGATCTCGCCTCTTTGCCTTCCTTTGTCCTACATAGCACCGTGAGTCTTCACTCTCATATGGCTCTCATAAATCACGCTTGCTGTCTTCCTATTAGGTGACCCCCTGTGACCATTCTGCTTCTCTTTAGTAACCTCTGGGCATTCCCCATGCCTAAAATATTATTCTTGCAGAACGAAGAAGTCTGTTTCCTTCACTACATTCTGGCTTGTGACTGTTTGGCTTTGTTTAGGTTCATGTATTAAGAATATATATATATATTTTTTCTTTTTGCCTTAGAATCAGCCAAGGGTTGTGACATTAAAATACAAGATACATTTATAACTTCATGTGACCTGGATTTGGTGCAGGTCATGCTGAGACAATGATGAATGTCTCCTGATCAACACCAGAAAACCTTGCAGAAAATACATTTAAAAATAGGAGTGATGTACTGAGTTCTACTAATTTGCAGTAAATTGTCTTTTTGGACTTACGTCTGGCAAACCCCTACTGTGCACCTGCCCTGTGTCACAGGCTGCATTGGGAAATCTGCATATATTATCTTACATAATTTTCAGAAAATTCTATCATGTAAGCATTGCTGTGTGCATTTTGCAAATGATCTAAGGAAGGGGCAGAGGGCAGTGGAAGTAGAGATAAGATCAAAAGTGAGGTCACCTAAATCTAGCACCTTTTTTATCTTGTCACCTCCCTGTGGCCGCCTTTGATGCATTGCATTTCTTTATTTTTAAGAACATAACTTTCACTCACTCCTGCCTCAACCATTTCATGCATAAGTGACCTTAGTAGTCCCAGGTTCCTGTAGAACATTTTTTGTGAGAGTAGCTCAAGGAATTCTTCCCCTCAAAGCCTGCAGTGGGTGGAACAGTGTTCACAGGGTCATCCTAACTTTGTTCTTTTTTCCCAGGTGCCTGCTGAGAGTTGGTGGCTTGCAGACTTGTTGAAAATCTGAGGGGTCAGATAATGTGATGCCACTAATTCAGCATCATGTAAAAGAGAGGTCATAGGCTTTGAAAACTCCCCTGGGGTCAAGTTGGGCCTCCAGTTCCTGCTAGCTGAATGACCTCAGTCAATTTCCTTAATTTTTATTAGGTTTAGTTTCTTCATCTAAAAATTTTAAAGAATAAATATGATAATCTAAGCTTAAAGCAAGGAGTACAGGATGTGGTGAGAGACAGGTGCTCATTAACTATTACCTCCTTCTCCTTTCCAGTGGACCAGATGATCCTGAACCTCTTTCTGATTGGATATTTGATAGTGTATTAGTCTGTTCTCATGCTGCTAATAAAGACATACCCAAGACTGGGTAATTTATAAAGGGAAGAGGTTTAATGGACTCACAGTTCTATATGGCTGGGGAGGCCTCACAATCATGGTAGAAGATGAAGGGCACGTCTTACATGGTGGCAGACAAGAGACAGTGAGAATCAAGTGAAAGGGGTTACCCCTTATAAAAGCATCAGATCTCATGAGACTTATGCGCTTCCACAAGAACAGCACTGGGGAAACAGCCTCCATAATTATTATCTCCCACTGGGTCCCTCCCACAATGCATGGGAATTGTGGGAGCCACAGTTCAAGTTGAGATTTAGATGGGGACACAACCAAACCATATCTGATAGGGAGTAAGAGAAATCAACAAAAAAAGACTGATTAGAATGAGCTAGTGGGTCTGTATTCCAAGATCAAGTTCTGCTTAGAGATGCATTTCTTAAAAAAAAATAAAAGCCCTAAGTAATTGTCAATGAATTAGAAAAACAGAGAGAAAATATTACTGTGTTCAATACCATTCTTGTTTTAAAGAAGCTAAACGAATACAAAGAGTAAAAAAATATGGTGTTGGCATTTGCACATTGGGGCTTTGCTTGGAGGAACACAACTTGTCATTACTTGGCTGTGATCCAGCCCCAATATTTAAGTCTAGCCAGAAGAGAGTTAAGATATTTTGAACAGCTCTAGATGACAGCACACACAGCCCTGAACTGTGTGCATGGAGCAGCTGGTTGTATTCCCCTCCTTTCTGCTTATGGGTGGTGTTATTCAGTCATGGCACAGTGACTTTAATAGATATTAAAAATGCAGCTATTTGAGCATGTCATTCTCAAAGCCCCATTGAAATGCTCTACAGCAGCATATGTGACTGAACATGGTACAAGGCCATTACCTGCCTGCAACAGGAACCATTCCTTTTGATCTGTGACTCCGTATAGCAAAATAGTTTTGTAATCACGTATAATTCATCTATTAGTTTTGTCTTTGTGCCAAGCATAGTTAAAAGAAAAATCATGTGGAAAAGATTATTTTTATTGTGAATTCCTGATGGAAAAAGGCATTTTCCTTCAAAGTTATTATCTCGGTTTTACAGCTGACCTTTAAAAGAGTGTTTATGACTTTAAATACTCCAGAGCTCAGCAAATATTATCCTCCATATAATTTTAGATAGTCATTATAGCTTTGTCTATAAGCACTGAGTATGTATCATAAGACACAATGTTGGTCGTTTAAAATTTTTGATATTTTATTGTAAAAGAAAAAAATCTTGTTTCATTGGTACATTGAGTGATGATTGACCTTTTCTTATTAAATTTCCTCTTCACATTTCATCTGTATGTAATCCTAGAAGGTCACTGGTTGGCATTAGCAACCCCAGAAATGAATGGTCATGATGTCACATCCTAGAATTAACAAATTAGTTTGTTTGGTCTCTCATTATCTATTATATCCCTTACTGTAATGGGGGATGAAAAAATTCAAGATGGAATTGTGGCCTGCAATGTCTTGAACACCAAGAATTAGGGATCTTCAGTGTGTCCCTCCTCCCACCTCTCTTACCATACATACTTTGCATTTTTATGTGTTGTTTTTTTTTCTGTATGCTTTATGACATACTCCTGGGCATGAGTTTTCTGCTATCATGGCTGATGATGCAAAAAAAAGGGGAAAGAGAAAGAAGGGAGGGAGAAAGGGAAGAAATAGAGTGCTATCGAGGGAAAAGTAAAACCGAATCATAACCAAGGAATATCTGAGCCTGGAAGGGTTTATATGGCTTTTCAATGGAGTCTTGCCACCTAGAAATAAAATAGAAATCTATACTCCTGTGTGCATTTCACTTGGACTTCCAGAAAGGCTGGGAGATCATGGGCGAGTCATGTAACTTCCCTGCATTATTTCCTCCTCTGCAATAAATGATCAATTGTTCCTTTCTAATTTTAATAGCATGTGATTTAAAAGCTCCTTGGAAACCAATACCATGATTTAATAAACCAAACGGATCAGTGGATTGTTGATAATTTCAAGTAATTCTTTTATTTTATCATGAAATCATTATCCATTTTTATAAACCATTAATCCAAGTTTCGTGCGTATTCTGGCATAGCATAAGTAGTGAGCACAGCCGGGAAGGGTCCCTGCCCTCCATTGAAAGTGGCAGCTCTCATAAGTGCTATGGATGAAGGGTCACGGTCCCTGGGAGAGCACGTGGGGAGAGATCACCAGCCTCGGAATGAGGGAATTTTTCTGCAGCAGTGATTCTGAGTGGCATCTGAAGGGTGCACAGGCTTTTACTGGGTAAGAAGGTTAAGGAAGAGCATTCCAGGAAGAGGGACAGCATTATGAAAGTTTGGGGAGAAACGGAAAGAAGGCAAGTGAGGCTAGTGCAGAACAAAGCAGGATGTCGTCATAGAAAAGGCTAGCATGACCAATATGGTAGGAGCCAGACCATGTGCGGTTTTTAGGGAAGGAGTGACAATATCATTTATCATCCAAACATGACACTTCTAAAAGTGAAAGGGCACTATTAGTAGTAAAACTGGGCCGGGCATGGTGGCTCATGCCTGTAATCCCAGCACTTTGGGAGGCCAAGGTGGGCAGAGGTCAGGAGTTTGAGACCAGCCTGGCCAGCATGGTGAAACCTGTCTCTACTAAAAATACAAAAATTAACTGGGTGTGGTGATATGCGCTTATAGTCCTAACTACTTGGGAAGCTGAGGCAGGAGAATTGCTTGAACCCAGGAGGCAGAGGTTGCAGTGAGTTGAGATTGCGCCATTGCACTCCAGCCTCGGCAAGAGAGCGAGACTGTCAAAAAAAAAAGAGAAAGAAAGGAAAGAAAGGGAAGGAAAGGAAAGGAAAGGAAAGGAAAGGAAAGGAAAGGAAAGGAAAGGAAGGGAGAAAGAAAGAAAAGAAAGAAAGAAAGGAAGGAAGGGAGGGAGGGAGGGAGGGAGGGAGGGAGGGAGGGAGGGAGGGAAGGAGGGAAGGAGGGAAGGAAGGTGGGAAGAAAGAAAGAGATGTTAACCAGGAGTGGCAGTTCCTCTGCGGAGCTCAGAGGAGAGATTTGGGTGGAAGAGTTAAATTTGTGTGTGAGCTCTGCAGTTGAGAACGTCTACCAAGAAAGCTTGAGGAGAGAAGAAAAGTGAGCCGGGAAACCTACTGGCTGCGAAGATGGTGAGACCACCAAGGAGATCTGGAAGAAACAGGCAGGTAGGAGGAAAACTAGGAGTGTGTTGTGTCAGGGAAGCTAAGGGATGCTTAGCTGAGTACTAACAAATTAGTTCTAGAGGATGAAATAAAAATCATGTGCATTTTATTACTGTATGTTCAATAACATATATATTGAGTGGACCATTTTTGTTTCCTCAAGAGAGGAATTGAGTGATGAGCAATATAAAACACCAAATGTCCCTATTTTCTTACCTTCACAGTGATTTTGATGATCTTAGAGATAGGCGTAGGAGAAATCCATCCTCTGGCTGGAAATGGGGGAATATTGCCTGGCAGATCTGGCTCTGAACATTGTCCTAAGTTAAGGAATGTGCCATCTGCCGTCCTCTTTCGGCACTTATTCTCTCTCAGAGCCATCGTGCTTGAATTTCTAACAGGATCTTCACCCTATTTCCAGATCCTTGGCTTGGGAAAGGACCTTGTAAACTCATTTATACTAAGGTGTAAAGGATTGATAAGCCTAAGTCTATTGTTTTGCTCAGAGAACTACACCTGAAACAACAATAAAACTGTCTCTGTTCTGGAAAATGCAGTTTTCTGAGTGTGGGGAGGATGTTCTGAACCTGCCTCTTTTACTTGAATTACTTGCTTGTAGTTTGCTTTTAAATACCTTCGAAATAGAACCCTAGGGTCACACAATTGTAGACTTTGGGGTGCTTTCAGTCTAGAGTAATCACACCTCAGAGGACTTATCTTTCCTTTCTCTCCAAACCTGCTTCCTCTTTTAAATTTCCTTTTAGAATTTGATTAATAACACCAACTTCTTCCCTTCTTCCCTTCACCCAGGCTAGAAACGATTGAATTATATTTGACCTGCTAGCTCACCACATCCGGATGCTGTGAGTCGGCCCTGCCTGCCACTGCTGGCTTCATCTTTGTCCCTTCCTGTGGTTTCAGAGTGAGATCACGCTTTTATCAACTCCCCCTTGGCTTCATGCCTCTGCCTCCTGACCCTTGTTCCAAGTCTGTTTTCTTCTATTCAGCCTAGAAATTGTGCTAACAGAATTGCCTTTCTTATGTAAGGATCTGAACTTGGGCCCATCCTCTCTATACATCTTTGCTGGTGCATTTTCTCCTAAAGCCTAAATTTCTCAAAGCACCTATTGTCCTTCTAAGGGCTGCCGAACTAGAGCTTGCCTGCCTTACTTGTTATTTTTGTTTGACATTAGTTGAAAATTGCAGGATAGCAAGAGAAGAGACCAGCTAAAACATTTTACTCTTTCTTCATTCCTAGCCGAAGGTGGGGGTCTATCATTTTATGCCTCTTTGTGAAGATGCAAGTCTCAAACTACCCAAAAGAACCTAATACCTGGGGTGGGTGTTGCTTAATCATTCAATGGGGAGGAACTCTGTGGGTTACGGCTGAGCAGCTCCAGGAGGCTGCAGTGAGGAGGGTGCTGGAAGTGGAGTGAAGGCTTCAGCTTGATGTATTCTTTTGCTTAGGACAGAAATGGTGAGCCCTTGGGTAAATATTATCACATTTCTTAATATTTATTTAAGATGCCCTTATTTAAGATGCTGAAGAGCAGGGTGTTCCTAATATTTTCTAGAAATATAAAAGGAAGCCAGCGTGATGACTAAGCCAGCTGGACACCTGCAGATGTGTCTTGCCACCTGGCCTCGGCTCCATCTCCCTACCCCATCTTCACCCCTAGCAGGAGCAGACTGGCCTTTGACTTCTGCTGGCTAGGGACACGGACTCCCTGGATTCATCTGGATTAAGAATCCAAGACAGTAGTCATGATCTGTGAAGCAGTCTCTTCTGCTTCCCAGGAGGAAGAAACATCTTAACAGGTAGGGTTGGAGAATCCAAGGTCCCACGGAGGGGACTTGTCATAAAGAGGCCCTTCACAGGCCTGTGTTATCTCATTCTAGTCTCTATCTTTCTGGGCTCAGTGCTGGGCATTCACTGAGGTGAACCATAATCATGTCAAACCTGATACTCCTTGCTCCTGGGAGCATTCATTCTAGCCATATTTTTTCAAAGCTGTTCACCCTTCCAGAAATGGACATATGCTCTCCTCTTCCTTTTTCTGGAGAAGCCCATTCCTCACTCACGGATCTGCTCAAACAGCACCTGTACCACGAAGGCCACCGTGATCTGTGGCTCCACAGCCAGAATCAGCCGCTCCTTCTCCGTGCCCCTGTCCCCATTACCACCATGATCTGTGGCTCCAGAATCGGCCGCTCCTTCCCCGTGCCCCAGTCCCCATGACCACCATGATCTGTGGCTTCACGCCGGAATCGGCCGCTCCCTGCCCATGCCGCTATCCCAATTCTGTTTTGCGGTGTATGTGTGTGTCCTGTGTACCCAGGGCTTCCAACTCTCTGTGAGGAGCCAGGACCAATGGGATTCTATTAGTCCGCTGTGGTCCTCCTGCGTCACTCATGCTTCAAGTCCTTGTGCGTTGTAGGCACTCAGTGAGTGTAGGATGAATAAATGAAGGACCGAATGAGAGAACAGCCCCTGGGTTTTAGCCAGACCTCTGTCAGTGCAGAACGTCCCTTGCGAAGCTGACATCCTGGCCCTGGGGAAGTGTTTGGTGGACAACTCAGGCAGGAGAACCTCCAATCCGCTGTCTGGGGCTCCTCCCGATTTCTTGAGTCCATTAGAGAATAATCAGGAAGGAAGCTCCCTGTTCAGCTGTCATCCCAGGTCACTGCTCTCAGGTGTTCACTGAAACGATGCAATCAAATAAATGTTTTAAAGCCCTAAATTCTTCCTGAGTAGGGAAAGACCTCAATTATTCAAAGGCTTCTTTCAGAGAGGTCAGCCTTTGGCCAACACAGAAAATAAATAAATGTATTTATTTTCTTTTCTGATTACAAAATGATGTACAATGATTGTTTCTTAATATTGTAGCTGGGATTATAGGTGCCTGCCACCATGCCTGGATAATTTTTGTATTTTTTTTTTTAGTAGAGATGGGGTTTCACCATGTTGGCCAGGCTGGTCTTGAACTCCTGACCTCAGGTGACCCACTTGCCTCAGCCTCCCAAAGTGCTAGGATTACAGGCATTAGCCACCGTGCTGGGACAATGTCTTTTTTAAGCTTTCACAACCTTTTCCAAATTTTCCATTGTTATTTCTCCTTAATTATTGACTTCTACATTTTATTCTTTGTGCTTTTTCCCCAGTTTGTGAAATTGTCTTCTAACTTTGAGACGGCTGTTTGTGTGTGTGTGTGTGTGTGTGTGTGTGTGTGTGTGTGTGTGTGCATGCGTGCACATTTATCAAAGGTTGTTGCTGTTCACATGAATTTTTGCTAAAGGAGATAACACCCACTGAAATAGATTCTTCAAGAATGTATGAAGTAGATTAGAGGGAGGAAATGAAAATTGGAGGGAGGCACCTTTGAATTTGAGGTCCCTATAAAATCAGTTTGTACATTTCTGCTGCAGCATCTCAGTCCTTCAACACTGGCCCCCAATTATTGTTTTTTAAATATTGTTTATTTATTTTAGTTGAAAATTAAAATCCCTCTCCTAAGACACATCACTGTTAACAGTGGGATATAGATTGATCCTTTCAGATTTCTTTACTTTTATATATCTGCAAATATATATATATATTTATACACATATATTTATATACAAGTGATATATATTTATATATATAAACCACACATAGAAACTATATTTCCATATTATATATATATGGTTTTTTAGGCAGAATTGGGGTTACATTATCAGTAATATTCTGTATTCTACTTTTTTTTCGAGACAGGGTCTCACTCTGTCACCCAGGCTGGAGTGCGGTGGTATGATCACGGCTCACTGCAACCTCTACCTCCTGAGATCCCACCTTAGCCTCTTGAGTAGCTGGGGACTACAGTCAGGTGCAACCACACCCAGCTTGGTTTTTTGTTTTTTGTTTTTTTTTGTATTTTTAGTAGAGACAGAGTTTTGCCATGTTGTCCAGGCTGGTCTCAAACTCCTGGCCTCAAGTGATCTGCCCGCCTCAGCCTCTCAAAGTATTGGGATTACAGGCGTAAGCCATCATACCTGGGTATTCTACTTTTTATATACTAAAATAGTTTAGTCAGATTTCTATTTCAATACATATGTTTTATTTTTAATGCTTTCTTGTTTGGTGTTATATTGATGGATATTTTCTAATATATTTAACCAATCTCTTACAATTGAAAATTTATGTTGTTTCCAACTTTTCGCTATTATTTTTGTCCACTGGTACAGGAACTTACCTAGAGACAGTCCGACACTTGTCATTGCCACAATTCAATGCAATGCACATTTCACAGCCTTTGAGCTGTGTAGCCAGGCTGCCCTTGCTGCCCTGCAGAAAGATGGGAGTCATTGATATTCCCAGCACCGATATATGAAAGTCTCCACTTTACCTCATCTTCACAAATGATATTGTTAATATAATAATACTGGATATTACCAATCTTTTTAATCTTTATAAATTTGATAGGCAAAAATGCAATTTCTTTCATTAATACAGATTTAATCACTAGCAAGATCATCGTTTCCTACGTTTATGTCTTTTTTTTTTTTTTTGAGACAGACTTCCGCTCTTTCGTCCAGACTGGAGTGAAGTAGCGCAATTTAGGCTCACTGCAACCTCTGCCCCCTAGGTTCAAGCGATTCTCCTACCTCAGCCTCCCCAGTAGCTTGGATTATAGGTGCATGCCACCACGCCTGGCTAATCTTTGTATTTTTTTAGTAGAGATGGAGTTTCGCCATGTTAGCAGGGCTAGTCTTGGACTCCTGACCTCAGGTGATCCACCCTCCTCGGCCTCCCAAAGTGCTAGGATTACAGACATGAGCCACCATGCCCGGCCAATGTCTTTTTTAAACCTTCACAACCTTTTCCAAATTTTCCATTGTTATTTCTCTTTAATTATTGACTTTTACATTTTATTCTTTGTGTTTATTTCCAAGTTTGTGAAATTGTCTTCTAACTTTGAGATAGCTGTGTGTGCGTGTGTGTGTGTGTGTGTGTGTGTGTGTGCGCATTTATCAAAGGTTAGTGCTGTTCAAATGAATTTTTGCTAAAGGAGGTAACACCCACTGAAATAGATTCTTCAAGAATGTATAAAGTAGATTAGAGGGAGGAAATGAAAATTGGAGGGAACACCTTTGAATTTGAGGTTCCTATAAAATCAGTTCACACATTTCTGCTGCAGCATCTCAGTCCTTCAACACCAGCCCCCAGTTCGTTCGTTTTATGTGTAAGGAGTTAGAGCACACAGATTTTTCACAAGGCTCCATAAACTGCTGTGTGCACAGTCCTAGAGGTCTGTGAACTTAGATGGGAAAAATTGCATCTTTATATGCACCAATCTCTTGAAAGTTAGTATTTCTTTCAATTATAAATGTGAGTAACAACTAACAGTAATGCTAGCAGTTTCTGACACCAATAAAAACCGATATTTTAAAATCACATTACTGTTGTTGAAGATATCTTAAAATATCACTACTATGAATTGAAACTAGATTTTGTTATTTTATAAAGAAGCATATTGTTATTGTATCTTTTATCACACAAGCATTACATATTTTGATGGTTGCATTTCAATAGATCGTGACCCTGTGCGTTTTGCTTTATGCATTTAAAAATGTTATTTTGTGCAAATCAAAACCACAATGAGATACCATCTCATGTCAGTTAGAATGGCAATCATTAAAAAGGCAGGAAGCAACAGATGCTGGAGAAGATTTGGAGAAATAGGAACACTTTTGTATGTTGGTGGGAGTGTAAATTAGTTCAACCATTGTGGAAGACAGTGTGGCAATTCCTCAAGAAATACCAGAAATACCATTTGACCCAGCAATGCCATTACTGGGTGTATACCCAAAGGATTATAAATCATTCTACTCTAAAGACACATGCACATGAATGTTTATTGCAGCACTATTTACAATAGCAAAGACTTGGAACCAACCCAAACGCCCATCAATGGTAGACTGGATAAAGAAAATGTGGCAACATATACACCATGGAATACTAAACAGCCATAAAAAGAATGAGTTCATGTCTTTTCAGGGACATGGATGAAGCTGGAAACCATCATTGTCAGCAAACTAACACAGGAACAGACAACCAAACACCGCATGTTCTCACTCATAAGTGGGAGCTGAATAATGAGAACATGTGGACACAGGGAGGGAATATCATACACCGGGGCCTGTCGGCGGGTGGGAGGCAAAGGGAGGGAGAGCATTAGGACAAACACCTAATGCATGCTGGGCTTAAAACCTACACGAAGGGTTGATGGGTGCAGCAGAACACCACGGCACAGGTATACCTATGTAACAAACCTGCACGTTCTGCACATGTATCCCAGAACTTAAAGTAAAACAAACAAACAAACAAAAACCCTGATAGGTAAAGAGTTTAAGTGGGCACATAGTGAGTAAGTAGCTTATGTCAGCTCTTTTCTTCCTGTGTCAGTTGTACTGCTGGAACTCAAATAGATCACTGTATTACCTTTTACAATCCCAAATTAAAGAATTTCCAGAATCAAGCTTGTCATCTACTATCAGTGTCTTACACACTTTAATATTCTCTTCTCTCAGGAGGGGGAGATTTCAAAAGAAATATGTTATTTTGAAAAGGGGTCTTTAGGCTTCAACAGGCTGCTAAGGGCATCCAAGGCACCCACAGGTTAAGAATCCCTGAGCTGGAAACAGCGTTAAAGTTACGAGAAGGGTCTAATTTGCTCCTTGATGAGAAGCTAAGGTTTCTTCTGTTGCCGTGACTCCTTTTGGGTATTCTTTTGCCCATGTGACTGAGTTAAGAGCTTTTCGGAGGCTCCTGGAAGCTTCTCAAATGCTGTATCAAATGTATTAACATCCACCCACGTTCCACATTAAATGCATTTTCATTATAAAAACTTGAAAAAATTATTTAATTTTGTTTTTTAAATCCTTGGTTTTGAGAAACTAATTTAATTTACAACTGAATGCAATTTCTTGACAACCAGTGTGCTTACTCAGGGGTTCTAGTAAAGAGGGAAAATCTAACATACAAATTGTTTTCTAAATGTAATGAAACTTTTATGAGCACTAAATTTCACGATTAATGAAGTTGACACACGATACGTTTTGTGTACATTTAATTAAACATTTAGCAATAGCAATTTTTGTGATTTTCTTTTCATATTTTGGAGCCATTTTTTTAAAGTCTGTTTTATAGGTCCTGGAAAGCACCTAGACGCTTGTGCCAGTGTCTAACAGATTAAATGTTGACAGGGGCCACAGCCTTTTATACTCAACCTTTTCACAGAGCACATCCTCCACCTCCTCTCAGTAACTGAACACTTGGTTACCTCTCTTCGCGCAAGGACTTTCCTGCCGCCATCTGTAGGAGTGGAGGCTATTGGCTGCCCCTTGCTGGGGGGACAACAGGCAGTGTTAGCACATTCCTACTTCTTCCTTGCTGCTTGCATGCTTTTACTCAGTGCAAAACCATCCCCTGTACTTTAAGATTCATTTTATCCACAGATATCATCCTGATAGTTCTCCTTTTGCTGTAAGCTGTTTTAGCCTTTATGCTCTTTGATCCCTGAGTTAATAGCCTTCCTGCTGTCCAGCCACCGCCTTGCACAACTTTCACCTCCCATGGGGACAAGGTATCCTGCCTTCTAACCTCAGAGCTCTGTGGCAGGGTCTGAACTTTGTTCAAGGCGTGTCTCCAGCTTCCCAAACAAAGCAGAGTCATTTTCTCAAGAAATGTTTGTTTCTTAATAATGCATGAATTCTCTTTGTCTCCACTGCAATCCAACTCCCCAGTTCGACTCTTATTCCTTTGTTAACACCTGGTACCTCTTCTGTATTAAAATGCAATATATAAACTTCTAGTCAGAACCTCCTACTCGTCTAATTCTCCAACTCCTGATTCTTGGGACTCATTCTTTACCTCATCCATATCCCCCGTCCCTTCCTGCTTTTCTTTCCAACCCATCCAATACTGACTTCTTTGCTTCTCTTTTCGCAGCTCTCCCTTAGACCAGTCTTTTGCCAGCATCCTCAATATCTTAGCTGTAATAAGAACAATGGCAGTCATATTAATCACTAACATGACCAAGTGCCTGCAGTGGACCAGACTCTAGGCTCAGTGCTTCCCATGCATTGCTTCATGGAACTCTTTGATGTAGGTACTATTATCCTCTTCATTAAAAAAAAAAAATAAGCAAAGGATAAGACAGATTAAATAACTTGCCTCATATGATTTGAAAATTCAGACCTGATATTTTATGCGATTTTCCGCTATATGTATACATAATCAGACTTCCTCTCAACTCCACTTCCTCTCCTTGAGCAAGTTTACGCAGGCTTCTCATCTCATTTACGTCCCGCTCACATGGCTACGGGCACCTCTGAAACATTGGCCAAGGTTACTGATGACTTGCTAATGACCGTGCCAGTAGGCCTTTTTAGTTCTTTTCTCACCTGCTCTTGAGCATATGATACCAACAATTATTCAAGTATTATTTAAAACAACACTTTATTTTTTTCCTCTTGGATTCAGTGACTTTTCTTCCTCCTCCTTTTCCTTCTATTTCTGACCACTTCATTCTCTGTGGCTGGCTTGCCTTCCATTGCTCTTCTTTCAAATTCTGACCCACCCAGAGATCTCATCCTTGCCTCCCATCCCTCTTCTCCTTAAATCGGGGGTGTCCAATCTTTTGGTTTCCTTGGGTCACATTGGAAGAAGAAGAGTTGTCTTGGACCACACATAAACTACAGTAACACTAATGATAGCTGACGAGCTAAAAAAAAAAATCGCAAAAAAAATCTCATAATGTTTTAAGAAAGTTTACAAATTTGTGTTGGGCCACATTCAAAGCTGTCCTGAGCCATGGGTTGGACAAGCCTGCTCTAAATGTGCTCTCTGTGTTGTTTTATTTGCTGCAGTGGCTTCAATCACCACCCAGCCTGTTGACCTTCAGACCTCCTGCTTACTTCTGGACCTCTGTGCCCAAATGCTTTATAGATCTTTCCATCTGGAAGTTGCTTAGGCACTGCTTATGTCCAGTCAGAGCTACCTCTATTCCCTGTATTTCCAATCTTGGTCAATGAAGCCTGCCCAGTCAGCTAGGCTGGAGTCTATCTCACTTTTACCCCTATTTTCAGTCCATGAGTACCTCGTCTCTGTTGTTAGCTGCTTAGCCCCTCATCTCTTTCTTCCACCCGTCCCTCACTGGTTTTCACATCCTGCTTTGCTTCACTCCTGCCCATCCTCACAGACTGCCAGAGGACTGTTCTCAATTGCAAAACCCATTACTTCACGAGCCTTCCTCTGCTCATACTATTACCTCCAATCACTCCTTATTCTTGTGGACTGCCTCCCTTAACTCCTTTTGTTATGTATTTGTGCAATGCTTCCAAGAATTTTGGTGACTGGTTTTTCTGCTTTCTTTAGTTGGGCTCTGTGTGCCTTCTGGGCAGCCATGATGCCTCTTCATTTTGTACCTCCAAGTGCTTATATGGTACTTTTCTTATAGTGGGTGTTCTGTAAATATTCACTGAATGAATGAGAATCATGAGATGCCACTTGAGACTGTGAGCTAGACCTTACTGCTGAAAGATGTAAAAATAGCATTCCAGGAAAGCAAGAGTTCTGGGTAATATCTGCCATTGCCTGACTGACATTTGTTCCTTGATATTGGTATAATGTGGCCAACAGGGTCCCTCCTCCACCTCCTGTACATTTTCCTGGTGAGCTGTTTGCAGCAGTCAGGAAAGGTTAGAGGAGTTGTCATCATTTTTACCAGCTTGATGTGTTTGCCTGGACTCAGTCCTTCTCCATGTTCCTGAGGCTATTGTGGTTGAAAGATTCCTAGGAGATAAGGTGAGGTTGGTCAGAGTCTTCCTGATCCCCACTGATGGGCTGTAGGTCTGAATAGCATTGGTTGACTTTATACAGTGTTTCTCCCGCTCTGCACTGTGGCATTACTGCATCTACTGAGACATTTACTTGTCTTATCTGCATTCCTAAATAATCCATCTTGGATTCTTAGCTTCTAAGAAGACTGAATTTGAAAGATCTAATTTCCAGCTTCATCTCAGCTACCAATTTACTGTGTGCCCTGGGACAAGTCACTCCCACTCCCCGTGCCTCTTTCTTTCTCTGGAAAAGGAAGATGCTTCCCGAGCGCCCATCCAGACATGCTGTTCTGGGACTCTGAGTGTTGTGATGGGTCCTGCGGTTAAACGTCCATATGTCTTTGTTTACAGTGTCTTAATAGTGAGACACTGAACTCACTGCTTTACAGAGACTATTGAATACACTGAACACCATGCTTAGCAAATTGTGATTGCCAGCTATAGGAATGTCCCTTCTGAGAGGAGAGTTGAAAAAGTGGCTATAACACAAAACCTGTTTCCTCAAGCTTTATGATGGGTTAAATTCCTGAAACCAGCTCTCAAATATTTTTTAGATCCAGTTTCTAACTCATATCCTTTATTTTAGTAATGCTTTTAAAAAAATCTGGCACTGTCTGAAAATGGACTATTCTAAGTAAGTATGTTTTTCAGATAACTGACTATGACTCTATGAGCACAAAAACTGAATAGTGCTCTTTTTATAAGGATGGAAATCCTTACAAAACGTATAGAACATTGTCTTGTCCTATAAAGAGAAAATATTGAGTATAATATAATTTAAATTTCCTATGTGACTAAAGTCATGTCTTTTATTCCTTTATTCAACAAATACTTATTAAACTCCAAATATATGCTAAGCACTGTGCTTAAGTAATGGGTATCTCATGTCTTACTTTGCAGATGTATTACCACCAAAGATTCCTCCTTATTGCTTCATTTATACAAGTTGACTGTTTTGATTTTATATATTAAATTTGGAGTTCTGAGCAATGATAAGGCAGAGTTTCTGCCTAGAGCATCAGATTTGGTGGGCAATTCAAACTGTCACATGCTCAGTCAGTAAAAAGCTGAGTCAGCTGTGTCTCACACCAGCCATTTTAGTCATCTAGACATAGGCGTTCCCACAACAAAGAGTCTGAAATAGCAAACAGCAAACTCAACAGGCTCTGTAATCTTTAGGTCCCAGTAGATTCTAATTTTATTTTATTTCAAGCAAGAGGGCATTATTGCAAAATATTTAATTTCTGTATTAATGTCTTTAGAGATTTTTTTAAATTTTGGACAATTCCAATCATATAATTTTTTCTTTAGGAGATTTTCAAGATTGGCCTCCAGTAACCTTGAAAACAGCCTTAAGTCATATTATGGGATGGTGGTGTTCTGGAATAGTTGCTGTTAAATGTAAGGTGACTCCTACTTTCCCTTTGACATTCATTTTAAACCTGGAGATGGTTTCTACAGAGAGTTGGGAGAACAGACTGGGGAATGTTTTCTAATGAGAGACGGGTGATTACCAGAGTCTTCCAGAATGTTAGAGCATGCCGACAGGCTACTTCTACTCTCTCTCTCTCCGCTCGGTTGTACTTTTCCATCTCCAGAATCTTTCACCTAGGGCACAGGGCAGTCTCTTCACAAGGAAATCGTCTAAATTTACACCCAAATCTTCCAGACTTTGTTTTCTTTTATTTTGTAAAGTCTCACGAAGTCAATTGTGGTTCACACGCAGGTGCCGATGATACATTACATATTTCACACACTGCATCTTAAAACTGGGGCTTGTAACTCCTCTTAAGTGCCATTTAATAATGTGCCAGGGTGTTTTTTATTGTTGCAGTGGGGTGTTACAGGTACTTAGCAGGAGAGGCCAGCCATGCCAAATGTCCTGAAATTTGGAGAGCAATATTTCGTAAGTAAGACTAGTCCCATCTAAAATGCCAAACGTGTGCCTATTGAGAAATAACTGCCATGTCCAGCGCATTCCTTGTAGCTTGCTATCCTCATTCTGTTAAGCATTGTTCATCTTTCCTACTTGCAACCACTAATGGTTAAAATCCTGCTATCTTTGAGTCTTACCTAGGAACTACCTTCCTTGTGGAACTCTCCTTGAATTTCTTGCTGGAAATAGTGTCTCCACCATTTTAGTGTACATAGTATCTTGTTTTTACAGATCACTTCTGGATGTAGCTAATTATTAATATCTACCTCCAAGGTGTCAGCACCTTCAGGGCAAGGATGTGTCTTACTCAGAGTATTCCTGGAATACCATGGGGATTCATGGCAAGGCTCAGGAAACATTTGTTGAATGAATGAACGAGAGTTGTTGAGTAATAGAAAACTCTTCATTCCTGCTAATTTAGACCTGTTCTAAGGCTGCCTTTCACAACCAGTATTTCTTAAACTGGATCCCACCTATAATAGTTATCTGAAATCCCTGCATATGTCATTCTTAATGAAATCTGAAAGCAGTGCCTAAGGCTCCACCAAGAACAGCGATTCTCGTTGGCCTGTCCCTGAAATTGTCTTGACACAACTTGTAATAGGCTATGACTGCTCAACAAATCCAAAAGCTTCTGCATTTCAGCAACTTGTTAACAGGCCCCCAAACAACTCTAGTTAATTCTGTAGAATACACAAGATTCACTTTGAAGTATATAATAATATTAACACAAGTCCTGTGAGTTAACATTGTGACTAGGCATGCATTGCAAATTAGATGCAGTTACCCTCTCTCTGACTTTTTAAAATGTAGAACATAATAGAGTTTCAAGGCATTTTAAGCTTGGAAATGAAATATACCAGATTTTTGATTTTTGCAAAGACAATGACAAACTTAATGAAAGACCAAGAATGGGTCTGTTCTAGTCACTGAACCCCCTGCGATAATTGTCTGCTTGCAAAGATGAATTCAGGGCTCTTAAAAAAGGATGTCAGCTCCCTTTAACTGTGCTCAGATTTTTAAGTTAAAAGTATGGAGGTCAGCCAAACATGTTGGGTTTTGCTTGTAAGCCCAGCTACTCAGGAGGCAGGATTGCTTGAGGCCAGGATTTCAAGACCAGCCTGGGCAACATAGCAAGACCTCTAAGATAATGAAAATTAAAAATTAGCTTGGTGTGGTGGCCTGTGCCTGTCAACCCAGCTACTTGGCAGGGTGAGGTGAGAGGGTCGCTTGAGCCCAGGAGTTCGAAGATGCAGTAAGCTATGATCATGCCACTGCATTCCAGCCTGAGCAACAGTGCTAAACCCCCAACTCAAAAAAAAAAAAAAAAAAAAAAAAAAAAGGAGGTCTTGCTCAGCCCAGGTCTGCCAGATGTCCCTGGTTCCCAGTGTCTGCCTTTTTCTTCTTCCCACAGTTGAGGCCACTGGGGCATCCAGGCCTCAGGGCCTTTTTGGGAAGAGATGATGAAGGCCTACCCCATAACGTTGGACACCAGTATCAGTCATGCTTGCTCCAAGGCTTATCCTGCCCTCATGGACCTGTGGATATTTTGGATAGCTATAGACTGTCCTTCCTCCTCTGCCCCTGTGGCATCTTGGTAATTTAGCTGCCACTCTGGAGCAGGTGCCTGTTCCTACCAGGGAGAAGAGTCCTGGATATGAATCCAGCCCAATGGCTTGGGCCCTGCTCACTGCTGCCCAACTGTACAGATGCCAGATGCCTCTTTTCTACTTGGGTTCCTAAGGCTGCAGGCCCTGGCACCTCATTGTGCTGGCTCCAGCTCTGTCTGGTGCCAAGTGTGTGCCTAGGCTGACATCTCTTTCTTGCTGGAGCTGACTGCCTGCCAGTACCTGCTGCAGGGTCTGACCTTCCCGTTGTAGGCACTCTTCTAAGGTCCCTTTGTCTTTTTTTCTTTTTTTCCCAATTTTTAAAAATTGGGGTAAAACATGTATACATAAAATTTACCGTCTTAGGCATTTTAAGCATACAGTTCATTGGTATTAAATACATTCACAGTGTTGTGCAAACATCATCACTGTCTGTCTCTAGAACTCTCTCCATCTGATAAAAATGAAACTCTATACCCATTAAACAATACCTCCCTGATTCCCCTCCTCCCAGCCCCTGGCAATCACCATTCTACTTCCTGTCTCTGACTCCCGTAGGTACCTCATGTAAGTGGAATCGCACAGTATTTGCCTTTTCATGAGTGACTTGTTTCACTTAGCATAATGTCCACAAGTTTCATCCATGTTTCAGCATTTGTCAGAAATTCCTTCTTTTTAAAGGCTAGATACTATTCCATTATATGTATACATCACATTTTGTTTATCCAATCATCCATCCATGGACACTGAATTGCTTCCACCTGTTAGCTGTTGTGAGTCAAGCTGCTGTGAACGTGTGTGTGCGAATATCTCTAATTCTTATTTCGACTTTATTCATAAATCATTTTCTTGACTTTTTCCGTGTCTTCCCTGTAGTCTTTGATCAGCTTTACGACAGCTGTTTTCAAGTGTTTGTCTCATAGATTTGCCATCAGGTGCTCTTCAGGGGCAGTTTCTGCTGATTTACTGATTTACTGTTTTTCCTTTGAATGGAATGTACTTCTCTGTTTCTTTGTATGTCTTGTGACTTTTTTCCTTTTTGTTGATAATTTGAGTCTAATAAGGTAGTAACTCTGGAAATGATTCTTCTTCTTCCCTTAGGTTTGCTGTTTCTTGTTATTGTTTTTGTCTGTTTCTCTCTCTCTCTGTCTGATCATTGTAGGCTGTCTCTGTGCCAAGGATCAACCTGAAGTATGAATTTAAAGTCTTCTCAGGTCTTTTCTGAGCCTGTGCCTTTTACTGGGCATGTGCAGTCATTTTCTAATTCCCCCCTCCCCCGCCCATATGCAGTTACTTTGGAATGTTCCAGTCTTTCCTGGCTGGCTCCCAAAAAAGAAAAATACAGGGGAAGGGAATGGGTACCAGTCCTATAAATCCCCTGGAACGCCCTCCAACCAGGGGAAGTGGGGCTTGCAACAAATGGGGAGGTGCAACAATAGTGTCCCCCCAGCTCTTTGCACCTCTGTGATCAGAAGCAGTGATCAGTGATTAGGGTGCAGATCCTTGATATTTGAAGGCCAGGGTTCTTTTTGCCCACCCTGGCTCCTGCAAATCTGTGTAGGTTGCTCCAGGAACCCATACACAGTATCCTGCTATGGGGCTGTGGCTGGGAGATGAGTAGCTGCTACTGTGCAAGGAGCTGAAATTGACTGAAATTCACTGCAGTTTACTGTTCAAGCCTTCTCTTGGAAGTTGCAAGCCTTCAATGGACTCCAGAGTTCCAAAACAGTTACATTAGATAGAGTCCATAAGTGTGACTGCTTTCTTGATGGGGAAACAGATTCCAGGAATTTCCTACTCCCATGATCTTCCCAGAATCCTTTCTTGGGCTCTTTTTCTTTGAGCCAGATTTGTTTGCCCTTCTTTGAGGGGAGTTGTTTCCCTGGGGTTTCCTTAGAGCCTTCTGAAATCCCCACCAGGCTATGTCAATCCCACTCAGACACACACTTAGATCTGAATCCTTTGGGGCAACATGGGTTGGGAACACCTTAAGAACCTGCATACACAGAACATAGAATGAGTACAAATTAAGTATTTTAGAGGAATAAAGTATTGTGAATGTGTTAGATTGGGCAAATAAAAAAGGATCATCATAGGATGGCACATTCATGCACATTTATAAATAACATTTCTATTTTTGTATGTTGGAATCCCAACAGACATGCTCATATTTCCAAATGAGGGATAGATTTAAATCAATTCATCTTCAATCACAGTTTTCCTGTTATGTATTTTTATCATGTTCTCATATATGTGAAATCATTAGTAAAAGTAAAGCAAAGAATGCTGGTCTCTTTCATCTTTCAGCATTATTGAAGCAGGAAAGATGACTGTTTTCACAATGTGTTTTTAGGGTGCCAACATTTAAAGGGACTGGGAAAAATTTTACTGTAAAAATACTCATGAATTCATGACTATGGGCTTCCATTCATGGATAATTGTGATAAATGTTTCATTTACATTTCTATTATTATGGATTATCTGTTTTCTTTTTAGTTTAGATTAAAACATAATGTACTCACATATGAAATTCAAGTGAAGCCTTCTGTGAATCACAGGTCTGCAGATTTTAAACATAATTATGGTTACTCAAATATATTGTTTATGCCTGATCAACCATGTTTTAATCAATGCCAAATAATTTTGTTTTTTTAAATACTGAGGCTTCAAGAAAGAAATATATGCTCAAGCGGGCCTGTAATCCCAGCACTTTGGGAGGCCAAGGCAGGCGGATCACAAGGTCAAGAGATTGAGACCATCCTTGCCAACGTGGTGAAACTCCATCTCTCCTCAAAATACAAAGATTAGCTGGGTGTGGTGGCACGTGCCTGTAGTCTCAGTTACTCAGGAGGCTGAGGCAGGAGAATCATTTACTTGAACCCGGGAGGTGGAGGTTGTAGTGGGCCAAGATTGTGCCACTGCACTCCAGCCTGGTGACAGAGCGAGACTCCTTCTCAAAAAAAAAAAAAAAAGAAAGAAAGAAAGAAGTATACAAAGAAAGCACTAATATGCATTAACTAAAAATTATTTGTTGCTTTGGATATTGGTTGATTATTTAGTATCTACTTAGAACATGTGTATAACTACTTGAAATATGATGTTGCTTTGCTGTTTAACATGGTTAACAGTAAAATGTGTAAATGAATAATAATGCTTTAGACTGGATTTCAAAATGTACTATATATGTAGCATGAATACCCCCACAGTTTTACTTAGCTCTTCTAGCTTAAAGGTCAGCACAATACACAGACCTCCCATTTGGATACTTGATATGACAGAGATAATTAACTGTCCTCCAAAAGATTTGTACCGTACCTCCTAGAGTACAGAATTGTTGCTGACAAGTGTCTTCCCTACTAAAGACATCATGTCCTAGCCCTCCTTACAATTAGATGGGTCATGATACTAGTTCTTACCAGTGGAATGTGAACAGAAGTGAAATGCATCGCTTTTAGGTCAAACTGTTTAAAAAGAAAATGTAAAACGGTTGAACAAAGAAACAAATTCATGATGTATTCATGCATTAGAATACTGTTCCTCAATGGGAAGGAAAGAACTACTGATTCTGGCAAAACATGGATAAGTTTCAAAACATTGTGTGCTAGAAGCCAAACACAAAAGAGACCATACTGTATAATTCGATTCGTATGAAGTCCAGTAATAGACAAAACTAGTCTATGGTGAGAAAAATCAGGAAGTGGTTGCCTGCGGGGAATGGCGGGTTGACTACACATGAGCACTAGACAACATTCTAGGTAGAAAAAAAAATGGTTGGCGTCTTGTTCTGAATGGTTATTACACAGGTGTAACAGTTGTCAAAACTCATTGAACTCAGCACTTAAGATCCAAGCATTTGTGTGTGCATGTGTAAATTACATTTTAATGAAACCAGATGTGCCTTCCTGACTCTCTCTTTCCCCATCCTCCAACTCAGTGGTTCTCAACCAGAGGCAATTTTGTCTCCCAGGAGACATTTGGCAGCAGTAGGAGGCATTTTTGATTGTTGTGCTTCTGGTGTTTAGTTAGTAGTGGTCAGTGATGCTTCTCAGCATCCTACAATGGCACACAATGGCCCTCCACAACAAAGCATCACATGTTCTGAAATACCAGTGATGCTCAGGTTGGGAAACTGCTATAGCTGAATGCAGTATGGACCCACAAGATGGAAACATTTTTGCCACCAGCACAGGATGTTACATGAACAAGAAAAAAATTTATACTGTGTTAAGGTACGGAAGTATTAGAGTTTGTTTGTTTCAGTGGTTAGCATCACTTTAACTAATATACCAGACTTTAAATCCTTGATGCTAAGAATAATATTTATGAGGAAATGTGAGTGAAATTTATCTTAAGTTTTAATATCAAGCAAAGCTATGCTTCCTCTAAACCATTATTGTAATTTTATCTTAAGGACATTGTCAGTTTTATAATTTCGTGTGTTTCCCTTCTTGTTTCAAATCACAGAGAGTAATTCTTAGGCAGCTCTTAACTCTCCAGGAACATATGATTTGCGTTTCTGCATGCTCCCCTTGTCTTTAATATTTTTCTATCTTTATTTCCTAGCACTAATCCCATAACTACCTATTTTTGCTTTTGGTATTTCATTATTTTTTAAAGGCTAGCTCATATTCTTTGCATAAAAATTCAGCTTATAAAAAATAAATAAAATGTTATTCAAATACTTAACATTCCTTTATTTTAGGTTTTGAATTAATAATGGTTTTTGTATCTCAGACCTTGAAGGGATTTTTATCTTGTCTTAACCTCTTAAGATCGAGAGAGATAAAATGTTCATAGTGATAGTTCATAAAATTATTTCATGTCTAAAATAGAAGGTGTTCTCTACTGTATATAAAAGTTCTATACTTTATACATGGATTATAACTTGTTCATCTCTAATTGGACACACCTTTTGAATTATTCTTCTGATAAGGAAATGGGATTCATGCCACTCTGTAGTAGACATTCTTGGCTGCCTACTCAATATCCACCCTCTTCTCCTTTTTCCTTCTGGCAGATCTCCAATTTTGTTCAAGTATCCACTCATTTCAGCTAATCTATAAGCTTCACGGGAGAAATACATCCACTTAGCACCACGGGTGGCATCGTGGTTGGATTAAGCTGTGGCCTTTGCCTCCTTGTCAGTCATTGGTTTAATCCATGGATCGGTGGTGCTATTCTGGCTACTGAAATGCAGAAGCCAACTGAGGTGGGGAGTGGAAGTTCCAGGAATGATTTTCCTCAACCTTAGAAATAGACACGAGGGAATATGATTGTTCTGTTGCTTGTGGACACTGTTGTATCTGCCTGAGATGACGAGAACTCTGGCAGCCATCACAGGACTATATGGAGAGTTAGGCAGAAGCACAAACCAGGCAGGCCAAAGATAGCAGCCAAAGAGATAAAAAAGAACCTGAGTGTTTATTAGACCTCCAAACCACTAACTAAAAGGACTCCAGAGCTAAATTCCCTCTCCCTTTGTTGTATGAGAAAATAATTTCCTCAAGCCAGTTGGTTTAGGGTTTTCTTGTACTTGTACTTGAAAGTATCCTTCCGAAATATCTTCTTGTACCTCTCCGATGACTTAGGGTGGTTTTAACATTTACAATGTTCCTGTGTGTGGCCAGTATGAAATCCAGGCTTATGAACTAGAGGATGTGAGACCTTTACCTTAGTCAAACTATGCTCTAAGAAGCGGAACGCATTAGCCCAAGCCCCCAAGAGAGTTGGCAAAGTTCTTCTGTGAAGAGCCAGAAAGTAAGTATTTTAGACTCTGCCGGCCATATTGTTTCTGTTGCCACTCCTCAACTCTGCTGTTATAGTACAAAAGCAGCCACTGAGACTACATAAGTGAGTGAGCATGGCTGTGTGCCAATAAAACTATTTTCACAAAAAGCAGGCAGTGGGCTAGGTTTGTGTTGTGGGTTTGCTGACTATGGTTTGGGTTGTGTGGTTTGCTGACTTCTGACCTAAATTACATTCAGTCCAACTATAGCTAATCTAGGTTGATGGGGACACGGAACAGCTATGAGATTACTTACCTGGCTCCACTTTCCCTCCTTTTTCTTGCATTATCTGCCCTCTGGTAGAATAACCATTTTGCAGTAAGGCGGCAGAAAGGCCAAAAGTCAGGAGAGAGAAAATTGAGAACAAGAGATTTACATCATAGACATTCTACTTAATCAGTTACTGAATAACCAATGTTTGGCTACACTCCTCTGAAACTATTTGTCTAGAAAAGCCCACGATCTTGATGCCACCAAATGAATGAGAAAAATGCATTTGAACCAGGTTTACTCTGATCTGTCTGTTTTAACACAAAATATCTTTGACCAAATAAAAGGCAACATGTTCCGACTTCAGAGTTTGCATAAAGGCAGGTGCATCTGGGCAGTCTGTGCAAGGATGCTGTTCTAATTAGGGAAATGGAAAAGTCTTTAATTCTGAAAGTGCCAGCCTGTCATATTTAGCCAGCATACTCTGAGATCTAATAAACCTCTGTCAAAAACAACAAGGGGTAATGGAAATCAGGTATGATTGATTTAGGAAAATGCCAGTGATGAGTATCTGTTGAGAAATAAGTAAGATAGGAAAAGCAGAATGGAAATTGGAGCATCCTGGCTTAGCTGGTCCGATGATAAAAATTATGCAAATGTGCACAGCACATCTTTAGAATACTATTATCAGTTTTACAAAGCCCATCTCTTACTTCTCATTCCCCTGTTTCTTTAAATGCAATGCTGTCTCTGAAAGTAGGCTGACATGAAATCATGATTGTTTTTTCTTTTTTTCTTTTTTTTGAGGCAGAGTCTCACTCTGACACCAGGCTGGAGTGCAGTGGCACGATCTTGGCTCATTGCAACCTCTGCCCCCCAGGTTCAAGCGATTCTCCTGCCTCAGCCTCCTGGAAATCATGACTTTAAAGGAGATATTTAGTGTACATAAGCCCCAGAGTGAAAGCATCCCAGCGAATCACTTGATTCCTCTGTGACAGCTGCAGAGGATCCGCAAAGCACATGCATCTTAGACTAAGCATTTTGTTTTCAAGCAACATTGGGCTTTGAAGCCCATTCCAAACAGAAGTATACATGCTTCACATGAATACATGCCATCTCGAGACATTTTTATCCAGGACTTTAGTGGACTCTGATTAATACTAATACATACAAAAATGAAAATAGAACAAAAGATATCCCCCCTGAGGAAGGCCCCTCAGGAAAGACGTTACATTAGCTTTGTTTCTAATTAGGTCCTTTCTGCCTTTTGGGGAATGGAGGAGACCTGAATCCCTCTAACTCTTTCATCCAGTCACTCCCCACAGCCTGACTGCCACTTTACAATTAATTGAAAAACCTATGCTTTTAAGTTGATGCCAGATGACTTAGCAGGAATAAACACACTTACAGGTGTCTCAGGAAGCACAACTCTAATGCCTAGGAATTTTTGATGACTTCCCTCCTGATGGCACTTCCCGCAGTTTGCAACTAAGTAGGCAGGCGTTCCATAGCAAAGTGGTTTACTTGCAAGTCATGTAGTGATGGAAAAGGAGTCATAATTTTAGCACTATTAATGGAAAATATAGACAGGTTAAACAAGAAGTATAATGCTGAGTTCCAATCCTTCAGTTAGTAAAAATATTCTGCAGTGAGTGTGGGGAGCTAAAGGTATCATCCCAGCTAGGTCTGGAACCTTCTTTTGGCCTGGATCCTGCCTCCCTATCCACTTCATCTCCTGCTCTGCATTTCTTTCCCTTTTCCAGATGATGCCATCTCCTTTCTCATCTCCACATCTCACATAGGCTTGGCCAAGTCCTATGCATCCTTCAAGACTCAGTTCAAATGCTTCTTCCTCTGTGAAGGCCCCAGTGCTCTTAGGGAAAGTTATTGTCTCTTCTGTGCTTCCCCTTGTCTACTGTAGATCCCATCACAGTGCATTGAGGTTGACTGACCCAGTGATGTGTCATTCTCCTTCTTTCACTGCAAACTTCTGAAGATTGGAATTATTCATCATTGTCTCCTCAATGCCTGGCATATAGTAGATGATCAATACATATCTGTAAGTATGAGTCAGACCACTGAAAAGCTAGATGTCATCTTCAGACATTGTCCAATGATGTACTTATTTATAAAACAGGTTGAAACAAAGTCAAACGTTCTTTGCAAGGCTGTCAGAACACACTACTGAACCGAAAGCCAATAAGCTCCAAATCTGACAGCTTAGAGAATGATTTCACATCTGGACTTCCTATGTGACTTTGGTCCACCATAGAGACCACATCTGGCTTTTCCAATGGTGTTGCCATCCCTTTTTCCCCATCCAATTTTGGATTTTATTACCAAGTAAAGTCCCAGAATGAGGTCTACCTACCCCTTTTCTTGTGGTTCTTATCCCAGGGCTGCTTTGCTGGACAGAGAACTGAAAACAATGAGAACACTGGGGAACGTCTTTTGTGCAGAGAAATCTAAGTGCAGTGGGAAGAACAAGCCCAAAGGACAAGAAAAGAAAAAAAAAACCTCACATAAACTAAGCAGAGTTGCTTATCTGGATCTTTGGGGAAGAGCCTTGGCTGGGAGCAAGTGAAGGGATGTGTACCAGGAAGACTTGGGGAAGCAATTTTGCACATAGGGACTCAGGAGGGTGGAACCAGGGTGCATTTTCACATGTGGCATTTTCAGGAAGTGGCAGCTCTCTGCTGGCTCTCACTACCCACACAGGGGCAGGGGACACAGTCCCCCTCTCCACCAGCAGCACCTTTCTCCAAGACAAAGGGCAAAAATCTATCCCCTGGCCCTCCTCATTAGTCACCAAAGGACAAATGTATTGTGTTCCAATGGTTGATTTATAAATATGTTACCTAGAGTATGAAACAGTTTTACCCCACAGGAATAATATAAAATCTGGTTAGATTCCTAAATCTGGTTAGATTCCACCAATCCTCATTAATTTAGAATTAATTTAGAGAATTAAACTTTTGGCTTTCTTTTAATTTAATTAATACCCAATCTTTTTTTTTTTTTTTTTTTTTTTGAGATGGAATCTTGCTGTGTCACCCAGGCTGGAGTGCAGTGGTGCAATCTCAGCTCACTGCAACCTCTGTTTCTGGGGTTTAAGCGATTCTCCTGCCTCAGCTTCCCCAGCAGCTGGGATTACAGGTGCCTGCCACCATGCCGAGCTAATTTTTGTATTTTTGGTAGAGACGGGGTTTCACCATGTAGGCCAGGCTGGTGTCAAACTCCTGACCTCAGGTGATCTGCCCACCTTGGCCTCCCAAAGTGTTGGGATTACAGGCGTGAGCCACCGTGCCCAGTCCTACCCAATCTTTAGAGCATGATTTCTATTAGAAGGTATATTTTGGGCTCTAAATGTAGATACTCATTCTCCTATCCCTTTCTTCCCTGCCTGAGGAGATTTCTAGGTCCTTGGTATTCATAGGCAATGCTCTGGGGGTTACAGTTCTAAGCACTGGTTAGTTTCTCACTTTTAAAACAAGTGACACCTCTGTTGCTGCATTGAGAAGACATTTTCACATCCCTGTCTTCTCCCCAAGTGAAGATGCAATTCCAGTTACAATGGGGTGGGAAGAAATGGCATGGTCCCAGTGGGTAGGGGCCTCACATGCTTTGGAAAACCTTTTCTTGTACATGAGCCATTCTTGTGTTGAGAATTTGTATGTTGGTGATGTTGAGGACTAACTTCTGAGTATGCATGTGGACGCTCACAGGTGGAGATGTATGTGAGCACTTATCACCCGGTGTCTGATTCCACCTCTGTCTCCTTCTCCCGGTAGAGTCAAACCATTCTGGAGGTGCTTCGTGCAGCCTGCTACAATCCCCGCAGGTTCCTCCTCCTGACTGTGAGCAGGGAGGGTGTTTGTTGGTGGTGTATGTGCAGCTTTTTCCTTTGGGATTTCATTAGATAGTTTTATTTTTATGCATCAAAGAAAAAAGAGCAGGAATATTAGGCTTTTTGAGAGTAATGTGAATGTGACTTTATCATATTTGATGGCAATTTACTTAAGGACACACTTAGGGCTCTTTGTAAAGAAATGCAGAGAGTCTACAAAAAAATCATTACAAGCATAATAAAGCTGGGGAAGTGGCTTTAAGATGTGTGTGATCCAATTGTATACAGTACTTATCTGGTTATAAATACAAATTCCCTCCCTACTAAGATGCTTCTGGCTAATAGCTCTAAATTACAGTCGCATGGCCTGGCTTTAAGACAAAGCTATATAAGGTGTAGGAAACCTCCACCCTCAGTGTCACCTTAAAGCTTAAAAATAGCCCTTTGTCAGATGAGTAGGTTGCGAAAATTTTCTCCCATTTTGTAGGTTGCCTGTTCACTCTGATGGTAGTTTCTTTTGCTGTGCAGAAGCTCTTTAGTTTAATTAGATCCCATTTGTCAATTTTGGCTTTTGTTGCCATTGCTTTTGGTGTTTTAGACATGAAGTCCTTGCCCATGCCTATGTCCTGAATGGCAATGCCTAGGTTTTCTTCTAGGGTTTTTATGGTTTTAGGTCTAACATTTAAATCTTTAATCTATCTTGAATTGATTTTTGTATAAGGTGTAAGGAAGGGATCCAGTTTCAGCTTCCTACATATGGCTAGCCAGTTTTCCCAGCACAATTTATTAAATAGGGAATCCTTTCCCCATTGCTTGTTTTTCTCAGGTTTGTCAAAGATCAGATAGTTGTATATCCAGAATCTACAATGAACTCAAACAAATTTACAAGAAAAAAACAAACAACCCCATCAAAAAGTGGGCGAAGGACATGAACAGACACTTCTCAAAAGAAGACATTTATGCAGCCAAAAAACACATGAAAAAATGCTCATCATCACTGGCCATCAGGGAAATGCAAATCAAAACCACTATGAGATACCATCTCACACCAGTTAGAATGGCGATCATTAAAAAGTCAGGAAACAACAGGTGCTGGAGAGGATGTGGAGAAATAGGAACACTTTTACACTGTTGGTGGGACTGTAAACTAGTTCAACCATTGTGGAAATCAGTGTGGCGATTCCTCAGGCATCTAGAACTAGAAATACCATTTGACCCAGCCATCCCATTACTGGGTATATACCCAAATGACTATAAATCATGCTGCTATAAAGACACATGCACACGTATGTTTATTGAGGCATTATTCACAATAGCAAAGACTTGGAACCAACCCAAATGTCCAACAATGATAGACTGGATTAAGAAAATGTGGCACATATACACCATGGAATACTATGCAGCCATAAAAAATGATGAGTTCATGTCCTTTGTAGGGACATGGATGAAATTGGAAATCATCATTCTCAGTAAACTATCGCAAGAACAAAAAACCAAACACTCCATATTCTCACTCATAGGTGGGAATTGAACAATGAGATCACATGGACACAGGAAGGGGAATATCACACTCTAGGGACTGTGGTGGGGTGGGGGGAGGGGGGAGGGATAGCATTGGGAGATATACCTAATGCTAGATGACGAGTTAGTGGGTGCAGTGCACCAGCATGGCACATGTATACATATGTAACTAACCTGCACAATGTGCACATGTACCCTAAAACTTAAAGTATAATAAAAAACAAACAAACAAACAAAACACAAATAAACAAACAAACAAAAAATAGCTTTCTCATGACATTGACTACTCTGCCTCTGAGCCTCTATTTCCCCCCCTTCCCTCCCTCCCACCTTACTCAGATTGTGCTAAAAGGAAACAGGGCTTCTAAAAGAGTCTATCGGGCTGGGCATGGTGGCTCATGCCTGTAATCCCAGCATTTTGGGAGGCTGAGGTGGGCGGATTACTTGAGGTCAGGAGTTCAAGACCAGCCTGGCTAACATGGTGAAACCCAGTCTCTAGAGAAATACAAAAATTAGCTGATCATGGTGTGGGTACCTGTAATCTTAGCTACTTGGGAGGCTGAGGCAGGAGAATTGCTTGAATCCAGAAGGCAGAGGTTGCAGTGAGCCAAAATCATGCCACTGCACTCCAGCCTGGGTGACAGAGCAAGACTCCATCTCAAAAAAAAAAAAAAAAAAAAAAGATTCTACCCAGGCATGCTGATATTTTATCTGGCCTGTGATCTAGCTGGGCATTGATGCCACACTTCCTGTCTGCCTTGTCCTGTAAGTCAGATGGATGATTACAGCAAGGAGGAGGGGATAATGCAAGTCCTTCTGACCACAGACTAATACCTGCATTCATCCAGAGCCACAATAAAGAGTCCTAGAAAACCAAGTGTAGATTTTATTAAGTTGGGAACACCTACTCTGAATGGTCTGCTAACACCCTTTACATTCATACTCAATAATAGTGCTGGTTAATAAGATCAATAGTGACAACAATCACCTGAATGGAATTGCTTTTATTTAGATCATGAATCATGACCATGTTGATGTTTTCAAACAAATTTCTGAGACTAAATAACATGCCCCAAAAGTTGATAAGAATGTTCAGCTGCAGACATTCATTATTACTTTGCAATTAGGGAGAGGCAAGTCCATTGTTGACCTAGGTTCATGGGAGGCAGAGAAGTAGATGGTCACTGGGTCCTACTGCAGAGGGCATGGTGGAATTGTCTACAGATCTTAACATCCAGACAGGACTCACCTTGGAGAAGCATGGGCTGCTGAGGAGTGTGGGGTCTGTGCCCTTTGCCTCCAGGGAGAGCAAGCACATTAAAAGGCTTTGAATGGGCTGGGCATGGTGGCTCATGCCTGTAATCCCAGCACTTTGGGAGGCTGAGGGGGGGCAGATCACCTGAGATCAGGAGTTCAAGACCAGCCTGTCCAACATGGCAAAACCTCATCTCTACTAAAAAATACAAAAATTAGCAGGGTGTGGTGGTGGACACCTGTAGTCCCTGCTACTCTGTAGCCTGAGGCACGAGAATCACTTGAACCCAGGAGGCGGAGGTTGCAGTGAGTTGAGATTGCACCACTGCACTCCAGCCTGGGTGACTCCGTCTCAAAAAAAACAAAAAACAAAAAACAAAAAAAGGGCCTTGAGTGCCTTCTCCACGAACTCGCTGCCTGTCAGTCACTGTTGCTGAATATTTCTCCCTGCTTTCTCTAATTTACCTTCATTAAAGTATTTTATTTATTTATTTATTCATTTATTTATTTATGTTTTGAGACAGAATCTTGCGTGACACCCAGGTTGGATGGCACGATCTCAGCTCACTGCAACCTCCGACCCCAAGGTTCAAGCAATTATCTTGCCTCAGCCCCCAAGTAGCTGGGACTACAGGCACCTGCCACCACGCCTGGGTAATTTTTTTGTGTATTTTTAGTAGAGACAGGGTTTTACTATGTTGGCCAGGCTGGTCTTGAACTCCTGACCTCATAATTCGCCGTCTCAGCCTCCCAAAGTGCTGGGGTTACAGGTATGAGTCATCACACCTGGCCTCAAAGTCTTAACAACTCATATGTCAACTTCTTAATTACCAAAAGAGAGAGAAGAAAACATCAGTTTGGGGTAATGCATTTAAAGGGAGCCCTCAGGCTGATTTCTAGGCCCCATCCGGTTCTCATCTGAGTGAGCAGTATTTTGAAGTTGCCTCCAAGAATTGGACTTGATCATTTAGTTTCCTCTCATTTCTAAGGATTCCTGGGATTCCAGGTCAGTGCCACAGGGGAACCTTGGAAAGTGTATATATGTCAGAAATTTAGAGGAAGAATGTCATCAGAAATTGGAACTTGAATCCACAAGAGTATGAGAGATAATTGCTTCCACTTTGGAAGTCATTATCTTGTGCCCCCAGAACTCTTATCTATAGAGCAGGCATGAGAACTATGGTTTAGATGGGCTGTTTGCACATTTTACTTTGTGCTACAAATTTTTTTGCTTGCTTTTCTCTCTGTGTGTGTCTCTGTCACTGTCATGGAGACGAACTGGATGAGGGAAAGAAGAAGGAGGCTGGGTGAGCAGGTAATTGTGCAGTAGCTGTTCTCCAGAGAATCCTACCCAAGGGTCATGGGTGATTTATGTTTTTCCTCCACCTTTGCCCAGACTTTCTTTCTACTGTTGCCTTTGAATAAACTGGAAATTTAAAAAAAAATCATAATTGCAGTTTCCTAAATCATTTGACACTCCAGTCATCCTGCAAGTATTGTTATAAGGAGTTTCCCACAGAACAAACTGGCTTACTTCTATCTTCAAGGATGGGATCAGTAAGCTTGGCTAGATTGTCCAGTTCATTTGGGCCCAAAGCAGATTTCCTCCTCTAACCCAGGCCTACCTAAGAGGATGCTGGGGTCTGAGTAGAGCTAGCCTAACCTCCATGGCAGGCTGGTGACACTGCTGACGCAGACTGGTCACTGCCCTGTGGATTGCTTTATTTTTGGGCAGAATTGCTACCAGTTATGAAGTGCAGGATGCTGTGTTGGTTAATTAACAGCTATTTATAAGTGGCTATCTATACGAGGTTCTAATCCAGAAGTTGGCAGGAAGAAGTAAAAGAGAACTGAAAAACAAAATGCTAAATGCAGTGTGGTATCCTGGATTGGATCCTGAAACAGAAAAAGAACATGAGTGGAAAAACTAGTGAAATCTGTATAAAGTCTGGAGTTTTGTTAATAGTAAGCTATCAAAGTTAATTTCTCAGTTTTGATGAATGTATCACAGTTATGTAAGATGTTAACAGGAGGGGAAACAGAGAACAACAGTATGTGGGAACTTACTGTACTTTCTGCAAATTTAAAATTATTCATAATTAAAAATTTATTAAAAATAAAAAGAAACACCATCCAGAGTCACCATAACTTTAGTAAAGTAGGTTCCTATTGACAGATTCTTTGAAGTTTTAAGTTTATGTATTTTTTCAAGAAATATACATTTTTACTGAATGCTTTATTTTGTTTTTATTTATTTATGATTTTAAATTAATTTTTTTGTTTGCTTTTTAGAGACAGAGTCTTGCTCTGTCACCCAGGCTGGAGTGCAGTGGTATAATTACAGCTCACAGCAGCCTTGAACTCCTGGGCTCAAGGGATCCTCTTGCCTCAGCCTACCCAGTAGCTGGGACTAGAGGCATGCACCACCACACCTGGCTAGTTATTTTTTATTCTTATTTTGTAGAGATGGAGTATCACTGTGTTGCCAAGGCTGGTCTCAAACTCCTGGCCTCAAGCAATCCTCCTGCCTGGACCTCCCAAAGTGCTGGGATTACAGGCGTGAGCCACTGTACCCTGCCTGAATGCTTTATTTTGAGTATTTTATATTAGAAGATATTTCTTGATGGAACTAACACAGAAAAGCTAATAAATATGTGATTTGTTTTGACCTTTTTGTACAATCTGTATCAGAGACCAACTACTTATTAAATGGTGAGTGGAAATCTCAGAATACTTTCCATCTGGGTCCTTCAAATTGGGACTTAAGGACCTTCATTGTGTGCAAGGTTTGATAAGCAAAAGGATGACTTCACCCTACTGGGAAAAGATGGTATTACTGAGCAATCAAAGATAAAATTACAGGATTATAGACGAGATACAACATGTTTCAGCTCTTCTCCTTGTTAAAATCAAGTGCTCAGAACTTTTCATAGGAGGACAGAGTTTTATATCCAGAGAGATTAACTTTCCAGTGACACAGTTTCACAATGATAGGTATGCTAGCGTCCAGGGAACAGGAGGAGAAAAGGCAGGTCCACGTGATACCCATGGGCTTCCTGGAGAAACTGCTAATGACAAAGCTCCAGCTCAGTCTGACCAGCTAACAAAGTAAAAAGGCCTAGGTCTTTGTTGATATCTCAAGGAGACTTGCTTTTAGAAACCTCCGTGGAGCACAGAGTAGTAATGAAGATCTCCTGCTAGAGGGCGAGACATTTGGACCCTAATCAAACTGACTCTCTCTTATTTATTTTTATTTATTTTTGAGACAGTCTCGTTCTGTCGCCCAGGCTGGTGTGCAGTGGCACGATCTCAGTTCACCACAACCTCCACCTCCCAGGTTCAAGCGATTCTCCTGCCTCAGCCTCCCAAGTAGCTGGAATTACAGGCATGCACCACCACACCCAGCTAATTTTTGTATTTTTAGTAGAGATGGGGTTTCGCCATCTTGGCCAGGCTGATCTCATACTCCTGACCTCAGGTGATCTGCCTGCCTCGGCCTCCCAAATTGCTGGGATTACAGGCATGAGCCACTGTGCCTGGCCCAAACTGACTCTCTCTTAAGTAAAGGGAGGAAGGGTCCAAGGAAACACCTCCTGTAGTGGATTTGTGGCATTCTTTAGCATGGGGCTGACTCTCTCCGAGGGCTTGATCCCCTCCCCATATTTCTGATGCAGCAGGTCTGGCGAGGGGCCCTGGGCATTTGCATGTCCAGCAAGCTCTCAGGTGACACTGATGCTGCAAATCCGGGTACCACATTTTGAGAATCCAGACTTTCTTTTCTGCGTATCATGAATACAGTTGAGATTTGAAATCTTTTCCCCTATAAAGCCCTCCATTAAAGTTATATCTTTTCTTTAGGTCTGATCCTTTTCTTTTCCTCTGTGCTGAGTGATAAAGATAGCAGTGGAAATTGGAGGACAAGTGTCTGTCTCTGATTGGCTTCTCTACAGAACTGAGGACCTGAGGTAGCACTTGGGGTGATAAAGTTATAAAACCACAGGCGCTTATAGGCTTGGGCAGAAAACATTCGTGTTGATGCCTTAGCAGTTTTTCTCCATGACTTGGAGGGCCTGGCTGTTGTCAGGGTTGCAGGTTGTTTGGAAGTCCACATGGCATGTAAATGGACCCACAGGGGAACCTGCTGAACGAAGGGACCCAGATTAGTGAGGTGGGCCACGCTGGTGGCAGTGCCAACTAGAGACATCTCTGTAGATCTGCCCCATGCATGTCTGGGCTTCCTTCCAAAGAGCGAAAGGAGATCTTATCTCGTAAAGCACACACTCTCTCTCCCCTTTCATCTGTTAACCCTATAAAATTGTGGGATGAGGGGTTTACTTACTCTAAATAATTATTTTTCAAAATTTGATTTCTTTTTTAAAAGTAAAAAAGTATCACCTACTGTGGAATGTTTAGACAATTCATAAAGGACAAAGAAAAAAATAATTTTGCATAATCAGATGTATATATATATCACCTTTTTAATATTTAGAGGCTTGCCTTTCAGGTTTTGTTTCTACTCTTGCTCTTTCACACATGTGCAAATCTTTCTGGGTACTATGTAGATCATGGCTGTTGTTGCCTCTTTATGGCTTTGCCTCTCACTCTGGGTACCAGCTATGTCTTTATAATCAGCTATAAGGCTCTGTTTGGTAGTTATCATTTCCCCATCACTGCCTGAGCTCATCGCCTCTTACTCCCTCTCCTCTCGTTTGGCTGGTTTCCTTTGCTAATCTGTGCACATGCTGCTCACCTCATGCTCAAGGCCTCTCTACTCACTGTTCCTTCTACTTCGAATGCTGTTCCCCAGTTCCTCACTTCTTTCTGGCCTTTATTCAAAAGTCCCTTCCATAGCGAGGTCTTCTTGGACCCCTTTAACATTTCACACACTTTTTTTTTTTTTTTTTGAGACAGAGTCTCCCTCTGTCGCCAGGCTGGAGTGCAGTGGAGCGATCTCGGCTCACTGCAACCTCCGACTCCTGAGTTCAAGCCATTCTCCTCCCTCAGCCTCCCAAGTAGCTGGGATTGCAGGTGCGTGCCACCACGCCTGGCTAATTTTTGTATTTTTAGTAGAGATGGGATTTCACCATGTTGGCCAGGATGGTCTCAATATCCTGACCTCATGATCCGCCAGCCTTGGCCTCCCAAAGTGCTGGGATTACAGGCGTGAGCCACTGCCCCCGGACTATTTCACACACTTCTTCCTGTAAACTTATTTCATTTCTTTCCTCCTTAGAAAGCATGACTAACTAACATAATATGTATTCTACATTTTACTTACTTGTCAACTATGGTCAGCTTCTCCAGCTAGAATATAAACTCCATGACAAAAGGCATCAATGGATTGCATTCTGCACTGTCCCCAGGACAGTGCCTGGTGGAGGGTTGACACCCCATAAAAAGCTGCTTTAAGATGTCAAATGAATGAGCTCAACAATACATCATAAATTATATTCCATATTCCATGGCATATTTTTCTATATCATGATTTTTAATAGCTGTTTCCAATAATAGCTTTTTCCTAATGTATCAATATATGACTATACCACAGTTAATTAAACATGAATTTAATAATGAATACACAACAGTTTGTTCAAATATTATCCTCTATTAACTTCAGTATTGTAAGTTTCTGCTTATTTTGCTGTTATAATCGGCACCTTAGCAATCAACCTTGTATGTATTTGCTCAAATCCTGATAATTTTCCTAGAATAAATTTCCAGAAATTAACTTTCTGGGTCAAGAAGAGTGTACCTTTAAGGTGTTTGATCCACATTCTCAAATCACTATCCAAAAGACTGTTTCTCTAAGCAGAGATTTCTAATGCTGATTTCTTTGCACCTTTGACAATAAGACATTATTTTTCAAAAATATTCCAATTTTTATGAGTAAAAAATGGTAACTCATTAAATAATTTTATGTTCCTTAGGTCACTGGTAAAATTGATCTTTTTTATATTTTTTAAAATTGGATATGTATATTTCTTTTCTTTTCTTTTTTTCTTTTTCTTTTTCTTTTTTTTTTTTTTTTTTGGTTTTGTTTTTGAGATGGAGTCTCCCTTTTGTTGCCCAGGCTGGAGTGCAGTGGTGGGATCTTGGCTCACTGCAACCTCCACCTCCTGGGTTCAAGTGATTCTCCTGCCTCAGCCTCTCAAGTAGCTGGGATTACAGGGACCTGCCACCACACCAGGCTAATTTTTGTGTTTTTAGTAGACGCCGGGTTTCACCATGTTGGTCAGGCTGGTCTCGAACTCCTGACTGCAAGTGATCTACCTGCCTCCGCCTCCCAAAGTGCTGGGATTAGGGACAAGAGCCACTGCGCCTGGCCTGGATATGTATATTTCTTTTTATCCATTTTTAGTTTATGTTGTTTGCTTAACTGGTGGGGTGTTAACTAGCTTTCTTTTAACGCTTTGCAAGTGTTCTTTATATAGCTAAGCATTTAAAAATATGTATGGTTAATATTTTTTTGCCATTTGCTTTTAAATACCTTCATGTTGTTTTTTTTTTCTACCATTACCTTACCTTGATCTTGGCTTCGTGTTATTTCTTGATATACAGAACATTTATATGAAATAGGATATGCATATATTTTATGTTTTGAACTGTTTTCAATGTAAGGCTTAAAAAGTTTAACTCATCCTAAGACTGTATGAGTATTTCTATTTATTTCTCCTAGTGACTTTATGGTTTCATTATTTTCCCCAAATTGTTATTCAGTCCTTCAATTCCATTTATTGAATAATGTCCTTTTCCTCCCTGACTTGACATTTCCTTTATTACATACTAATTTGAATGTGTTATTTTGTTGTTTTGGCTCTGACTGTTTTATTAACTTGTGCCTTTCTGTAGCAGAAACCCACTTTAAAAATTATTAGAGTTTTATAATATGTTTTTCACATTTCAGACTACAACCACTTCTCATTTTTGATTTTCAAAATTATCTTAATTATTTAGTATCCGTATTTTTCTTGAAGAAGAAATTCAGAATCATTTTGTTCCAACCTCCAGTGTTCAAACTTGCATCAGTTTTGCAAATACATATGGGAAGACATTATTGCTGTTGGCTAATTCAATTAGCAAATTCTTTAGTCCCTTTCTTTAGTGCCATTATGAGATGTGATTTGATATGCACTGCTTCTGGGGCAATGCCCAATTTCTGGAAGTTCTTCAGCTAGCAAAGCTCTGTTCCTCCAGGTGCCATCTTTTCCTGCTCCTTGCTACCTGGTTTCCCAACATTAGGAGACAGGGCCTTCTGTGAAAACCATGATTTCAGGATATGGCGCTATTGGAGCTTCCCTGTCTGCCCATGTAGCCTGTCTGTTTGTGGGTAAGGTGGGGAGCTGCATTCACCAGCATGCAATGTACTAACTGCCTTCCCCACCCTGACTGCTAAGTAGGCATGGATGTCACAGAATGGATGTAGAAAGATGGCGAAACAATGTGTGTTTTATTTATTGATGTGATAGCATGTGCTAAAGAAAGAATGGAAACAACAGAAGCCCATGGTACAGGATAACAGGTCAGCGATTTTGTTAGTACAAATCTGAGTCTGGGGGACACAGTGGAGATATCCTCCATGTCTTATCTTTGTTTCAGAGGTTTCTCTTTTATGGGACACAACTCTGGGTTGGTTGGTTTTTAATAAAAACAGTAGCTTATTCTTAAATATAGTTTTTGCTCTCTAGGTTAGGCACCATTCTAAGTACTTTCCACATACAAACTCATTTAATTCTCAAGACTGCCTTATGAGAGAAATCCTATTATGATTTGAGTTTTATGGCTTATCTCAATTGAACTCCTTATGCCTTACAGCAGGTAGAAATTCACTTTAGATTCTGGCATCAGGTGGTCTATCAAATTAATTTTTAGTGTGTGCTTCATCCTTTTCTATCTTCGTCAATATTTAAAAGTTATAGTTAGGGAGACATCTAGGGCTGCTAACCAGGTACATTTTAAACTGGAATTCATCTTTTATAAACCTTTTATTAGAAAATAAAACCCACATACAAAATTTAGAAAACAGATGTATCCCTTAATGAGTCCTAAAGTAAACACTATTATAACCACTACCCAGGTTGTGAAATAGATCTTTGCCAATCATTCCAGAAGCTTTTCCCATTGTCTCCTACCAAGGTTGACTCTCTCTTTTCCACAGAAGTAACCACTATCCTGACTTTTCCAGAATCACTTTCTTGAGTTTTTGTAAAATTTTATCACTAATGTACCCCTCTAATGAGCATAGTTTAATCTTGCCCAATTTTTAAAATCTTGACATACTTTTTACATCTATTTTAGTCTGCAGGTTTCTTTTTCATCTTTTATTCTTTACCATTTACCTATAAAAGAACCTGGGGGCATTTGACCTAAAGAGTTTTCTAAAGTATAGGTTTTGCTGATTGTGTACTTGTGATCCCCATTCAACACTTTCCTCTGTCCTTTCCGTCCTCTGAAAATTGGCAGATGGTTTCAGAGACTTGATTGGATTTGGGGTTGATACATTTGGCAAGACTATAAATGGTGTTGAGTTCTTTCATTAAGAGGCAGATGATATCTGATTGTCTCTCTTTTTGTGATGTTAGCAGCTGTTGATGCCCAATGCCTAGATCCATTAATTCATTGGAGGTTGCAAAGCTGTTTTCTTCTATTTTTTTCATTGATTAATTGGAATAATTTTATAACAAGTGATTTTCCTCATTTATTGTTTGATACTCTGTGCTTTTAGGAAAAGCAGAAAAAAATACTTCATTCTTTTCTTTTATCAGTGTCTAATTAAAGAACTGGTTCCCTATCATTCTACAAAGGTGAACAAACAGGTTTTTAGGAAATATTACTATGAATTCATGTATTTGGAGCTATTTGAAAAATCTTGGCCGCACACGGTGGCTCATGCCTGTAATCCCAGTACTTTGGGAGGCCAAACTGGGTGGATCACGAGGTCAAGAGATCGAGACCATCCTAGCCAACATGGTGAAACCCCGTCTCTACTAAAAATACAAAAAAAAATTTATCTGGGTGTGGTGGCACGTGCCTGTAGTCCCAGCTACTCAGGAGGCTGAGGCAGGAGAATCGCTTGAACCCGGGAGGTGGAGGTTGCAGTGAGCCGAGATCGCGCCACTGCACTCCAGCCTGGAGGCAGAGTGAGACTGTGTCTCAAAAAAAAAAGAAAAGTCTTGATCTTTTTAAAGATCCAATTGTCTCATTTGCTTCAAGGTTGCCTTTGAGTCCTTGTGTCATGACTGTAGTAGTCATTCCTAGCTTTCTTGTTGTCTAGCATGGCAAGATATTCCAGGATCATGTGGCACACTTCTTAGAATTAGTCTTTTTTTTTTTCCCCCCACAAAAGGCTGGGTTTCTTTTTGTGGCAATGGCACTTCAAGATTGCTAGGGTTTTTGAGTGCTAGGGAAATTTTGTAGAGTTTGTCATTGTTTTTAAGCCCTCTTCACTGGTTAGAATTAAGAAACATATATGTTTATATGATATCTCAAGGGTTTATACTAACACTTCCAATTCAAATCACAATTACAGGGTTTGATACTCGCCTGTATGCCATCTGCTCACTCTTTTTCTACACTGAGTATGTTGGTTCACAAAGACGCAGGAAACGATGAATTAGAATATCCCATAATTATTGATATACTTTATCCAATAATATTGTGCATATCCCGTGAATAACAATATTGATGCTACAGCACCAGTATAATTAACTGAGAAATTAAATCTCTTTATTGCAGCACATATTCTCCCCAGTGTCTCCCCATCTTTAAATATGCTGTATCTATGGTATCTGAGTTCACAGCCATTATACACTGTACTTTATCCCCATTGGTTCTATTTATCTTAATTATATCTATTTATATATCTATATGTATATATCTCAGACTACCACCAGTTGTTTCTTTTTTTTTTTTTTTTTGAGACTGGGTCTCAGACTGTTGCCCAGGCTGGAGTGCAATGGCACGATCTCGGCTCACTGCCACCTCCACCTCCGGGGTTCACGAGATTCTCCTGCCTCAGCCTTCCCAGTAGCTGAGATTACAGGCGAGCACCACCACACCCGGCTAATTTTTTTTATTTTTAGTAGAGACAGAGTTTCACTATGTTGGCCAGACTGGTCTCAAACTCCGGACCTCGTGATCTACCAGCCTCAGCCTCCCAGAGTCCTGGGATTACAGGCATGAGCCACCACGCCCGGCTCAACTACCACCAATTCTTATATCAATGTCTCCATAGTCATTTTGGTTATTAAAATCAATCTTACATTCTAGTAGGCACATCAGAGACAGCTCATGAGAACAAGCTTCCCTGAGTTCTGGCCTGTTTTCTCACTGGGTCCTTTATACTTATATGTCAGCTTTGCTGGATATACAAAATTTGTCACACATTATTTTGCAAGTCTAAAATATGTTACATCATTTGTTTTTGAAGTAAAACATTGCAGTTGAAATGTCTGATGATAATCTAATTTTGTTTTCCTTCCATCTTTTTCTTAAAGGCTCAGGTAATTTAAAAATATCTTTCTATACGGTTTAGTAATTTTACTGAAAAATTTTTTTGTGTTGATTGTTTTGGGTTGACATTTAGGGGTATACATGAGGCTCTTTCAATACAGTTGGCCCTCCATATTCATGGGCTCCACATTCATGGATTCAACCAACTGCAGGTCAAAAATATTTGATAAAATGAAATAAAAATAATACAACAATAAAAAAAATACAACAATAAAAATAATACAAATAAAAGATACAGTATAACTATTAGCATAGCATTTATATTCTCTTAGGTACTATAAGTAATGCAGGGATGATTTAAAGTCTACAGGAGGATGCATGTAGGTTATATGCAAACGCTGACATTTTCTTTCAAGGACTTGAGCATTTGCAGACTTTGACAACTGTAGGGGGTCCTGGAACCAATTCCCCATGGATACTGAAGGATGACTGCTTATACTTCCTTTAATTTTAATTGTAGGAGAGTTTTCTCAATTTATAGTTTGTTTTGTTTTGGTTTGTTTGCTGGGATTATGCCTGTAATCCCAGCACTTTGGGAGGCCGAGGTGGGTGGATTACCTGAGGTTGAGGGCTCGAGACTAGCCTGGCCAACATGGTGAAAGCCCATCTCTACTAAAAATACAAAAATTAGCTGTCGCGGTGGTGCGCACCTGTGATTCCGGCTACTCGGGAGGCTGATGCAGAAGAATCACTTGAACCTGGGTGGCGGAGGTTGCAGTGAGCTGAGATTGCGCCACTCACTGCCCTGCAGCATGGGTGACAGAGCAAGACTCACTCTCAAAAAAAAAAAAAAAAATCAAGATTGCTTTCCTAACTTAACAGAGCTTCTTTGAGAGAGAGAGAGAGAGAGAGAGAGAGAGAGAGAGAGAGAAAGAGTGTGTATGTGTGTGTGTGTAGTGTAGCATAGTGTTTAAGAACAGAATGGTTTGTTTACGGAAGTGTATTAGCTCCACTCTCCCCCACATTTGTCTGAACCTTTGCTTTGTCTCCATTGTTTTTGTCCTCAGTTTTAATTCTACTCTCAGCAGTTTCTCCTCAGTATGAAGCTGTGGTCTGAAAAAAGTTCTGGTGGGTTGTACAGAAAATTTGCAGGTCTAGGCTGTGTCTGCCCCTCCAGGCTCTCCACAGACCTCTCTTATAATCTGCTGTGGGGATGGGACATGCGCTCCTGATGCCAGCTGCTGTTCTCACACAGGGCTGCCAGGCTTTCTGTGAATACCTGCTGCTATTGAGGGTTCCTCTGGCTCCAGGTCCAGCAGAGCTCTCATTGCCTCACTCTATTTCCCTGCACAGATGCTGATAGCATGCAGATTTTGTGCTATTACTGGTTTATTTCCATTCACTTATTTTTGAGGTTCATGAGAACAACCATGTCACCTAGTTTTGTAATAAATATTATCTGTGAGTTTTTTATTTGCCTTTCTAGTTCTATTTTTATTTGGGAATTTAGAGAGATTTTAAAAAAACGATACCACTGCTGCCAACATTTTCTGAGAACTCTCATTTTATTTTGTATGTACGTAGTTTTCATCAATCGATAGATATTTATTAAATGGTCTATGGCAGGTCCTATTATAGACACCAAGGATATAGCTATGAACAAAACAGAGTTTCTACCCTCAAGACATATAATAGGAAAAGAATGGTATTGAACATATACACCACTAAATAAGTGAAAAAACATCAAATATAAGTCAATTTCATGAAGTAAATGAAATGAGATAATATGTATCTATTCTTTTAAACCATTTGATTACATGTATATACACACAGACATACATACACATACTTTATATACACACATATACTTATATGTATGTATACACACACATATACATACTCACACACAAAGATATTTGACTTACATACAAATATGTTTGAATAGTATTTTCTGGATTACAAAGTGTGTTTCCATACAATGCATTCTTTTATCTTTTTATGAATAGGCAGATAGGGTAGGTTTTACTCCCCATGTGACAGAGGAGGAATTTCATGTTTAATAATTATAAGTGATATCCAATACACTTACAGCCAAAGCTTCATCAAGTATCTTTTGAATCTGAATCTGCTCTTTTAAACTTAATATTCTATTTTTTAGTACCACATTACATAAAACACTGTGCTGGGGGTTAGAGATGACACCTTTTCAGCCCAAATAATTGAGTTTCAATGAGAGACAATAAGATATATGCTTAGTGCTGTCAGATGGGGGTGGGGGGGTGGGGGGGCAGGCCTGAAGGAAGTTCTGTGGGAGTGAGGAAGCATCAGCTGTCTTTGTGGTGGGATGTCCCGGGGAAGCCTAATGAAGGAGACTGCATCTGAGTGGCCCTTGCATATAGAGAGACGGGGCATTTCTAGTTGGAGTGAACCATGTGAACAAAGACAGGTAGACATATCCTTAACGTAGCTGGAGGAGAGCGAGAGTTGAATCAACTGTTTAGTTTTTCTTCATACACTCATCATTCAATGAGTTTTTAAGTTACTATGTGCCAGGGCAGAGATAGAAAGATAGATAGGGAAGGAGCTTAGTCTAGTGGGGGAGAGGTGTGCTCCCCACCTGATTCGAAAGTGAAACCTTTCAGTGGGACTGAATCTTCACTTACCTGCAGCATCCAACAAAAACAGGCAGCCGGGAGATGAGGAGCAGAGGATTTTAGTGCTGGGATTCTGAGCCATTTTCTTGGCAGGCTGCTTGGTGTTCCTAACCTTGAAAAAAATCAATTTGCTTGGAGCATATTATGTCTGAAAAGCACCCGTGGAGGAAAAGACTAGAAAAGTGTATTGAGTGTTAGATGTTAGCGGAATTTAAATGTCATGATAAGGAATTTATTTTGGGGTAGTAAAGTGTGGTTGAGAGTTTTTGACAAGAAGACTGACCTAAGATGCCAGTGTGTCCATGAATTCGGCCAAAAATTCAAAAATCAGTCCCACCACTTTCTGAAAAGATGACATATTGAAGAATTTATTTAAACCCTCTGAGCTTCATTTTCTTGATCTGTTAAAATTGGGAATTTATTTATGTATTTATCCACTGACACCTCATTTATTCATTCATTTTTAAGTTCAACTGATATTTAATAATTAGTTCTGGCTGGGCGCAGTGGCTCACGCCTGTAATCCCAGCACTTTGGGAGGCTGAGGTGGGTGGATCACGGGGTCAGGAGATTGAGACCATCCTGTCTAACACGGTGAAACCCCGTCTCTACTAAACAAATACAAAAAATTAGTTGGACATGGTGGTACATTTCTGTAGTCCCAGCTACTCAGGAGTCTGAGGCAGGAGAATCGCTTGAATCTGGGAGGCTGAGTTCGCAGTGAGCTGAGATCGCATCACTGTTGCCTGGGTGACAGAGCGAGACTCTGTCTCAAAAGAAAAAACAACCAATAATAAATAAATAAATAAATAAGTAAATACTCAGTTCTGGAGCTACATGGTCTAATGCAGTAGCCACTCACTCAAAAGTGCTATTGAACACTTGAAATGCAGATAGTCTGAATTGAGATGTGCTATCAGTGTGAAATATACACTTGATTTGGAAGTGTTAGTATGAGAAAAAGAATATAAAATACCTCATTAATAATTTTTATGTTGAATACTTCCTGAAAGGAAAGAAGAAATAAGTTTAAGAGAGCTATTGTACAGCATGGTGACTATAGCTAATGATAATAGATTATATTATTGAAAAATGCCAAGACAGTTGGTGTTAAGTGCTCTTGCCACAAAAATTATTGCTATGTGAGGCAATACATATGTTAATTAACTAGATTTAACCATTCCACAATGTATATATGCTTCAAATGCATAGAATTTTATCTGTCAATTAAAAAATAAATTTGAAAAAATGTTTTTTGAAATTAATTTTGTGGTTCATTTTTTCAAAGATATGTCATTTAGAATATTTAAATGTGGCCTCATTTACAGCTTGTACTGTATTTCTATTGGACGATGCTGCTCTAGATACTGAGTGTACAATATTGAATAGTGGTCAGAGACAGATAGTAAATAAGCACATTTAAATATCTAAGTCATCTAATTCTAGACTGTGAAATAAGTGCTGTGATCTTCCCACCTGCCTCTCATCCCACCTTTGCTCTCTCGGGCCCCTCTATTCATTTGCAGCATTTTCTTAGCCACTTCTCTTGGTTAGTGGGGCTTATCTAACTTACATAGTTGTCCTCTCTCAGGAACTCTGGCTAATTTCTCCCTTTTGGGGTCTTGCAACTAATGTGACCATCTGTTTAAATATTTCTTCAATGACTGAAAAAACAAGCTAAAGCCATCCAAATTCCAAAGGCAAACAAAATTCTTCAACTCTCTTCAGTAGAAATCTTCATTCTGTCTTTCCTTTATTGTCAAAAATTACCATTTCCCCCAATACTATGGAAATTGGGAGTTTTCATCCACAGAGTGTGTAGTTTGTATCCAAACAGCAGGGCATATATCTGTCTAGTTCATGCCATCCTTCCTGTAGACACTACAGCTTCCCCATGGGACTCTGAACATCACCCACCTTCTAGCCATAGGACACATCCTTTGTATGTGGACAAACTCACACAATAACATGTCATTGCAGTTATATCCATTTCAGTACAGAGTATGATGCCACTTTATGCCAATTGGCCTTTTCCTAAGACAAAGCAGTCATATTGGTAAGAAAACGAGGGAGATAGTACATTAGGTGGAAAACAGAGTTAAGTGACCAAATTAGAAATGGTTAATGAATGGCCATGTCAAGTCGTTCAACTATTTAGTTCATGTTTATCAAGTCTGTTTTATAAATCCAGACCTGTGTCAGGCACTGGCTATGATGGGAGGATAACTTCTAAAGTTCTTATAAATTTCCTGCCTTTAAGATGTTTTTAGAAAGACAATTCTAAAACAAAAACAAAATGCTAATAAAGCAATTAAAGGGCAGGACCAAATCAAAATGTATGGCAAGGATGTTAAGGACTGGGAGAGGTCAGGAAGGAAGATGTGGATGAAATTTGCAGACGTCTTGAAATAACTCTTGGAGAAAATGGACCTTAATATCTGGATGTGACTTAAACAGGTCAGGAGGAGAGAGAACAGCTTGACCCAAATGGAGTGGAAAGGGATGCATGAGAGAGAACAGTGGGAGATAACGTTACCCAGGACCCTGTAGTCAATCAGGAAATGTGACTTCCAGGCCTTCTGATCCCAGTAAAGTGGGAGAGAAGAGACATCATTTTCTGCATTCTGCTTTTCTCCAAAGTTAAGTACCAGAATATAAGGAGCAACATGCATAACACTGGAAATAGTGGCGTTTATTGGACATTCTATCTTACTACAGGGTATGTGCTGAGAGGTGCAGTTATTTCTGCGTCTAGCAGAAGGTATCAGATGACTGTTGCCTTCAGGTATAGCTTAGTAGCAGCTGCAAGTGGAGTTTCATTATAGCCACAGAATGTCTTGCCAAAATCAACACCAGTGATCAGGATTTTAGAATGTCTAGCCAGTGCTCAAAGAAATTCCATATACTACATGGGAGCCATCATGAACAAAATACTCCTCATTATGATTCGCTTCCTGAAAGAGTTTCACCTACAAGAAGAGGATGCCTGGAAAAGAGAAAAAACAACACCTTAAGCTTCAAATTTCAACATATCTTTGGGCTTTTGAAATCATTTAAATGAATCTTTTAGACTTTTCCTCTAGAACAGAATATTGAGATACAATTCATATGTCACAAAACTCACCTATTTTTAAAGTATAAAATTCAAGGGTTTTAGGTATATTCACAGAGCCGTGTGACTGCCAGATCTACAGTAACCTTGGAAACTCTTTACCCATTAGCAATCACTCCTCATTTCCCCTCCCATCTCCCTCCTCCCTGCTCCCCCACTGCCCTCTGATTCCTAGACAATCACTAATTCACTCTCTGTATTTATAGATTTTCTTATTCTGGAAATATCACATAAACAGAGTCATACATTATGTGGTCTTTTGTGATGGATTGGCTTCTTTTATTTAGCATAATGTTTTCAAGATTCATCCATACAGTAGCCTGTATCAGTTCTTTAATCTTTTGGTTGCAAATACCATGCCATTGTATGGACATACCACATTTTATTTACTCCCTCTGCAGTTGGCAGACATTTGGGCTGTTTCCACTTTGGGCTATTATGAATGATGTGGCTATAAAAACTCATGTAAAAATTTTTATGTGGACATATATTTTTATTTCTCTTGAATGAAATACATTCAGTTCTCATTTTCCACAGTAGCTATGTTCTATAAAGTTGTCATCAACACTGAATTAGCAAATGCTGAGCCACTGCTTCTAAGTAAAATTCAGGATTAGGTCTGGGAGACCTCTGGTCACAATATTTTTGTCAATCCATCCATATGTAACCTTGTTTTGTGTGTGTTTCTGTTTAGAGACACCTTATTGAATATATATATATATAGTAAATTTCTTTGCTTTTTAGCCTCACAACACTGCTATCCACTATGCTTTTTAATCGATTGTTATCTCTGGAATTCACAAATTTAGACAACTGTTTTCCATCGCTCCATTACTCTCTATGCGTGTTTCTTTAGCATTTTCTGGAGTGGTCTCACATACAGACCAGTGAATTTTCTCTCTCTCCTTCTGGATGTAAGTAGTAGTGATTGCTTCACATTGAACTCAAGGCCAGCAGCACTATGACGCATGCCTGAGTGAAGCTTAGCTAACTCGTGTGTTTTCTCCATAAGGAGTTTCACCGAACTCCTCACTCTGCCATTCTGAAAGTGCATGCCTCTCTCTTAGGCTTTCTACCTTCACCTAAAGCAAAAGAGAATGAGGACAATCATCTGAATTAAATTAAAGAAATCTTTATAACAAAAGGGAAAGGTGTTTGGGGATTAAATTTCTAGCCAGTCAGTGAGGTTTTCCATCCTGATTGAATTCTTCTGAAAACTTTTTAACTTTGCAAAATGCTTTGACTGAGCAGCCTTAGGTTACTCCACAAACATTCTTTTTATTTCTTTCAGCAATGTGGACGTTGCATTTAAACAGTCTGACTGAATTTTTGCCTCCAGTTTGAAACTCATATTTTAAAGATAATCTTTAAGCCAGAAACTTTAAATATATTCATTGAGGTCAATTAATCAAACTGTATGGAGTTTCTACCCCGGGCTATATATCAACCTTGCTCTGGATGCAGCAAGATACTCTAATGAAAGTGATGTCCTAATTCTTTTTGTGCTACTGTAACAGAACACCACAGCCTGAGTAATTCATAATGAACATAAATGTATTCAGCTCATGGTTCTAGAAGCTGGGAAGTCCAAGATTGAGGGGTTGGATCTGGTGAGGATTTTCTTGCTGTGTCATAACATGGTGGAGGGCATCACACGGTGACCGAAAGCAAGTGAGGGTTGAACTTGCTTTTACAGCAATCCCACTCTCTTGATAACAAACCCCCTCTCTCCATAACAGCATTAATCCATTCATGGGGGCTCAGCCTTCTTAAAGGTCCCATCTCTCAACACTGTTGCATTGGGGATTAAGTTTCCAACATATTCAAACCATAGCAGATGATATAATCTAGAGTTGCAAAGAGCCATTAATTTGGGATTTTGGTGGCTAAGAATATGCAGTTAAAACTCTGCATAGTGGGCTGGGCAGTGGTGGCTGATGCCTGTAATCCCAGCACTTTGGGAGGCCAAGGTGGACAGATCACTTCAGGTCAGGAGTTCGAGACTAGCTTGGCCAACATGGTGAAACCCCATCTCTACTAAAAATACAAAAAATTAGCCAGGCATAGGGTGTGCACCTGTAATCCCAGCTACTCAGGAGGCTGAGATGGGAGAATCACTGGAACCCAGGAGGTGGAGGTTGCAGTGAGCCGAGATCGTGACACTGCACTCCAGCCTGGGAGGCAGAGTGAGACTCCATCTCAAAAAAAAAAAAAAAAAAAAAAAAAAAAATTCTGCATAGTTGTGTATCCACCAGCGTCATTAGAGCAGTTAGTGTTAGTGGCAGTTAGAATTGCACTATGTGAATAACTGGCCCCTTTTGTAAAGTATCTCACTAAGTGTGTACTGTTGGCATGAAAGGCTGCCTAACTTTTCAGGGCCTCACAGCCCCTCTATTGTCAGGTACCTAAAATTGCCTGGTCCCTCTTTTACAACTATGGCATACCTATATCCCATGATACATTATTGTATAAGAATTGGTTTTCCTCTTCTATTATTTTTAATTTTTCTATATGATAATGAGATTGCTCAGGAGAGCAGAAATCTAGGAATATATATTAAAACTACCATTGTGAAACTAACATATTTCCCTACTGAACCCTCAAGTTGGTTTATAAATTGTTGTCACCTCTGGTTCTTTACCTGGCCATCTTTCTGTCAGTTGGAAAAATGGTGGGTTGCCATAGACCTCCCTGTGTTACCTGCCTCCTCTTTTGACTTTTATGTCATACAAGTTACTAATCCCACAAATGAACCCTCTGCTCCACTCATTCAGTACACACTTGAAGGTCCTCCAGTGTGGTAAATGTGGTGCTAGGTGCTGGCTCCTCACTATCAATGAGACAGTTTCCTAGACCTTAAAGAAGTTTTGCCATCTCATGAGGCAGACAAATATGAAAACAAGTAAGTGCAATAATTCCATGTTCTGTAGAAGAAGAATGTACAAGGCACCCAGGAGACCCAAAGGCTGGTTCTCACTTCTCCCAGACAGTAGAGGGAGCCAGAAGGAGTTTCAGGCTGGTACAGTGGCTCACTCCTACAATCCCAGCACTTTGGGAGGCCAAAGCAAGAGCATTGCTTGAGCCTAGGAGTTCGAGGCCAGCCCGGAAAACAGGTTGTAGACATTCTCTCTCTACAAACAATAAAAAAGTATTATCCAGGTGTAGTGGCATGTGCCTGTGATCCTAGCTACTCTGGAGGTTGAGGTGAAAGGATTGCTTGAACCTAAGGAGTTCCAGGCTATAATGAGCTACGATAGCACCACTGCACTCCAGCCTGAGTGACAGAACAAGACTCTGTAGCCAAAAAAAAAAAAAAAAAAAAAAAGAAAAGCAGCAGCTTCCCCTCAAGGAAGTGATGAGCCAGGAAGACAGATTCTGGTACGACTGAATTAGACACGAAGTGATTCAAAAGGGCATTCCAGCATTTCCTTTAAGAAGGCTTAAAGATGAAAACCCACACAGTCCTGATTTACATTAATGTTTTTTTTTTAATCTTACAATTAGGAGTATGTGAGTCCAATATGAGACTCTAGTTCTTTGATTATAATACTTCCCCTTATTTTCTGTCTACTTCTCCAATTCTCCTGGTGCCAGCCTCCTTGATAACAGGGCATGGAGTCATATTCATCTACCACAGCACCTAACACAATTAGTAGGTCCTTAAAAATGTGTTGGGTAAATACATACCATAAGTCCATTTTTCATTCATTAAGGGCAACTCTTTGTCCTGGAAACTAGTTCTCAGTCATTTTGTATGGTGATGCTGGCCTCTATGTCTGGGCCTCTAGACTTTCTTTAGGCATTTCTACCAGTTAGAGCTTCAGGGAGAAAGGCCAGGCATGGCTGGAGTTTTCACTGGAAGTGGTGGAACAGATGCATAGATTCTAAAGAGAATGCACAGATGAACAGATACACAGATTCTAAGACTGAGAATTAAGCTCTGGCTTATGAACTTGTTCCTAATTTTAAAAAATTACACGCTTTGACCTATGTCATGCGTAAGTAGTTAAAAAAATGGTATAATTCAAACACTCACTTTCACCCTGATAATCTTCCTTTTTAAAAAAGGGTAAGACTTGATTTCATTCTTTTTTATGGCTGAGTAGTATTCCATGGTGTGTGTGTGTGTGTGTGTGTGTGCATTTACATTTTCTTTATCCAATCGTCTATTGATGGACACTTATGTTGATTCAATATATTTGCTATTGTGAATAGTGCTGCAATAAACATAAGAGTGAAGTTATCTTTTTAACACAATGATTTTTTTTTCCTTTGGGTAGATACCCATTAGTGGGATTTCTGGATCACATGATAGTTCTATTTTTAGTTCTTTGTTACGCTAATAGCCCAGACTTCACCGTTCTGCAATATATCTGTGTCACAAAACTGCACTTGTATCCCTCAAATGTACACAAATTTTAAAAAGTGAGACAAATATATATCCTCCAGCATGTAGTAAAGAGGCACCAAGTTTGGTCTCTCATTCCTCTTGCATAATCTACTCCTCATTTAATGGGCTGGAACCCTTCAGGAACTCCCTGATTTGCCTCTTCCTGGTGATCCTGGTATATGCCATCTCCCTGGCTTCCATCCTGTCTCCTAGGCTTGACTGAGGAGGTAGGTAGCTCAGGGGAGCCAGGAAGCCAACCCTGCCCCTTACCTCCAGGTCCATTTCATTTCCATAGTATTCCACACAGAACTAAAAGTATTCGTACTATTTTGTTTTTTTCTCTATGGAGAAAACTGAAAGCACTTTGGCTTTAAACCCTCAGCGAGAGTATTGCCAATGAGCACAGCCTCAGGGCTACTAGATTTCCTAGCAGGAGAGGACCTATTGGGAAAGCCCCTCCTCTCTCCAGTGGTCCCTTCCACTCACTGACAACCTCCATCCCAGCCCCAATGTTTGAAGTCTCTCCCTGAACTTCAGGCAAGCCTCCTGCTCCTGGGACACACACACAACCCCTTCCTTCCAAGGATGAAATGCTAATTATCAGAGATATTACAGACTAATGTCTTAAGGAGGAAGGAATTCATTTCCTAACTACCACATAATTTGCAAGGCAACACTCTCTCTAGCAGTCTGGACATCTTATTACTATGCAGATAAAATATGTAATTCCCTTCCTCCAACCAGTTGCCACCCTCATCCTCCTCACCATCCAATTTTAAATTGTACTGTCTGGGCTCACTAGGAATAAGAGAAGCGGCCATTGTGGGGCCATATACTCATTCCAGCTTGCTCTTTAACAAAGAGATGTTCGGCTATTGCTGCACCATTAAGGAATAGATTAACTTCTTATTTAAAAGTCTGTTCTGCCCTCCATTTCTAACTAAGCAGGAGGGGAAGCAATGGATTACTCCTTCCCTTCATAAGTATAGGTAATTGATGACCTGCGAGCACAATAGCAGGTCACATGGTCTGACCAAGGTTTTATTTTTTTCTGAATTATGATTCATTTTCATTAAGTATTACAAAGGAATAAAAATCCAGCTGGATTTAAGCATTTTGTGCAGCATTTAATGAATCACCTTTCCTGAAAAAAAGGAAAATTACACAAACTCTCCCAGAAAATCCAGCCAGCACAGTCATCATAGCTTTATGATACAGAATCGAGTTAATTATGAAAAACACTCAATTCCTTAAAGAAATCTCTAAAAATCTTGAACATCATGGCCATGTATCCTGGTGAGGCTAAAATTGGTCAAAAGCAGAGCGGAATAACAAATGATAATTTCTGCTAAATAATTCAGGCTATCTGAACTCTGATATTTTACAGACTTTAATGAGTATAATGGGTCCAATTAGAGACTGCTTTCCTTCACCATGCCAGGCTCAATGTGCCCTCTCTTAATTGTGGGCCCCGTTTTTATTTGGATAACTCATCTCTACAAATTTGTCCTGAAATCCCAGTATCTGGCATTAATAGCTACTAACTGTATGTCAAAGTCAGTCACTGAGTAAGTTTTGATGATGATTATCATGAAGAAAAAGAGATTGCACCGGGGCCGGTCAGGGGGTGGGGGGGCTAGGGGAGGGATAGCATTAGGAGAAATACCTAATGTAGATGACAGGTTGGTGGGTGCAGCAAACCACCATGGCACATGTATACCTATGTAACAAACCTGCACTTTCTGCACATGTATCCCAGAACTTAAAGTATAATAAAAAAATTTTTTAAAAAAGAAGAGAGTAGAAAGCAAGGCAAAAAGAGAGAGAGACAGCTTGCAGAACAAAAACTAGATATTTCAATACACTAGTTCGTCTGGGTAAGTCTCATTTGTAAAAGAATGGAATGGGTTTCTCTCACACGTGGCCTTTCTTTCTCCCTGCGCAGGGAAGTGATGCCGACATGGTGGATAAGAACAAGTGCTGCACACTCTGCAACATGTCATTCACTTCAGCGGTGGTGGCCGATTCCCATTATCAAGGCAAAATCCACGCCAAGAGGTTAAAACTCTTGCTAGGAGAGAAGACCCCATTAAAGACCACAGGTACGTGCAGGAACAGTGATCGTGGGGAGACCCTGAAAACCAAGTGCTGGCCTGTCTTGCAGATCATGCTCCTCCTTCAGACGCAGTTGCCAGAACCAGAGCCTAATGGTAGACGTCATTCAAAGCCTAAAGGGATGAGTGGCTGACCTCAGCAGACCTGGCTGTCCTAAGACCCCTAAATACCATTTCAGGTGCTCATTCTATCACCCTAGTTCCTTTCGATGAAGTAATGCAGCAGCTTGCATCTGCTGAAGAGCTGTGTGCATTGTCTATCATTCCTACTGTGTATTATATAAGATGTGATATCTATTCTGTTTTCTAGATTCCGTCTGCAATTAGTGTGGATCATGCATGCTGTGTCATGTGTAATAGAGAGGTCCCCTACCAATGTCTATAATGCAGGACATCATCCTTTTTTTTACCTTGGCAGGGGAGAGTGGGAGGAAAAGAAAGGAAAACTATAATCTTTAAAAGTACTTTAGTGTGCCAAGAACTGATTTATTTATTTTTTTTTCTGAGATGACATTCTCATCATCTTTGCAGGGGATCCTGTGATTCATCTTGCAGGAGATCCTGTGATTCAAGCCTATTAACTTTCACAAGTAAAACCTTAAATATTGATAACCGATGATTTGACCTTCTAATTGCTTAACTAAAATAAATTCTTCAGAGGTCTATCACATCATGAAACTAAAACACTGTTATAATTTAATCAAGATAAACTATTTGGACAAGATTTATGTTGTGGCAGAAATGTGACCAAACAGGTTAGAATCCAGAGAAGTTGGGGGCGTATTTCATGGTGCCTACTCTTTCCATGCGATTAAAATTTAGCAGTACATTTTATCTGCTGTCTAATGAATCATGCATAAACTGTAGGTGTAATTATTTTGTAAATGGCATTTTGCAAACTGGAGAGAGCCTAAAACAATGCTTGGCTTTTATCCTTACCACTGTTTTTCTTAAGAAAAAATGTATTCTTTTACCTAGAGAATCACAAGGAATCATTTTACTGTATTTTTCTATTTAGTTTAACTAAACAACATTGTTTTTGTAAAGGTGGCTGTGACATTCAGGCATAGGATGAGGTTGCAAAACACATGAAATCTGGAGACAAGCTCAGTATGTTTGGGGGCACAGGTTGTGTTTCAGCCTTTGACAAGCAGCCAGTCAATTGAAACTCCTGATTCTTGCTCCCTTAAATGTTGCATATTCACCTTGTAACCTACTCCCCATCAAATCTCTTAAAATAGACACCTCAAAAAAACAGTCACTGGAAAATTTTTACCTGTTTTCCATGAATTAATAACCAGTCCATTTGTTCTCTCTGCTGAAGCAGAATATTACTGTTAAATTAAATTTTGGAGGTAATGATGGAAGAGGAGAAGGTGTGTGTTTGCTTATCACATCAATTAGCAAATGGGAGAGTTATTCTTTCTGCAAAAAAAAAAAAAAAAAAAAAAAAAAAAAAAAAAATTGCCACATGGCAAAACCAGTTCTTTGTGAATTTAAATACAGCTTCAAGACAACCAAGCATCCAATTGTTTTCCTGAATTCAAACACCCTCAGATCTGGGAAATAGAACTCGAGTGTAATTTGTTAGCCATCATCAATACATTCCAAAGGAAAAGGAAAAAGCGAAGTACAGCCTTTACTTAATGGCTTAGTCTTGGCTGTTCATGGGACTAGCTCAGCCCTCCCTGTTGCAGAAACCAGGTTGCTGGATAGGCAAGAAGGGAACGAATAGGGTGTGGTGCACCGAAAGCTATGGCTCAGGTTGGGCCTGCCTTGCGCCAGCTCCCCCTTCACACCCAGCTTATACCCCCTTCTGCAGCTTGCCCTCCCATCCATTCCCCTCTGTCACTGCTTTGAGCAGAAAGGATCTTGGAAAGTGGCAGCACCAGACAGATCAGAGGGCCTAGGAAGCTAAACTGGCTCCTGGCTTGGGTTGGTGTCAACCCAGCTGTTGGCAGGGAGCAGAGAAAGCAAGGCCTCCTACTAGAGGGAGCAAGTAGTCAGACATGAGGCAGTTTGGTCAATAGGAGAAAAGACATGCAAATGTATGCAATGTGTGTACACGAGCGCCTTCAGAATGAAGACCCAAATGCAGTAGAAATTGGCCATTTTTATGGTTACTTCAACAAAGTAAGGGCAGCCTTGTAGAAATATGATTGCACAAAAAGGGAACGATCTAATGCTGTTGGACAGAGTGGGGACACCTAGCAAAGCCTGTCTGTCTAGATTCTTCTTGGCCTCTCTGAGCAGCACTCCTTCCTTCTGGGTGTGGGGCAGGACCCTCTCTGGAAAGGGGGTCTCATGTCCTACTCTCCAGCAAGGTCAAACAGATAATTTCTTTATGGTCAGTTTTTACACAGAAAGGTGAGGGGAGTGAGGGGAAGTTAGATCAATAGTTTTTAGGTTTTATGGCTGGCTTTGGGGAAAAGGCGGTTCTGGTTTCTAAGATCTGCCTTGGAGAAGCAGGTTTCCAGGCTATCCTTGGGGGAGAATGGGACTGGGAGACAGGAGGGTAGGAGAATGTCAGAGAAAAACTTCACTTCTGAGGCTGCTGCTCAGGTCTTCATTTTGAGATATTGTTTTGAGTCCCAACAGCAGAAGTAGGCATTGTGGGGGTGTCCCAGGTTAAGGGTTGAAGGCCTGATAGGAGGATGGCACCAGCATCGGAGGCTCTGGGCCCAGGGAGCATGCAAATGAACCAGCAGTGTGCCGGTGTTGGGAAAGCCTGGCAGATGGTAGCAAGGCCTGCTGCAGTCCTGGGTTCTAGGAAAGGATAGGCTGAGAAGACCATGGCAGGACACCACCATTTAATACAAGCATGCTGGGCTGGAGACCACGCGTAGAAAACAAAACAGGAACCTGAATTCTAGCCTTAGAGTATAAGGTGGAGGCTTGTTCTCAAGTTACTGCAAGTACAGGAGAAAGACCAGGAGGCACTGGAAAAGAAAACCCACACTATGGCCTCCTGAATTATCAAGTACAGCTCCCTGAATGGAGTCCGGATGGCCATCCTCCCTTACTGCCTGCAGCCACACCCAGCAGCAGCTTCTCCAGGGCTTCACCTTCCACGTGGTGGCTGCCTTGTGCTCCTCTAGGAACCGCTCTGCCTAATTAACCAAGCTGGCTTGAAATTGCTTCTATAATAAAAACAAAAGGAAAAAAAAAGGAACACAGAAAATCCAGTCAACTGAATCAAGATGTAAGAGAAACAATTTTGCTCAGGTATGCTGCCCCCACCCCCGTGAATAACAGGCTCTTGAACTGGGGTGATTTCTGTGTTGGAATAATTGAACCACAACTCATTGCTTCTGCCAGCTACTTCGTCTGATGAGGGTGAGCAGTTGGGATCTGTGAATCACTACCTTTCCACCCCCTCCAGCTGCCCTTTGATCAAGCATCTTCTGGGTCTCCTGCAGAATGAGTTGCAACTTGAGTCGCCTTCTCCAGATGGGTGCATGTTTACTAGAATTTCTGAAATGCTTGGCAGAGCCGCTGGAATAACACTCATTCATTTACATATTGTCTGTGGCTGCTTTTATGCTGCAATGGCAGAAGTGAGTTGTTATAACAGGGATGATCCAGGTCACAAAGCCTAAAATATTTGCTATGTGGTTCTTTACATACAAAGTTTGACTCTTGATCTAGAGACTGGATGATCTTGAGGAACATGCATCAAGGAGGCAAAGGGTTTTTTATACAGAAACTCACAACGGGTGCTAGGGTGAGTGTCTGTATAAAATGGAAGCAGTCTTCCCAGGCTGTGCACCAGTCAGGAGCTGGGGAGGTGCCTGGGATAGAGATTGATGAAAAGGATGTGACTGAGAGCAGGCTCATACCTGTAATTCCAACACTCTGGGAGGCTGAGGCTGGAGGATTGCTTGAGCCCAGGAATTTGATACCAGCCTGGGCAATGTAGTGAGACCCTTTCCCTACAAAAAAATAAAAATTAGCCAGGCATGATGGCACATGCCTATAGTCCAAGCTCCTTGGGAGGCTGAGGTGGGAGGATTGATTTAGCCTGGGAGGTTGATGCTGCAGTGAGCTGAGGTTGCACCACTGCACTCCAGCCTGGGTGACAGAGTGAAACCCTGTCTTAGGGAAAACAAGAAAAAAGACCCCAGTCATTGGGTTTAGGGCACACTTTAATCCAATATGATCTCATTTTAGCTTAACTAGTTACAGTTGCAAAAAACCTATTTCCAAAAACATTGACATTCTGAGCTTCTAGGGGGACATAAATTTGAGGGGACACTAACCCGGTATATGAGCAAACTCCAGTTAACTGCTGGCAGCTGGCAAAGATCATAGGCCCTGATTCTGTGCCTGCCCCCAACCTCTTTTTTTTTATGATAAATCCATATCAGCAAGATCTCATTCAAAATCCTGAAGAAAACATCATTTAACTCTTCTCTTTAGAAACTTACTTTTGGAGAAAATATGAATGAGAGGAAATCTGATGTATGGAAGAAAATCCTTAAACTATAGTTATTCTCCATTTTCCACCATTCATCAAAGTGATTTTTAAGATTATGCATAATTGGAATGGTTAGGTTCTATCCAGCATTAATAAGAACATTCATCTGTGTCTGTAGCAGAGACTTTGCTTATCAGACACCCATTTGCTTTTTATCTGCCCCAGACTTGCAATTGATTGTGTGTTAAGACCTGGCTACAAGATGGAAGAGAGCCATTCAACTGCGTTAGACTTTGCACGAACAAGAAATAAGCCTTTATTGTGATACTTTGCGGTTGTATGGTATTACAGGAGAGTCTAATCTATCCTGGTGGCTACATTATCCCTTAAAGTTATTGTTTCAGTTATAAGCTTTTATGAACACATCTATCATTCACAGTAAAAATGGATATGAGTGCAATCTTTCATATAATTCCCAGACATCATTAGTTTGACAGGTAATGACATCAAATTTAGCAATAACCTTTCTTTCATTTTTGACCCTTCAGAGTTTGAAGTGGCCCTAGGGTTATGTGTGTCTTCAGTAACAAGGCTGGATGGATAGAGAACCATTCTGAGGTGTGCTCTGCAGGGACCACAGTTATTACTGCCTCTGTTCATGACTGTACCTCTGGGCACATAGTAGGTATTTAATTAATACTTGTTCGATGTGTAAAAATTGGAAGCATACATTAGAATAATAATAGGCAGTTAAGTGTCTATAGTTTTATTTTCAAATTTAGTTACCTTGGTTATTTAAATTTTAGTCAAGTATGATGGTAAAAAACAGTGGTTTTCCAATTTAACAGGAATGTATCATCCCTGTCCACTTGCTTGATCTTACAAAACTCCTTTCTTTGTAAAATAGGTGATATACCAAATACCAGAGGCCACAAACAGAGGCTGTGAAGTCAGACCCAGTTTTAAATTCTGCTTATATCCATGGGAACATTCACAGGTGGTTTTAACTGTTCAGCCCTCAATTTGTTAAAGGTAAAGTGACGGAAACACATTACAGAATTACTATAGTAAGGCAGAAGATATAAGTAAAATACTTACTATAGTGTCTGCCACACAATTCAGTGTGGAATGGATATATTATTGTATGTAAATACATACAAGTGTAAGCATACACACAACTGATCCTCATTGTTTGAGGATTCTGTATTTATGAATCCACTGTGATTTATTTGTAACTCCAAATTAATTCTCCTGGCACTTTTGGGGTTATTCCCAGACATGTGTGGAATTGTGAAAAATGTGAGTCATGCCAAGTGCACATTCCCAGCTGAGGTTGAACACGGTGACATTCTGCCTTCTTGTTTCAGCTCTCATTCTGTAAACAAGTCTCTCTCTCTTTTTTTTTTTTTTTGCAGTCTATTTAGTGTCACGTGTTTTGCACATTTTGTGTCTTTTGTTGGTGACTTTGCCATTTAAAATGGCCCCCAAGAGCAGTGCTGAAGTGCTATCTAATATTCCTAAGTACAATAAGGCTGTGATGAACCTTACTGAGAAAATAAGCTTTGCTCAGACATGAGTTACAGTGCCATTGGTGGTGAGTTTAAAGTTAATGAATCAAACATTTATATTAAATCAGACACATTTAAGCAGAAACACACATACATCAAGGTTGTATATTGATTGATCAAAACCTTGTAACCACAAGTTCCTAGGAACCTAACCCTGAATTTCTCCTAGGAGCAAAGTGATTTACTGGTATTTGCTGGTCTACTGAATAGAACATTTCAAAATCCAAGGCTCTCACTAAGTGGATTGGTAGCAACAAAGACAGATATTTATACACTTTAAATCAAGTATTTCTTATTTGCAGGAACAGTAAACAATGTAAGAAAAGCAACGGATAAGCAATGATCTCATTCATTGCATGTATTGTAAGTGTGTTTATTGTATATTCCTCTTCTAAAATCTTATTGGTTCTCTTCTTTTTTTCCTTATTTCCTGTTGAAAATTAGAGAGACAGAGCTTCAGAACTTTTACATAAATTTCCATGCCAGACACAGAATTGCTTATTTAAGTTCTCTGTTGAATAAGTAAAGATCAGGGTAGTCTATATCTGCTTGAAAGTTACATAAATTCAAATTTTGAATAATACATGCACTCTAGGTTCAATCAGCACCTCATATTTGCATATAAGATTTCATACACCATAGCAGTTATTTCATCTGAATCAGGTTATTTGGTTTGTGTGGCATAATCTGTCTAGATGCTTGCTTTAATAGATGCAAACAATAGTTTGTCAAACAAGCAGATCTTAATAGTGGTGCATCTTCTTTTAAATTAGGAAAGCTGGCATGTTCTGAGGCATCATCTCTAGATCAGTGCATTTGTTCCAGTTGATGTTTTGGCTTTTCTAAGCTCATAAATGTAAGTAATAGATTCACAGATTTGCAGAGCTGGAAGGGGCTTAGTGATCGTTATTTTAGCCATCTCAGATACCTTGTGAGAAAACTGAAGCCCAGAGGGGTGAAACCATTTACCCAAGGTGATACAAGTGGCTGACAGCAAAGACACTTCTCTTGCAGTAATGCTTCCCTGGTGTCACTGGTGGGAGAAACCATGCCTGTTAGTCCATGCCTATCCTACAGCGAGTAGGATTTAAATCCATTAGCAATGTGAGGTAAGCTGAATTCTTTTGGCCATAATTTTTCTGCGCTGGGTCATAGCAAGCTTGGGGCAATGATTAGATTAAGACTGCTGTGTTTTTTGTTTTATAGTTGATGACTAATGAAACAAGAGATCAGTGATTGGATAAAACTAAAGATTTTAACAAGGAGCCTACTGCCTAGGTGATTTTCACAATCCTTTTCAATACCGTAAACTCGATTTTCTCTTTTAAGTGATCACATAGTGGTATAAGACAGTTGATGATCTCAGCATCTTTTATGATGTTGTTATACCTTTGTTTCAGAAAATATTCTTTGACATACTTTTATAAAGGAAAATAGTAGAACAATAAAATAATCAATTTCCTGTGCATACTCTGAAACTGTCAACAGGAGACATGGTCAGGACTTGAAATCCATACGCAAAACACATTACTATTCAAAAAAAAACTACAAGCAGAAGATTTTCTGGCAACAACTCCTGAATCATCTATTAAAGATAAGAACCCTAAAAGTGTCTAGTCTATGAAATTGAGAAGACACTCATAAAGTAAGCATCACACCTGAAATAATGGGTAGTAAATGTCCCAAACTATATTCCCATTCTTTGAAATATCTATACATTTTAAATATCAGCCTCAAAATTCTCACTTAATGCTCAGATTGGTTTCTTTAAGAATCAGATGCAATAGGTGCAAATTACTGCATGGCATTTGAGTGCGATTAACATAACATTTTAAAATATTTTCTAAATTCATGTAAATTACTTCTGTTCTCTGACCCTGAAGGTTAGTGAGAAGACCGGCCCCAGCCATTCACTGGAGTATCCTCCCTCTCCCTCTTTAGTGCCACTCACAGGGCTCAGAGAAGTCTCCACCTGTGGACTCTGGCTACTTGATGATCTCACCCAGGATGCTGTTGTGTTCTCAGCGTCCACAAGCTGGAGGTCCAGCCCTGGGGCTCCCTCAGAAGTGTATTTTAATCATCTGTTTTCTTCATGGGCCAAGTCTCCTCCGTTTCAACCTAGACCATGGAAAAGAAGACCAAGGACCCATGGGAGGCATTCCTAGGGAGGTCCCACCACCTTGGACACACTGTTTTTAAGCTGCTCCGGTCTCTATCAACAGTTACAACTCCCTTTTTTCCTAGTCCCCAAGAAGCCAATTACTTTCTTGACACCAGGCATACTCCTCTTTGACATTCAGATCCCTTTGCCTCTCAGACAACTCAACACAAATCCATTTGCTCATCCTCTCCCAGAGGTGGGGAAAACCAGACTTCAGAGCCTAGCTACGTTTTTGGAATGGAATGCAAAATTTCCTCTCATTTTAATGAAGTGAGCCTATAAGAAAATAATTTCTAATTTCTCGATAGGTTACTCTGCTATGTAAATTGTCACATGACACAGACACCTAGCATGTTCACTTACTGAAAACAGAAATATGAAATTTAATATATTTTCCTCACTTTACCAGCCTTCAGAGAAGTTGTTTCTCTTGTGTAGGATTTCCTGCTAAGTGATTTTCTTCTATTGTTTGTTGAGCACTCAGTAGTTTATGGCTCTAATCATAAATCCACCTAAGGTTTGTAAGTGTATTTTGGCCATCTTGAGGTACCATGAATTGCAAATGGGAGATTAAAGGGGCCCAACAAAGTTTATTTTATTTTATTTTGTTTTTATTTTTATTTTTACTTTTGAGATGGAGTCTTGCCCTGTCACCCAGGCTGGAGTGCAGTGGTGCCATCTCAGTTCTCTGCAACCTCTGCTTCCTGGGTTCAAGCAATTCTCCTGCCTCAGCCTCCCGAGCAGCTGGGATTACAGGTGCATGCCAATACACTCAGCTAATTTTTGTATTTTTAGTAGAGATGGGATTTCACCATGTTGGTCAGGCTGGTCTTGAACTCCTGACCTTGTGATCCACCTGTCTGGGCCTCTCAAAGTGCTGGGATTACAGGCATGAGCCACCGCCCCCCGGCCTATTTTATTTTATTAAATTTGTTGTGGTGGTGGTGTTGTTGCTCAGTTGCATTGAAGGACTAAGCAATGAAGTTTTTGCAACTCTTTTTGGAGGCAGCAGTTTGTCTCGGTCGTGGTACTGGCTGAAGAGATGATCTGGGCATTCTGAGTGCAATCCTCAAGACTTAGAAATCAGTAAGTCTTTGGAAGCTAAGGGTCCTCAGTCATCTGAAGGAAGGATTGCTGCTCTCTTGCCACTTGTTGAGATCACTTAACTGAGAAGCAGGAGATGGGTTGAAGGCCTACCCGTGAATTCTTGCTGTGATTATTTCCTGATTAGTGGAAACTGCTAATCATTAGCATCTTCATTTTGCATTTCACTCTGCAGAGCAGATGAAATCTTAATGCCTGGCCTTTCATTTTCAGTTAGCAAAACTAATATATCAAGAATGCTGATGAGAAGGTGAGGGAAGGATTCACTGTAGTATATGTGGTAAATGAACATTTAGTCCATCCTTTTTGATACAAAGGGAGGTTTTATTTGTAGTCAAAGTAAGTCAGAGAGAAAGAGGTCCATACAATTGATGAAACCTGATGATTTAATATTCAAAAATTGTGCTTTAAAAAAAATGTTTCATCCAGAGTGTAGGGTATAGAATGACTTCTACCTAGAAGTTCATGAATCTTGAATCACCAACATGTTTTCTGTTTCCAATAAGATTCTATTTAACTCTTTCTCATTGGCTGGTATGCTTTACCCAATATCTCTCCCTCCCCCATCAGGTATTAATAATCCTTAATTCTACCAACCTCCCAGAACCGCCCTCCCCGGGACAGTCAGCATGGCTTCACATCAGGGATCAGCTCCCTTAAGCTCCCTCTCTTCTGTGTTTCAAAGCTATTTTTCAGCAGCTTTGGGAAACAGCTGGCCATCAGCCCAAATTCTGTCACCTTCTATGTGTCTCAAGTGTCATTAAGTTGTACTTCAGTGCCCCGTCTTCTGGCTAAGTAATTCCACATCCTTTATCCTGCATCATATACTTTTCTTCCTCATATCATCTCTCTGCCTCTTATATATACTTTCTATTATTCTGTAAAACATCGTAGATAGCTTTGAAGGAATCTCTGACTGCTGGAGTGTCAGCAAACTTACGACCAGCTACAGGAACATGCCACCACCATTGCACTAACTTTTCTGACTCACTCTTACCAACCACTTTTCCCGCCTCATGTTCTTCACAGCCCAGCAATGTGGGATTGAGGAAAGAACACAGGGCAGCAGTTAGGGGCTCTGGGTTCTAGTCTTAGTTTTCTCTGTGGTCAAGATGCCTGCAAAGTAACTTTTGTCAAACAGACACTTTTAATCCTCACAACAAGGTTGTGAAATTGAACCACTGGCCCCATTTTATTTTAGGAAACATTCTCACTGTAGGTAAAATAACCCACCAGAGTTGTGATTTGAAACTGGTTTTGGTTTTATTTCAAAATGATATTTCATGATATTATTTTCTTTGTACCTGTTGCTCTTATGATTTTTAAAAATTGTTATTACTTTTTTTTAATTTGTAGAGACAGGGACTCACTCTGTTGCCCAAGCTGGAATGCAGTGGCACAACCACGGCTCACTGCAGCTTCCTGGGGTCAAAGGAATCTCTCACCTCAGACTCCCGAGTAGCAGGGACTACAGACGTGCATCACTATGCCAGGCTAATTTTCAATTTTTTTTCGTTGAGACAGGGGTCTCACTCTGTTACCCAGGTTGGAGTACAGTGGAGTGATCATAGCTTACTCAAGCTTTGAATTCCTGGGCTCAAGATTTCCTCCTACCTCAGCCTCCCAATTAGCTGGGGGTGCAGTCTCACTATGTTGTCCAGGCTGGTCTTGAACTCCTGGTTTCAAGCAATCTTCCCACCTCAGCCTCCCAAAGTGCTGGGATTACAGGTGTGAGCCATCGTGCCTCGCCTGTGATTTTTTTTTTAAGTACATAGACTTCTGTAGAATTAATACATCTTAATAAAATAGTCCTGTAAAATTAGTTCAAAATATGTCTATTTCAGACTTTAAGCTCCTTGAGGTCATGGATGGCTCTCTATACCTAAGGCAGGGCACAGTGCCAGAACATAGTTGAATGAATGAAACATGACTATATGAATATTTGGTATGGCTGAGGTGCAAGTGAAGCCCATCCCTACGCTGTTGCTCCAGTCTGAGGGTTCCCAGTCCTGTCTGCCCATTGGAGGTACCTGCAAAGCTTTAACATCTATCGTGGCTGGGCCCCACCCCAAGCCATTCTGAGCTCAGTGGCCTAAGTGGGTCTGGAGTCTTTGAGTGTCTAAACATCCCCAAGGTGATTCTGACAGGAACCTAATCCAGTGCTTTCCTAATTTAATTTGCATATGAGTCACTCAAGCCTCTTGCAAAATGCAGATTCTTATCCTGTGGTCGAGGTTGGGGCCTGAGATGGGCTTCTTTAATCAGCTGCCTAGTGCTTTGAATGGTCTTGGTGGGTGGTGCACACTTGGAGCAGCAGGTTTTAAAGCAGCTACATCCTCACTGGCTATTAATGATACACTTGTCCTAAAAAAAATCCCTCAAAATAAATCATTCATATTTTGTCTCATGTGCTCCCTTCCATCTGTGTCTGCATGGCAATAATGAAGTATGCAATTTTTGACCAAGCCATAGTTAAATTAATAATTGTGGGTGACACAGCAGAATAATTCAGGCTCTAAGTAGGCTTCTGCTCCCCTAGGGACTGAATTTGCTTAAGGATTTTCCAACTTTTGTCTGCAAGTCTTATGTACCCTAAAACTGACTTCCTCCTTTGCAGTGCTCCTTTGTTCATCAGCCTCATTGCTCAATTGGAGAAGCAGTGGTGTAGGGGTGTGGTCTTCAAGCCCTCAGGGACTAGGGTACCTTCTTGCTTTTACATTTAATACTCTGAATTCTTTCAATCTTGGTGATGGGAGGGACTTGACATGATGGAGCAGAGTAGCCCCATCTACCTTACATCTGATCTCAAGAATTCTAGAGTTGCTTTTGATTTCATAGACTGACTCAGAACAGCAGTTCCCAAATGGCAGTTGAGATAAAGTGCTTTATTTCTAGATTAAATTCAAAGTGATACATGCAAAATATATGCATAACTAATATTCATCATTTAAATACAAAACGCAGCCAATTTTCATAGCTTGCAAACCATAGGTTATTAAGACCAATGTTATTTTTAGGGATATATGCTTAAGGCAACTCAAAATGGAGGTTCAATAGAGAAACCATGAGGTCCCTTTTTTCAGGGGTGGGGGTGGTAGCTGAAGAGCGGTTATAGACACAGGCATTCCACTCACAGAATGGAACAGCACCAACTTCCGTAAATTCATTCTAAAGTCACAGCTCTATTCTAGCCCAGGACAAAAGGCCACCCTCTTTGCCTCTCTTCCTCTAAACTTAGCCTGCACTTTCTCTCTGCTGCGCCTCTGGCACTGATCACTTTCCTCATCTTTGAATTCTCTATAAATATTCATAAGGATATAAGAAATGATCCAGGAAGCTGGCTCTCTAGTTGAATAGCTAATGCTGCCGGATAAGTAAATCATTCCCCAACCCTGAGCACGGGGTATGGATTAGGTGTCTGGGGAAGACTGGTAGAATTAAAAGAACCAAAGCTGGTTTCAGTTCCCAGGTGTCAGTGCACCAGTCCTGTAGCTCCTATAGGATACTGCCTGTGATCCAGGGGGTGCCTCCAGCTCAGTACTCCAAGAGCGGCACCTGCAGTGGGCATTGGGAGTGCCAGTGGCTCAACCAGTTCCTGTCAGGGAAGCCCACGTTGTCCATTTGGAACTCCATGTTAAATGTGGGGTTTGAGGTTTACGATGAAAGGACGTCATGGTTTCTAGCAGTGCCCAGTTAGCAGATCATTGATTCTTGCTAAGCAATGCGTGAAGTCATAACTCTTAGAGTTTCTGAAATTTTACCACAGTCTTAATGTCTCTGTACTTTTCTTTTTCTTTTGCTATTCCCTTAGGACGAAAGAAATGCCTAATACGTAAGTTTATTAAATAGCTAGGTCAAAACAACTTCAGTACTTATGTCCCAATAATTTAGTAGCCATCTGATTTTTTTTTTTTTCTAAGACGGGATCTCCTCTGGTCCCAGGCTAGAATGCAGTGGCACAAATATGGTTCACTGTAGCCTTGACCTTATGGGATCAAGCAATCCTCCCATCTAAGCCCCTCCCTGTGTGGCTGGGACTACAGGCGCGTGCCACCATGCCCATCTAATTTTTGTATTTTTTGTAGAGACTGGGTTTTGCCATGTTGCCCAGGATGGTTCCAAACTCCTGGGCTTTAGTGATCCACCCATTTCAGCCTCTTGAAGTTCTGGAATTACAAGCGTGAGCCACTGTGCCTGGTCTGAAATAATTATACCCATAAATTGAAAAAAAATTCATAACATTTTTGTTTCCTTCTTAAATAACTACACTAATGAATGTGTTTGCCTGGTGAGTACTGCATAACTTTAAAACCAAATTGGACCTTGCCACCTGTGTTTCTTGTTTCTCAGTGAATGATTTGATTGACTGGTCATACACAGCAGTATCCAAAAACCCAGTTTCACAGAAATCAAAATAATCAAAAGGAATGTAGCATCTAAGTTGAAACTGTGAGCTACCTTAAGCTAATGGTCCCTGTGGTGTCCAACAGATGTTATGAGGCTTTCCTCAAAATGTTAAAATACCTTACAGATTTCCTATGACTTAGTTCATTGTGTCATCACAGGACAGCTCTGCACAGAGTTTGAGAACTGTGGCCATAACCGGAGATTTTAATAATGAACTCAGGGAGTGTAGCACCTTGACTGAGTAGTGTTTGAAGATTTAATACCATGAGTATACTACAGGGAAATAACTGATTTTCAGATCCGTCTGGACAGAGTGGATGCTATCATTGATTCCGGCATTCATCGTTATACCTGCAGGATGTCCTCAAGTACAGCAGTTTATGTAAGAGAAGTGATTTCTTCTCTTATGTAAGTTACACTATGGAGAATAAGCTGCTCCCTTCATTCAGGAAGGGTTTATTTAACACCTATTATGTGCCAAGCCCAGTTCTAGGTACCTGGAATCTATCAGTAAACAAAGGATAAAAATCCTTGCCTCATGGACCTTAGATTCTGGCCTCTTGATTTCAAGGCAAAGAATGTGCAATATTACAGCCTTTGGATTCTTTTGCCAAGCAACACAAGAAAGTCATAAAAGGACTTTTATCCCCTCTAAAGTTCTATTTAATGGCTTATTTTCAAAGATTAAAATTCTGCAGAAACCAGGCATACTTACAATATTTAGAACTTATTCAAGTGACTGAAACTAGAGGGAATTATTCTATATTAATGAAACTCAATGGTCTATGAATACTCTCTTAACGAAGACTGACGATATATGAATGCAGTGTGGGTAAAGAAGCAACTTCTGTTAATAGGCTGATTATACTTAGAAGGTTGATGCATAATTGAATTGGACAGTCCCCTTAAGTCATCTTCATCTTTGTTCATTCTCAGGAAATGTGAAATGGCATGTATTTTGAAACATCGGATATATTATAGTGCTTTTTAATTTCCTTTGTGGTATAAAATAAATAGCATGTGGATTTTTCTATCTCATGGGGCTGGGTAGCAGAATTCGCATCCAGACATATCATGTGAGAAGACAGGTACTTCTTTTTATCTAAACAATTAGAGCCATATTTGGATCTGTGATAACAGTGGGACAACTGCTTTTCTCAGGATCTTTTAGAGAAATCAGGGAAGCTGGTACTTTCACATTATATTCTGACTGGGCCAGCCTTCCTCCAACTCATTTTACCTCAAGTCTACAATAAATTAATAATAAAGCATTGCAAATAAAATCTTCTGAGATTTAAGACTGGGTTGTGGCACCACAAGGTCCCTAAGCAGTGTTTTTTAGACTTTGTAGTAAAACAAGGTAACATTAAATGTGGCCTATATATAAATGGTAAAATAAAAATGTCTTCCATCTACATGGGGGAGTATATATCCATGAGTACAAAGCAGATCACCCATATTCCACAACTCAGAAACACCTATTACTAAGATTTTTATCTATAGCCTTCTAGTCTATATTGTTTTATACATATATATAGTAATAGTAGTAGTTATAGTTATATAAAGTTTTGCAGCTATGTGTATAAGTGATTTTGTTGATATTATACATATAAACCACATCTTTTAGTTTACATCCTGTTCTGAACATGTCCCCAGGTCTCTAAATACTTTTCTAAAACATATCTTTTTTTTTTATTTCTGCATGTCTTTCAGAGTATAGATGACTAAAATTTATTTAATCTATCATCTATTAAGAGTATCTAACTTGTTTCTTTAACCCTGTAAAATAAGTTTAATGAAACTATCAAATATTTAATGTTTAGCTATAATATTTATCAAAACATGAAAATTCCCCCAAGTTGATATTAAAAGTCACCAGTACTTTTCTTCATGTATTTATCACATGTTCATTGAGCATCTACTATCTACACAAAAGGCCCATGCCTCTGCCAGAGATGCAAAATAAATCTAAGTATGAGGCCTGACTTTGTGGTGGGCACGGAGGTGAGGTGCTTCCCTGAAGAGGAGGCTGGACTGTGTGGTGACAGCACTACAGAATGACACTGACAGCTGCCTCTTAAGCCACTCACTGAATGATCTAATCTAACTTTACTGTTGGTAGCATTTGCAAAAAAACAGTGATATTTGCTGAAGAAATACTGCTATCATTAATTTGATTTAGGGTAGGAAAAAAATAAAGGCAGTTTATCATAGGGACTGGAAATCAGAAAAAGTGTTTTTTAGAAAAAATGCGCATTTCCAAATAATCCCCACTGGGAGCAGATGTTGAAGCCTAGGAAATGTGTTTTGATTCTAGAATTAATCTGTTTGTTTATTTGGCCTATTGCTCTGTAGGCATTATTGGAAACGAGTTGACATTGAAATATGGGGCTGGTCTTAGAGTCCAGAGATCTGGTCTTTACCACTTCCTCTGCTGCTTATTAATCAAGGGACTCTACACTAGTGGGTTCATCTCCCTGGGCTTCAAGCTGCCTTATTGACCAGACAAGATCTCTGAGTAACTTAAGAAAACACAAGGAACAGACATAGTAAACTGCACAATATCACACAACTGGGAAGAATTATTGTTGTGGATAAGAATGGCTTAGGTGAGAGAAACCACATACTTTAAAATGAATAAATTCTGGCTTTATTTCTCTATATCAAAAGCCCCCACATCCCTTGTGAGAATGAATTAAACTTCACTATCCTAAAGCCTAGAAAGCATTAAGCATGAGAGAAAAGGGAGATAAAAGAGGAGAAAAGAAGGAAGGAAGAAAATAAAGAGCCAGGGGCTTGGGGAGGGAGCTTGATGGGGGATGTAGAGAGAGAGAGAAAGTATATGTGTGTGTGTGTGTGTGTGTGTGTGTGTGTACATTAGACATGTAGAGACAGAGAGAGAGAGGAGTGTATGTTGTCAGCTTGAATGGCAGAGAACCCTGTGGCTCCTTGGCAAACTGGAAGGGCCTAGAAGGCAGACAGGCAGGTAGGAATCTATCTCACTGCTGACGGTGTCACCCTCTTCCCCAGCTAATGACGCCCACCTGGTGGTCTGACAGAGCTTTGAGATCTGTCCGTGGATCTTGTCTTCTTGGTTGAAACACCTGCTCTCATCTCTGGAACAGTTGTTCCCAAAGTCTTTACTAATTTCCCAGGATGATGTTAAATCCAGTCTGTCCTCCGAAGCTGGGGTGACCAATTTCAATTTGCCTAGGACTTTCCTTGTTTTAGCCCCAAAAACCACAGGTCCTAGGAAACCCTCTCAGTCCCAGGAAAGCTAGGATGGTTGGGGCCATACTGAAAGCTGGAGTTAGGGTTTGGATGCCAGGATAAACAAGTCAGAGTAAAAGGTTTCCTGTTTGAAAGTAAATTTTTCAGAAGGATGTGCACTCTCTGCAACTTACAGATATAGGCCACCCCAGAAAATATAAGTTTGGGGGAATAATGGCTTTTAATATATTTAGTTGAATCCAAAAGAAGGAGAGAGACTGTGATATGTATGTACACTTTGACATGTTACCTTTCTGCAATTTAGCCACCAGGGCCTTGTCAGATACTGGCTTATATTTATATTGACTGGCACAGGACTTAGCTACCTAAGCTCTAAATGACACAATCTGGAAGAAACAAGAAAACTCTTGGTTACCATATTTCTTTAGTCTCTCATAGTGTAAAGAACATTTTATTTATTCGTTCATTCATTTATTCATCAAAAGGCTTGGAATTTACACTATGTGTCTGTTGCATGCAAAGTGCTGGCACCATGAAGAGTTAGGTTGTAGAATATGTTAGACAATTAGACAATGTAGACAATTACAGAATGAGGAAATTTTCTGATAGAGACTGATATGGTTTGGCTGTGTCCCCACCCAAATCTCATCTTGAATTGTAGTTCTCATAATCTCCATTTGTCGTGGGAGGGGGGACCCAGTGGGAAGTAATTGAATCATGAGGGTGGTTACCCCCACACTGTTGTTCTAGTGATAGTGAGTGAGTTCTCACAAGATCTGATGGCTTTATAAGGGGCCTTCCCGTCCTTTGCTTGGCATTTCTCCTTCCTGCTGCCATGTGAAGAAGGACGTGTTTTCTTCCACTTCTGCCATGATTGTAAGTTTCCTGAAGCCTCCCCAGCCCTGTGGAACTATGAGTTAATTAAACCTCTTTCCTTTGTAAATTACCCAGTCTCAGGTATGTCTTTATTAGTAGGGTGAGAACAGACTAATATAGAGACACACACAGGAGCTGCAGAAATATTTTTATCCTTAAATCAACTATGATTATTATGCATGGAATAAATAAATATAAGATGAATATACATATTATTTTATAGTATTACTCAAGACAACATATCCAACAGGTGACAGCAGCTGATAACATACTCCTTGACAAATCTTGCACAAGGTACTAAGAGTGATGTTGAAATTCATTCCATGATGAGGTGATTCTTAGAAATCAAGTGTTGAAAACTGACTTGCTTCAATTAGCTCAAGCCTTAGAGGGCTTGCATTGATTTTATAGACTCTGAATCAACCATAGATCCATGATCTTTTGTTGAAAATATTTGGGGCTGATTGTATTTTGCAAATCAGAAATTGTAGGATTTGGGATGTATAATAAGGCACAGATACCATACACTGTGTTTATATGGAGATAGGACAGCAGTCCATGACCAAAGATATTAATAATTCTATTGCAATATGTATGTATGTTTATACCAAATGTAAAGACTATAAATCATCTCATGTGACTTCAGGTCAGGTTTTGGTAATAAATGAATCTGAAAAAACTTGAGTTTCGGGGGTTTTTGCATTTTTATGAATTGAAACAGGGATTGTGAAAATGTACTAGAAGAGAGCCAATGCAAAAGTGTCTAATGGGAGCTTCTGTTCCAATTTCCCTTACACATACACACAGATGCGCATTCACACAGCTAAGGTTACAAGGTGGTATTTAAGAAATGCCAAATGAATTGTGCAGTGAGTAAATGCTTTATAAGCTTAGAGGAGGGAGAACTACTTCTTGCTTAGGTTGTTAAGGCCCCACAAAGCATATGGGATTCAGTAGCATCTTGTGGGACAGGTGCACGGCTATGTGGAGAGCCTGGTACAGGTCAGCACACCATTCTGGTCATGGCCTTGGGCAAAGGCTGGTGGGATAATAGCTTAATGTTCTCTTGAGTTTCTTCATGGGGAAAGGAATCAGAATTTCCATCTAACTTTACCAATATTAATTTATAATGTTAGCTACTATTTTAGAGATTCTTTTATGTTATGGTGAAATGGGAAAATTAATTGGGGTTTTAAAAAGGCAAGTAATTATTTCTTTCTGTCTCATGGATGATATGACATTTTGGCTATTGCCTACAGCAAAACTAGCTCCATTGCTGTTGGATGTATTATGCTTCTTTCTTTTATGTGAAGATCTAAGAAAGCTTCATTTTATAGTTATTTTCAAAGAAAATGTGGCAATATTTAGATCATTTGTTCTCAACATTGGCCATGCTTTGGAAACACGAATCAGGCTGTGGGAGGAGGGAGGTTTTAAAAACATCCTGATGCTTGCTTCCCACCCCCAGAGTTTTTGATACAATTGATCTGGGGCACAGTCTGGACACAGAAACTTTTAAAGCCTGGTGAGTTTAATGTTGAAATTACTGGTTTCGATTAATTGACTTTTGGTTGAATCTATATAAAGGGCAGGTAAAGTAAATATTTAGTTAATATTTTTTGCAATTAGAATAAAAACAAACTATGAAATCAAAATAGAAATTAACTACATGTCAACTAAAGTGTTTTTTAAAGCATGTTTTTAAACCAAAAGATAATCTTTGCCCCATTCTTCATTCATTTTATTGGAATAATACACTCTGCCAAAGCATGTAAGTGTTAGGGTTCATGTACACACACAGATTTATCATTAAAACCTGGAAACTGCTCTCCTCCCACATAATTTCTATATTTGGTATTGAATCAAAGCTGTAGAAGGGACAGAGCTTCCACAATTTGTTCTGTCCACACCCTATGGGTTAGCTGCAAAGTATGTTAATTTTAAAAGAGATGGTGTGTCTGAATTTTTACCTTGAGGAAACCAGGGACGTTAGAAATTTGCCAAAGGTCACACAGCTCACTGATAGTGGAGTCCCACCCAACCAGAGTTCTGTCTTTGATTCAAGGCTGTTTTTATGCTACTGCCTTTGCCTGCTTTTATAGGCACTAAAGGAATATAAGCTGGGTTGAAATGAGTGAAGACAGTTACAACAGAAGCAAAAAAAAAAAAAAAATCCTTTAAACTTTCAGACTATACACAAGATAGTGGAATTATTCAGAGGGAGAAGCTACATCAAATTACTTTCTTATGTGCAAGATAAGATTATCTTATTTGATGAATATTCTATTGTGCCTCACTCCTACCAGGATATGGTGTAGAAGGTATCAGTTGATAAAATCGACTAAAATGTTTTATAGGGCTTACTTTAAAGAAAAATAAATTATGCTTCAAGAGTCAACATTTATTCATATTGTAGACATTTGATATGTTTTCCATTGCCATCAAAAACAATAGCTAATTATAAATCCTCAGAAATTGATAAGGATTTGGGAAGCTTTGAAAGTGAGATTCAATTACCTTCAGAAAAGTGGATAGAGATCTTTTCACATCCAGGTCAACTGCATATTTGTAGCTTTTATTTCTAAGTCATAGCAGAATGATACTGGGTGGCTGCTGGAATGGCCCACATTTGAGCTTTATTTCTACATGGTGATAACATGACCAAATCCCACAATGAGTCTTTTAAGGGGCGTACTGTTTGTGAGTCCCTGTAAAAATAACACCATTAAGTTTAATCTAAACTAGCTAAAACTTCTCGATATAATGAAATCTCTGGATAAAGAAAAAAGAGCTTCTTAGAAATACTGTTATGATACAGGCATTACTTGAATTAAAATGTCACTTAACAAGTATTTGTTTCTATATAAGTTATTTAATCAAAAAAAAAGTCCACCTAAAAGTTACCTGAAAGCTTGGGGTGTTGGTTAATTGGTTCCTTAACTTGTTATTGAGGTCTCGGACCTCAGCTTTTCCTTGGAACGACAACCCTAATGCTCGTGGTTTTGCCAGCTGCATCCTACATCTCAGAGACCAAGAACACACACAGGATGCTGCTATACTGCTTTAGGACTAATGGCCCATGTGAGAATTTACATACTGATTTCTTCTCCAAAATATTTGGATCGGAATATTTTTTCCAAAATTTAATGAAATCCTATATGAAATAGAAAGATGATGGATCTAGAAAAAAAGTCCCTTAGCTTATTAAGAAGTATGAAAAGGATCCTTGGGAAAGTATTGAAGGGAACATTGGCTTTGGGAATTCCAGATTTCATTTTAGTCCTGTTTTTCCCATCACTAGATATCTCACCTTCAGTAAGCCACTGGCATTTCTGAAATCAATCTCTCATCTGAGAAATGGGATAAAAGGCCAAGTCATAGTCCTTGTAAGGATGGAAGCAACTTGTATGTTGTAATACATAGAAAAGTTATTTTTACTTTCCATTAGTAAGCTCCTTCAAGTTAGGCTCTTTTTTGTTTGTTTGTTTTCTGGACCAGAAATAATCCTAAGCTCACAGTAAAATGTGTTAATTTAATAGGTGGAACAATGCAATCTCAAAATAGTGATACATGTCTATTCTGTTTAGATAAGTACACCTGATCTATAGTATTTTTCTTTTGATTTTTAAAAAAACATTGTTATTTCAGCATCAACGTGAGCAGGTAGAGGTTGAAAACAGCCTATTACAATAAACTGAAGCAGCTGACAATAAAATTAGCATGACTTCCTCAATTAATGCAACCCATGTCACCAAAAGATCAGTTTCTACCACTTAGCCAAATCCTTTATTTATTGGTTAATTACATTTATAGCACACAAACGTCCAATTCATTCATTCGGAATCTTTTAAGTCATGACTGTCCAATGTTTACTTCAAGTATTAGCTTTATTTTGACTGATAGATCACTCCCTTACCTCTAAGAATTTATTTATTTAGTTGCATTTTATCCAATATTTATTTTTAGTGTTATACACACACAAAAATAATTGAAGGCAATTACAATAGGCTTATTGCATTATTAGTGATGCTAGAAAAATTAAGTTATTGCTCAAGTTTTACCTGGCTCATTGAGCTTGTCCCCTGTATTTTACTACATTTTTTTTCTCTAAATGCCAATGTTAGAGCAGAATGCATTTTAAAAGTGAGTGGGAAAGGCCTTCAATAACCGTGTTTTCAAAGCTACTCCAGGCAGCCAAATACTTAGAGCTACTGTCCATAGCTCCTGAGAGCCACAGTGGGAATAACTGAGAATTTATTTTTAAAAATCTTATTATTCCCCTAAGGGATGGTCTCTTGAATTATCAGATTTTGGTATAACGACATGCAAACTCTGATCTCAATACATTAAGAATTTTTATTTGTGTCCCAACTCAAAAATGAAAGCTGGCAGGGCTAATTTTCCTGCTGTCAATGAACTCTTGGGGATGTTTAAGCTCTAGAGTGAACAGGAGACTTTTGGTCTTCGGGTATTGAGGAAGAGTGGACTCAGTGTTGGACTAACGTGGCTGTGGTTCTCTGGTTGTTTCCTTTCACAGCAACACCCCTGAGCCCACTTAAGCCCCCACGGATGGACACTGCTCCGGTGGTCGCATCTCCCTATCAAAGAAGAGATTCAGACAGATACTGTGGGCTCTGTGCAGCCTGGTTTAATAACCCTCTGATGGCCCAGCAACATTATGATGGCAAGAAACACAAAAAGAATGCGGCAAGAGTTGCTTTGTTAGAACAACTGGGGACAACCCTGGATATGGGGGAACTGAGAGGTAAGGGCAGCTCTTCTCACTTCTGCCACAAAACTGGGCTTTCAGAGAAAAGATGCGGCTTTCACAAATCGGAATGATTCTTCTTCTTGCTTTAATTATTAAGGAAAAAGTGAGGCTCACCCAAAAGAAATGGACAAGAAAGGAAATGAGCAGAAGGCTTGCTTTAGTTTAATTTTTATAATCTCCTTTGTTTCAAAGTGTTTATTTTCATATTTTTATTGACTGCTTTTCAGACCAAAGGCACATTCATGAACCAGATTGTTTTCCTTCTGCTTTATCTTTAACTGCCTTCTTTACCAAATGCTTTTGTAGAGTAGCAGTGTTTAAAAAAGAAAAAAAAGATGCTGAATGGGAGGCTGAGGTGGGCAGATTGCCTGAGGTCAGGAGTTCAACACCGGCCTGGCCAATATGGTGAAACCCCGTCTGTATTAAAATACAAAAATTAACCAGGTGTGGCAGTGCGCACCTATAATCCCAGCTACTTGGGAGGCTGAGGCAGGAGAATCGCTTGAACCCAGGAGGCAGAAATTGCAGTGAGCCGAGATTTTGCCATTGCACTCCAGCCTGGGCAACAGAGTGAGACTCTGTCTCAAAAATTTAAAAAAAAAAAAAAAAAAAAAAAAGATGATAAAAAGGCCAAATAGTATTATCTTACCTTAAACTTTTGTGCTTTTATAAATTTAGCCAAAACAAAGCAACAAATTGACTCAATTTAATGACTTGAAGCAAGCCCAAGCCCCTTCAATAAAATCTCCGGGAAATCACGGCAAGACAGTGCTGTGTGGCACTATGTAGTCAACACCTGTCTCCTCCGCACCATGCCCCTGCCCCAGACAGGGTTTTCTTGACAGCTAGAAACCATGTATCATTTGAAGTTCCTGTGAGGTTTCACAGAAGCTGCTGAATTTGGAAAACATAGCGTGAGGATTACTTCTGTGGATTCCTTAGGAAGCCATCAACCAATTTGTGGGACTAAATAGAATATTTTATCACCAGCAACCATTTAAGCATTTTTGATCACCTACATACTTTTGATCAGCTTGATGTTGGCAGCATAGAAGTACAGCAAAATTGCATATTATATTTTCTGAGAAAATGCATTTTTCTCAGAAAAATAAAAATAATTCTGCAAGGGGTGCTATTGATACTATACTTCAGATTTGGTGTAAGTTTGATGAGCTTTTGTGGGCAGGTCATTCATAATGGCTGCAAGCTATAGATAACAACATTTGCAAATCAATTTGGAGACGGCAACCTCAGTTTAAACAGGGTTCTGCATACAGAGCCTACAATTCTAATTACCGTAATCTGGCTGTGAACCTGTAAGGGGGATAATTATAACAGAAAATGACTTGGAACATTTCTAGACAAAATAAGTAATATAAAAGGTCATGCTACAATGAGTTGAGAGGAGGGACAGGTCACTTCTTAATATGTTGGTTGCAGAAGATCTCACCAAGGGAATATACTTGATTTGGAACTAGAAAAGTGGGTGGCATTTTAGAAGGTGAGAAGGCATTCCATGTGAGCAGAATCACATACGCATGGGCAAAGGTCAGGAAACAAGCTAGAGACAGCTAAGAAGTCATCATGGAAGAATCTTATACTGCAGCATAGATTTAAAGTTGGAGATCCATGGCTAAGTATATAGAGCTTGATTCGAGATTGATTTTTTCCAAAAGACCTGATTAAAAACAACAAAAAAAGAGCAAACATTAATAACACTTTATTTATGTGTATGTGTTCTAGCTACAGAAAAGCAACTTGGTGCTTCCTATTTCAGTATGTTGGATAAGCTCATTGCAGAAGCTTTTGAGTCAATGGTACTACTGCTTTTTGATGGAGGATTTCATATGTTTTCAGTCTATGTCTTGTTAAAGAAAATAGGCAGGATCTCTCCATAGCTGAAGGCCTAACTGCAATGCCTGTGTTACTGGCAGATAACAAGTTGTCTCAGTGACTCCTTCCCAGCTGGGCAGTGAAGGAGAAAAATAGGACTTTATGTTTGGTGCCAGTTATTATGACTTGAAGAAAAATTATTCCTACAGCACATTCTTCCTGTCTATTTTGAATTATCAGTGCTGTATCTTTTATGTACAACTACATCTTAATGACTTTGGTGTCTGAATTCTGTAACATTTGAGCAGCTTGTCTTTCATACAGAAGACAAAAAGGCTGCTTTGACTCGATAACTCAATGTGACTGTGACTCAGTAGCCCATGGAATGCGATTAGCATTGAGCACAATGTCCTTGAAACCAAACTTTCCACACGCTCCAGGTGATATCCTGATAGATATTTATTCAAGCATTAAATATTGCAAAAGCTTAAGAATAAAGCAACTATGGTAACCCAGCACTTTGAAACACACACACACAGGCCACACACACACCCCTCTATTCCTGGAATGCTTCTAATGTATGATCAATCAATTAATAAAGGCAAAAATGCTAATCCATAAATATAGGCATATCCATGACTTTAATAAAATGGTATCAGGCAGCTGAAGCACGATATAGCAATATAATAGGATGGTAGGCTTTTTCTCTTTCTCTCATAGCACTTCTCACATTTTTAAACACTGTCTTGTTTACTTACTTTTTTTTGTATTTTCTTTCTCTCTACTTACTTTATAGATTATTAGCATCTTAAAAGCAGGCATTTATGTCTGGTTTGCTCATTTATATGTTCAAAACACCTAGAGTAGTGGCAGACACATAATAGTTACTCAATAGTTTCTGAATGAATGAATGAATGAACAGAGAATGCCCTAAAACAAAATCACCTGAAATCTTACATTCTTAACATGGCAATCATTTTCATTTCTAGAAGGATTCTGATTTAATATTTTTTATAAGAAACTATTTCTAATTTTGTTTTAATTTTTTAAAATGATGCATATTATATGTATAGTGAAATGCAGAGATATTACATGTTACAGTTCTATGAGTTTTGACAGTGCAAACACCTGTGTAACCCACAGCCCTATTAAGATACGTAACTTTTCCATCATGGGAAAATTCCCATGTCAACTCCAACCCTCCATTCCAGAGAACCACTTTTCTCATTTTTTCATCATAGATTAGTTTTGCTTGTTCTAAAACTCCATATAAGTGGAATCATAAAATATGTATTTCTTGTGTGTCTGGCTTATTGTGGATCACACATTGTTTATGAAATTTATCCATTTATAGCATATAAAGCAAAGTAGTACCTTTTTTATTACTGAGTAGTATTCTATACACAAAAATACCACAGTTTGTCTATCCACTCTATTCATTGATGAACTTTGGATTATTTTGGTGCTATTTTAGATAAAGCTTTCATGAACATTACGGCACAAGACTTTTTTTTGGTCAACATATGTTTTACTTCTCTTGGTAAATAGGCATAGGATTGCTGGGTCATAAGTTGCATGTATTTTTAACTATAGAAGAAACTGCCAAAATCTAAAATAGTTGCGTTACTTTGCACTTCAAAAAGCCAACATATAAAAATTCCATAGCCTCACCAACATCTGCTCATGTCAGTCTTTTAAATTTTAGCCATTTTAGTGCATATAGGAGGGTATTTCATGATGCCTTTAATTCATATTTCCATATTGACTAATGATGTCAAGTACTTTTTTTTTTTTTTTTGAGATGGAGTCTTGCTCTGTTGCCAGGCTGGAGTGCAGTGGCATGATCTCAGCTCACTGCAACCTCTGCCTCCCAGGTTCAAGAGATTCTCCTGCCTCAGCCTCCCAAGTAGCTGAGACTACAGGTGCAGTGCCACCACGCCCAGCTAATTTTCGTATTTTTAGTAGAGACGGGGTTTCACCATGTTGGTCAGGATGGTCTTGATCTCTTGACCTCATGATCTGCCCACCTTGGCCTCCCAAAGTGCTGGGATTACAGGTGTGAGCCACCACACCCTGCCGTCAAGTACTTTTTAAATGTGCTTATTGGTCATTTGTGTATCTTCCTTTGTGAAGTGTCTGTTTATGTCATTTATCTGTTTTTAAAAATTTATTTTTTGCCTTTTATTTGAGATGAGGTAGAAGGCTTTCACGTATTATGGATTCACATTCTTTGTTGAATATATGCATTATGAATATTTTCTCCTAGTTTGTGACTTGGCTATTAATTTTCTTAAGCCCTTCAATGAGCAGGCATTTTTAAATTTTGGGAGGCTAACTTAACTTTTTTATTCTTTTATAATCATTGCTTTTTGTGTCTTACCTAAAAAAATCTTTGCCTGTACCAAGATATTCTTGTATGTTTTCTTCTACAAATTTCATAGTTTTAACTTTTACATGTAGGATTATGATGTATCTGAAATTAATTTTTGTGTACAGTATGAAGTAAAGGTTAAAATTTATTTCATTTTTATATATTTACACAGTTGTTACAGAAAGTTGCAGAAAATATTTACTTTTCCTCATCAAATTGCTGTGAATGACCTTTGTTGAACATCTTTTGATTGTGTGAGCCTATATCTGGACAATTTATTCTGTTCCATGGATCTCTTTGTCTTTATACCAGCACCACACTGTAATGATTTTTCAGCATTCTAGAAGTCTCGAAATGAGGTAGTGCAAGTTCTCCAACTTTCTTCTTCTTTCTCGAGATTATTTGGCTGTTCTAAATCCTTTAAATGTCTATATAAATTTTAGAATCAATCTTGCATAAAAGCTTTGTTGGAATGTTGAATGGGATTGAATTCAGGCTATAGACCAATTTGGGAATAATGTATTTAAATTCTTCAAAGTATCGAGTCTTCCAATCCATGAACATCCTCTATCTCTCTATTCATTTATGTTTAGGTTGTATAGGCAATGTTTTGTAGTTTTCAGTGTAAAGGTTTTGCACATCATTTGTTAAATGTGTCGCCAAGTACAATTGACTCTTGAACAACACAAGGATCAGGGGCACCAACCCCCTACACGGTTGAAAATCTGCAAATAACTTTTGACTCCTCAAAAACTTAACTACTAATAGCCTACTGTTGACTGGAAGCCTTACCAATAACATAGTTGATTAACACATATTTTGTGGGTTATACATACTTTATACTGTAATTTTACAATAAAGTAACATAAATAAAATGTTATTAAGAAAATCATCAGGAAGAGAAAATATATTTACTATATGTTAAGTGGAAGTACTCATCATCTTCATGTTGAGTAGGTGGAGTAGGATGAAGAGGAGGGGTTGGTTCTGCTACTCAGGGGTGGCAGAGGCAAAAGCGGTGGAAAAGGTGGAAGGAGAGGCAGACAGTCAGGCACTCTCGGTGTAACTTTATGAAATACATCATCATTTATTTGACTTTTTTGCTTTTTTATTTCTCTAAAAATGTTTCTCTACAGTACCAGTCCTTCCATTGCTTGCTTTTATTTCAGTATCTGTATCATATAAGGGCCCATGTCATAAAAGAAGTCAAAAAGCAGTCTTGAATCATTGGACCCCTTCTGCCAGATTGTCTAACATCGACTTGTTTTCTGGCACTGCTTCTTCAATGTCTTCTTCCTCGTCATCTGGCACTGGCTCAGATGCACTCACTTCCATCAAGTTGTCTTCTGTTAATTCCTCTGGTGTAGTGTCTGTTAGGCCTTAGATTCCAAACTTTCATAATGTTTTCTCTATCAGAGTTCTCTTCCATAGTGTCCACAGTCCTGTCCATAGAGTACTGTGTGTAATGAGCCTTAAAGTTCCTGACCCCCCTGACCTATGGGCTAAATTAAATACATTGTGTTTAGTCAGGGGTAAACCACTTTGACACCTTCAATGTTGAATTTATGGTGTTCTGGGTAGTCAAGGGCATTGTCCAATATAAAAAAAAAAAAACACTTTAAAAGGCAGTTCCTTACTGGCAAGGTACTTCCTAATTTCAGGGACAAAGCATCGATGGAGCCAATACAGAAAAATGGTTGTTGTTGTCCAGGGCTTCTTGTACAGCCAAAAGACTGGCAGCTGGTGTTTATATTTTCCTTTCAAAGCTGGTGGGGAAGGTGGGTAGCAGCTTTATAGATAAGGGCAGTCCTGATCATAAACCTGACTGCATTTGCACAAAACAGTAGAGTTAGCCTATCCCTTCCTGCCTTAAACCCTGGTGCTTGCCTCTCTTCCTTACTAATAAGTGTCCTTAGTGGCATTTTTTTTCCCTAGAATAGGGCAATTTTTTCTGCATTAAAAGCCCATTCAGGAGGATTATTTTCTTTTTTTTTCTTTTTTCTTTTCTTTTTTTTTTTTTTTTTTGAGACAAAGTCTTGCTCTGTCACCAAGCTAGAGTGCAGTGGCGCTATCTTGGCTCACTGCAACCTCCGCCTCCTGGGTTCAAGCAATTCTCCTGCCTCAGCCTCTGGAGTAGCTGGGACTACAGGTGCGTGCCACCAAGCCTGGTTAATTTTTGTATTTTTAGTAGAGATGGGGTTTCCCAATGTTGGCCAGGCTGGTTCCAATCCTGACCTCAAGTGATCCGCCTGCCTCAAACTTCCAAAGTGCTGGGATTGCAGACATGAGCCACTGCGCCCAGCCACTCCTCAATAGTTTTCTTAATGATGCCTGGGAACTCTTCTGCTGCTTCTTTGTTGGCAGAAGCTGCTCCTCCTATTATCGAACCTTCCCTTGCTGGCATTAACTTCTACAGCTTTAGATCCTTCACCTTCCTTTTGCTTTAAGTTGTCATACAATGAATTCACTTTTTCTCGAATCATATTAGGTATGCCTTTCCTATAGCAATCCTGCACTCACATAAAAGCTGCATTTTCAATATGAGGGCAAAAGTATTTCTCATAAAGTTCAAGGTTTTTATGCCTGCTGATGTAGCTATAGCAACAACTTCATAAATTTCTTTTTCTTGGTTTTTTTTTTTGTTGTTTTTTTTTTTTTTAAATAATGGACCTTATGCTGGATTCATTTATCTTGAAGTGGCAAGCAACCAATCTGAAGATCTCCATCCATAATATATATCAAATCATTCAACTTGTTCTTGTAGCCATGAGTTTCCTGTGCTTCTTAAGAGCACTTCCAGCATCACGAGTTACACTTAGTATAGATCCCATGGTGTTATTCAAGGTTTCCAGCATTGCATTAAACATGATGAAAAACACATGAGAACCTCGAGAGATCACTTTCTACTGCAGTACACAATTTACTGGGGAGACAAACTGCTTACGTGGAGATGATTAGCATCACATGGCATTGTAAGTGGATCCTCACAATACTTGCGCTCATTGCAACAGGAGATGGTTATGAAATTATTGCAGGACAGGGCCGGGCACGGTGGCTCACACCTGTAATCCCAGCACTTTGGGAGGCCAAGGTGGGTGGATCACGAGGTCAGGAGACTGAGACCATCCTGATTAACACTGTGAAACCCTGTCTCTACTAAAAATACAAAAATTAGCCGGGCGTGGTGGCGGGCGCCTATAGTCCCAGCTACTCGGGAGGCTGAGTCAGGAGAATGGCGTGAACCTGGGAGGCAGAACTTGCAGTGAGCAGAGATTGCACCACTGCACTCCAGCCTAGGCGACAGAGCGAGACTCTGTCTCAAAGAAAAAAATAAAAATAAAAAAAATAAAAAAAAAAGAAATTATTGCGGGCCAGTGTTTACTACCTTAACTTTATGCAGCTATGATTTAATACTGCATCTTTACATTTCTTTACATTTCTTTTGACTACAAATGGCGCCATGCGTGCAGTCTGTGTATATATGTGAAAGTTTTGATAACTTTCAACTTTTAATAATAGATTTGTGTGTATTTTATAATAGTAAATATAAAATAGACTAGTATCTACATATATTTTAGGCATTCATGACATACCTAATTTTTATTAATTTTTTGATATTTCTAGGCTTTGTGGTTCTCTGCTTTCTCATATTGTTGCAAATCTCCAGATTTTTTCCGATATATTGATTGAAAAAAATGTGTGTATAAATAGACCCATGCGGTTCAAACTTGTGTCGTTTGAAAGTCAACTAAATTTTGTGTTGTTTAACCCTAGTATACATTGTATTGTAGTTTTGAAACTTTATTTTGTGTGTTTTATTTTTATGTGTTGCTGATATATAGAAAATGAAATTGAATTTTGTTCATTGGCCTTGATTCCTGTGACTTCCACATAACTTTCTACTTGTTATTAGTATATACTTTAATAGTGCAAATAATTTCCTCCTTTTGTATTTTTTTAATTTTCACATTAATCATTGGGAACCCTGTGAAATTGTGTTATTCTTGCCTTTGCTTCAAGTAGCAAATCAAATTTTTAAAAATAAAATTATTTTTATAGATTAACAAAGAATTATAAATGAGGTTGGCCTAGATGGTTATGAATATGCATAACTTGATTGCTGACTCAACTCTAGTGTTATTTGTTCCAGAAAAAGATGATACCTGTCTCTACTTCCAAGTTTTAAATTAATAAGAAAAAAGTCTTATCTTCCTGAATATGTAATGTAATGTAGAAAACAAAGGAAGTTATTGAGTTATGGAATTATAAATTTCGATGGTCTGAAAGTACTTTAGAGGTTTTCTTTATAGATTAAATTCTTCTTGCCAGTATAAAACACAGATAGAAGGCAGTTTCTTACTTAGAAACAGTGGCAATGTAAATTATAAAATTATGGCTAGGTTAAGATAGAATATTCATTTTGCAGACCTTTATCATTTATTCTTTTAAATACTTTAGGATGGAAAAATGCACAGTTATTTTATTGTTGCAGAGGAAACGAGACTATTCTATTGTAATTCTCATCTGAAGACACAGAACAAAAGAATTCATTAAAAAATTTAATAATGTTTCCAAGAACCGTAAGCTGAGCTGTGCTGGAAAAGACAGTCAATATCATTGAATTATATCCCTTCTTTTTACAGAGAATGATTCTGAGGCCCAGAGACGTGAAGTGACTGTCCCCTTCTAAGTTCAGGGTAGACCCATGGCTCCTCACTGAGGGTGTCACAATTTCTGGTGATTCATCATTGACCACCCAGAATCCTGAGTAATTAACTCTTTTGTTTAAACAGTTGAGTTTGGGAGACTTGAATATTTTTTGTGTAGAAAACTTGCTTTGAACTGAAGTATAGAATAAGCACAGCCAACTCTGAGTTTTCTGGGAATGGATTATTTGCAACACGCATTATGTACCTTTAACAAAGGACTTTCCCCCACATTCATGACTTCATCTCAGCTGGAGTGAACATAGCCATGCAAAGAACTGTAGTCACTATTCATGGGGGCCTGGGTGAGAGAGGCAAAGTTCTAGAAAGAGAAGACATACTGCTGGAGAGGCCCCTAGAATGTACAATAGCTCCCCCTGTAATGCAGCTGCTGCCTCTCTGTGTGGAAATGGGGATGGATTGCAAGAGGATGCAGGCAGCTTATCTAGGACTTCAAATCATGAAAGTAGTATGTGCGACAGAGAAACAGATTTGCCACAAGATAAGCAGAACCTGGTGGTTGAGAGGCTTTACATTTTTTGTTTTTTTTGTGTGTGTGTTTTTTTGTTGTTGTTTGTTTTTTTGAGACAGTCTTGCTCTGTCACCCAGCCTGGAGTGCAGTGGCGCAATCTCAGCTCACTGCAACCTCCACCTCTCAGGTTCAAGTGATTCTCCTGCCTCAGACTCCTGAGTAGTTGGAATTACAGGTGCCCACCACCACGCCTGGCTAGGGCTTTACGTTTTGAATTATTTCTGCTGTGAGCTTTCAAGTGACAGAGGATTAACTGCTTCATATTTTCTTCCACTTAACCTTGGCATGGCCTTTGTCCACATCTCAGGCAGTGGACATCTTAGTCATGTCAATGTGGTGACACTTTTCTACCTTCAGGTACCCAAGTTACCTGTGCATGGGCACTCAGGCTGTGGGTCTGCTCCAAGACCAATCAAAGGAAAGACATTCTAGGTAAATATCAATAGCAATAATTATTTTAAAAAAGATTTATAAGGTAACCAATGCAACTATTGCTGTGCAATCATTACCTCCAAACTTAGTGGCTTACAACGACAAATGACACTTCTCATCTCTCACAGTTTCCATGAGGGGATTTGGGAGTGGCTTGGCTCAGTGATTCTGCCTTGAGGTTCTTCATAATATTGTAACAGAGACATCAACCAGGGCTGCTGTCATCTGAAAGCTTGAACGAGGCTGGAGGGTCTACTCCTAAAGCCAGCTCATTGCATTCTGGGTAATAGGTTAGTGGTTGCCAGGCATTGCAGAGGGCAGGACAGATGGATGATAATGGGGTATTGGAAGCATAATGGAAATTATACTTGGATCATGGTGGTGGCAACCTGGTTTTATGGTTTTGTCAAAATCTGAATAGCTATGCACCAACAAGAGAGCAGTGTGTACATTTAAAAAGCTAAGTAGAAGAAGAGAGAAAAGGCAGCTCACTCACACACCTGGCTTATTGGTGAGAGGCCTTTGTCTCCTTGTGGGCCTCTCCTTGGGGTTTTGAATGTACTGGTGTTGTGTTCGCTGGCTTCCTACAGAGTGAGTGACCCAAGGCAGCATCTGGAGGAAGCTCCCCTTTCTATTACACTTGAAGGTCTCTGAGCACCACTTCCACACATTCTATTTGTTAGAACTTCTTCATATCACCCACAGTACCCAAAACAAGGTGTTGCTGATAGAAGTCCTGGAGGATCGGTCTCCCTCCTGTCACCCAGTGGAAAAACTACACTCCACATTCTCCACTGTCTGTGGTACAGTCAGAATTATGGGTCTCAAACCGATGATTCAACATTTTCAAGTACTGAATACTTGACAGAAACTAGTGTCAAATAATATGTACTTTGATTACATTTAATCAATTAAAATAAAAGCATTAGTTCTCTTTATACTAATATTTTCAATCTCTGAAAGCTGTATGTATTGTATCTAGTTAAGAATCAGCAGAAAATAGGACCCTTAAACACATACGATAATTATAGAACACAATTCTAAATTAAATGTTAGTGAAGAGGTGCCAGAGAAAATACTCAGCTTAGATTACACCTGGTTATTTTTGCATTATTATTTTTAATGTGTTTTGACACCTCAGCTGTTCTATGTAGACTCACTCTGATCTTCAGAGCCCACATTTTGGATTAGATAATTAAACTGCTTAAATGGCTCATGTTCCTGTCATATTATTGGGGTAGGAATGAAGTGGGAAAATAGTGTGATATAGAAGAGATAATTTTGGTTCTCTTATTTTGTCATTCATTCATTCATTCACTTATTCAAACACACTAAGTTCCTGTTATGTGAGAGGCCCTGTGCTTGAATTTATAAGGGAATGTGACTCATCCTCTAATCTCAAAGGGTTTGAAGTCTGAGGAAGGGAGGGGGAGAAGATAATATCTTTATTGAAATAAACGTAACACAAAATGTGAAAAAAAAGCTTGGGAGCCCTCCAACCACAATGCTTTGGGAATGGAGAACACAGAAAAAAACGACTTCCAACTTGAAGTTAGCATTGAGATATGTAGAAGTTGGTGGCTAGTTTCCCTAGAGCGGAGAGATCAGCATGACTACAGGCCAGATGGGGAAGGGTGATCATAACTAGCATTCAGGTCAGATGGGACCTTGGGTTAGATGAAGGTAAGAGAAGGCTGAGAAGACAGATTGGAACCAAATTGTAAATGGCCTTGCATGTCAGGCAAAGCGGAACTGTATTTGGTGGCCACTGATGTGTTTTTGAGTAGAGAGATGAATACTTGTCAGTAGAGGATGTGATCATTGGAATGAGGAGATTCTGAAAGCCAGGAGACCAAATCGAATTCATGCAGAGGCCTGCTGAGGGCCTGGAGGAGACCAAGGCAGAGGTCAAGGGGGAAAAGTGGAACGAGTGAAAGATATATTTCTTGGTGCACTATTCAGAGTGCTCTCCCAGTTAGCAAAATGAAAATGAGCCTGTACATTAGAATTCTCAAAGACACCTTGACAAGGTCAACGTTTCCTATTGGGAACTCCAATAGGAAAAACAGAAATGTAATGAGTAACATGAGTAATAATTTAGATTTCTGTTCAGTCTCAAATCCAACAAGAAATGTAATTGATGAACATTCTCAGTCGTGTGTTTACATACTATAGGGGCATTCTTCCTTCAGCTGGGATGGGTTTTGCCTGTTATTGTTATTAATGAAGCTAATAAATGGAACACTCTCTAAAGACGCTTGGTTAAGTCTTCCATCATCACTGACTAGGTTCCAAAAGAGATGAGAGCTTGGCTTCTAAAATGAAATCATTTTTGCACTACTGCATCCATTTATGCACTGTGGGCAAACTCAAGCAGGAAATTAGAAACCTATCCGGATTTTAAACATTAGAGTCAGCTACTACATTGGAAACAGCCCTATATTTGAAATATGGAAATACTGTTCTCTGTTATTAGATGTTGACCAAGAAAAGGGCAAAAGCAACAACAAAACACCCCTACTCATATCCAAAGTACTTACCTGGGCCGGGTGTGGTGGCTTATGCTTAGAATCCCAGCAATTTGGGAGGCCAAGGTGGGAGGATTGCTTGAGCACGGGAATTCGAGAGCAACCTGGGCAACATAGTAAAGCCCCATCTCTATAAAAAATAAAAAAAAAAATTAGCCAAGCATGGTGGTGCACACCTGTGGTCCCAGCTACACAGGAGGTTGAACTGGGAGAATCACTTGAGCCTGTGAGGCAGAGATTACAGTGAGTCATGACTGCACCACTGCACTCCAGCCTGGGTGACAGAGTGAGACTCTGTCTCAAAACAAACAAACAAACAAAAAAATTAACCTGTTCTTTAGTTACCAATTTTGTCTACATTGAAGAAGCTGACAATATCATGTGAAACTGCTAACCAATTCATTTTTCTCCTCAGTGCTCTAAGACCCTCCCTTCCTGGGTGTTGACTAAATATCTCTATTGTTTAGTTTAAGCTCAAGAACGGGTGTAGTATTTTGCAGGAGCTCAGCATAGTGGTTTCATAAGGTTCTAGGAAGACGTATCCATTATGCTGCCTCTGAAAAGCTGTGGGCTTTTTTGTGGCCCACATTCATTTGACAAAACAAGAGATCCTTGTGAAAAGATGCAAAATCAGGAGAAACCTGTCCTAGAACAAATGGGAAACTATTTTGTTTGTTTCTAAAATTATAACTTTAACTCCATAGAAAAAAGTAGCCTTAAGTGTCTTTTATTTTAAAGCTGCTGCAGATGGACTTAATCCCAGTAGATGGGATTCTCTAAGTGATTGTGAACTGAGATTATGGTATAAGAAACAAATGTCAGGTTTACTCAAAGTAGAACATACCTATTGACGTATTTGTTTACTATCTCATTTTGACTAATATTTAATAAACACCGGCTGGGCATGATGGCTGATGCCGGTAATCCCAGCACTTTGGCAGGGCAAGGCAGGTGGATTGCCTGGGGTCAAGAGTTCAAGACCAGCCTGGCCAACATGGTGAAACCCCATTTCTACAAAAAATACAAAAATTAGCCGGGTATAGTGTGCATGTCTATAGTCCCAGCTTGTCAGGAGGCTGAGACAAAAGAATCGCTTGAACCTGGGAGGCGGAGGTTGCAGTGAGCCATGATTGTGCCACTGCACTCTGGCCTGGGCAACAGAGCAAGACTCTGTATCAAAAAAACAAAAAGCCAGATTTACTCCAAGTAGAACATACTTATTGATGTATCTGTTTACTGTCTCATTTTGAGTAATATTTAATAAGCACCTACTGTTTAACAGGCATGTGATAAACCCTGGAATACCAAGATGCCATTGTCCTGATATCTAAAAAAAGACATGCTTTCTCTTTTAAAAGTCCATATCATTGTGATTTCCGAGGCAAATAAAATACTGTGAAGAGCTTTTTACCTGAAGATGTCTGGTATGTTTTGTGTATATAAAAGCATAGAGATAAGGTAAAGAAAGAAATGAACAAAAGCTGAGCTCATTCAGTACTCTACAATTTGCTTTTCAAATAGATTCTGCTGCTGGCCATTATCATCTTATGTAAATGTTTCCCCAAGAAAATGGGGATTTTATAGTTGAGGTTGAGGTAAGGGAGGAAACAGCAGATGTCCTGATAAATTGCATCTGAAACCTTTGTATGACTCTATACCCAGGACCAAAACTGCTACCTGAAAATGGAGAAATTAAATTCTATGGTGCTTTGCTACAGTGGAGTCACCTTAGAGAAAGAGCTCTTCATTTGTCCATCCATGAGTCACTCAACAAATGCCTATTAGGTGGTTATTATGTAACGGGCACTATACCCAGTACTGAAGATACAATAATGAAAAAGGGATGGTTCTTTCCTTCAGGAAACTTCTAAGCTAGCAGGTAATGCAAGCAATCTAACATTATTTGAAGGATGCTTTTTAGATCTTCAGATGATTTGCATATCTTTACTGTAAGAATAGGAAAACTTCCTTTAAAATCTTGAAAAAGCCACTTCAACTTAAAAATACACAACTAAAGATTTCTTTACAAATATTGCAGCTGGTGGTTTGCTGCCAATAGAAATGTTACTTACCGAAAGAGATCTTTTATTTAGAAGGTGAGTATGATGTCTACATTAGATAAGTGGGTTCCTAGACCCGAATAATAAACAAAAATATGCAATAACTTGAATTTGGAACCTATTTTTACAAAGTATGACAAATAATATGTTTACTGAAATAGCTAATGGGCCAGTGGCATGGTAGCACAGCTTTTCACAGATACCCGCTGGCAAACTGTTAAATGATTTGCAGTGAGTTATCAAGGATTACTGTTTTGTAAATAAGAGTCCTGATTTCTTTTGCAGTTATATGTAAAAGAAAGGCATCTATCACTCAATATAAACCCTACTGCAGGAAGTATAGTTTTACAAAGTCCTAGTGAATCAGTAAGGTTCAGCGTAGTGGATTCAGGGTCATAAGCCCTAAATCTGAGTCCTGCTTTTCCTACTAAGTAACTGTGAGACCTTGATGAGTTGCTTCATCTCTCTGGGCCTCAGTCTCCTCTCAGAAACGAAGGTGTTGGGATAGGTGATCTCTTTTAGCATTGTAGTCCATCTAGTTTCCTTCTAGGTCAGTCTGTACCACAGAGGAACAATAAATTGTGAGTCTGTGAACTTCGATTGTGAATAATTGCACCTCCAGAATACGTGAAATATCAGATTGTTCAAGCTTATGTTTAATGATGCACTGACCCTACCCTGGGACCACAAAAAAAGGTTTATTTTGTCCCCTCTCCATTCTGTTTGACCACCCCTGGACTTCTGCATCCAGGGGCAATGCAAGGACTCAAGGCAGCTATATGTTCATAGCAAAGAGCTTTTTATTATGATTTGGCTTGAGTCTGGACAAACTGTATGTTGACTTGTGGCCCTAAGCAAAACAACATATGAGGAACTTTGGAGGTGTCTCAACGCACTCCCTCATGCCTAAAACTTGCTCTCTACCCTCAAGGGGCAATGTCTACTAAATTTATTGACTCCTGCCCTCATCTCGTTTCCGTTTCATAATCTCCTTCACTTTAAAGTGCACACTTAGGAGTTTTATATTTTCAGCTTTTAGATGTAAAGGTTATTTAGTGGAGTCGTCAGTGGTCTTGGCATCTGCAGCACATGCACACACTCATGTACCCACCCATGATTCCTGATCATATATGTTGTTTCTAATTGTCACTCATATTTTCCAAGTGTGGTTACCATGCGAATGGAAGTCACCATTGCTGCAACCACGTCTTGGGGATCCATTTCTACTAATGCTAGAGTAATCAGACCAACCCTTCTACTGATAATATTTGTAAACTCTGGAGAAAATATAAAAATCATCTACTTGAAGACAATGGGGAGCAATCAAAACCAGGCAGAAACTGGAGGGAGGTGAACATTTGGAATAAGGAAAGAACATTGAGTGAGTTTTCCAGTTTTTGTGGCTATTTTCCTCAGGGCTGATCCAGTCAGCAGCAAGCTGGCTGGCTGGAATATAGGTAAAAACCCACAGTCTTACTGGCTTGAAGACCAAAGGAGAGAGCTCTGGGGAACCATAGCACTGGAAAGTAAAGCCAAAAATTCAAGAAAGGGGAAAATCAGAGTTTTGTGTTTGTGTGTGTGTGTGTGTGTGTGTGTGTGTGTGTGTGTGTGTGTGTATGTGTCTAACGCTGCCTAAACCTGTCCTTGATAACTAAACAATGTACCAATGGAGCCAACGCCAGACATCTTAGCTCAAGCTAAAAGTACTGAGCAGCAATTTCAGCTGCTTCACACACACCTCCCAACCCCCCATGCCCCATCCCAATTCCCACACCACCGCTACCACACACACATCACAGGGGAACAGAATTTGGAGTTTGACTTCACCTAAGTTTGCTGCCGGCTTTCAAAATCGATGTTCTGGAGGAATATAAGAGAATCCAAAGTTTATACAATGTATCATTCATAATATTCAGATGCAGTCTTACATTAATATGCATAGGAGGAACTAGGAAATGTGACTCATGCTCAAGAGAACAAGCAATCAATAGAGACTAATACTGAGATAATCCAGCTAATAGAATGCGAGGATTTAAAAGTAGCTATTATAATTATGCTCAAGGATATAAAGGAAAGTATACTCACAGTGAGTTAGGGAATAGAACATTAATCAGCAATAGAAACAAAAAGAGCCAAGAGAATCTGAAAAATAAAATATTCAAAGTGAAAAATATACATGGAGTTTATAACATGAATTGGATTTAAAGAGAGTGAACTTGAAATTAAATAGGTACTATCTAATCTCAAGAACACAGAGAAAAATATTTTTAAAAATTAAAACACTGTGTGTGGGACAATGTCAAAAGTCTTTCATATGTGAAAGAAACACATTTGCATGTTTAAGAAGCTCATGAATCCTAAGTAAGATAAATATAAAGAAAACTACACCTAAAATTATTACATACATTAATTCCTCACTTAACGTCTTCAATAAGTTCTTGGAAACTGAGACTTTAAGCGAAAGCCCTACAGCAAGTCCTTGAAGAAGATCATTTTGTTCAACTTTGTTTTGTTGATGAGAAAAAAATCATTTCTTTATACATTGTCTCATTAAAGTCACAATTTCTAAGAACATATTGACAACATTAAGTGAGAACTTACTGTACATAATGGTCAAATTGCTGAAGACCAAGGAGAAAGAGGAAATCTTGAAAGCAGTCAGAGAAGAATTACACATTATATAGATGTCAGCAACAATATGAATGATAACTGATTTCTCATTAAAACAAAAAATTAAATCCAGGATTGAGTGAAACTCTTTAAAGTACTGCAAGAAAAAAAAAAGCCTGTTAATCAGTGAAAATATTCTTCAAGAATAAAGGTGTAATAATGACATTTTTAAATCAACAAAAACTAAAGAATTTGTTGCCAGCACATCTGTAGTACTGGAAATGCTGAAAGAAGTTCTTCAGGCTATACTGAAATACCAGAAGAAAAATCAGATCTTCAAAAAGGATGGAAAATGACCAGGAATGATAAATACGTGTATTAGCATAACACGCTTTCTTTGTTCTTAATTTCTTTAAAATACATACGATTTTTATGACTCCTTTAAGAAACTGAGACATACCCAGCTACTTGGGAAACTGAGGTGGGAGGATGGTTTGAGCCTGGGAGGTAGAAGTTGCAGTGAGCCGAGATTGCATCATTGCACTCCAGCTTGAGCGAGAGAGCCAGAACCTGTCTCAAAATAAGTAAATAAATAATAAATAAATACTGAGACATAATTCACACACCATAACATTTACCATTTTGAAGTATACATTTCACTGGTTTTTAGTATATTCATGAGATTGTGCAACTGTGAACAAAATTAATTTTAGGGTATTTCACCATTTCCCATTATTCCCTCACCATAGCCCCAAGCAACCACTAGTCTAGGTTTTATCTCTGTGGGCTTGCCTATTTTGGACATTTTATATAAATGTAAATGTAAAATATGTGCCTTTTGTGTCCCTTTTTTATTGATACATAATAGTTGTACATATTTATGGGGTAGAGGTTTTTTTTGATATATGCATGCTGCCTGTAATGATCAAATCAAGGTAGTCTCGACATTCTTCACTTCAGATATTTAGCATAATGTGTTTAAGGGTCATTTATTTTGTAGCATGTATCAGTACATCATTCATTTTTATTATTTAATGATATTTTATTATGTAGGTACACTTTTTGTTTATTCATTGGTGGACATTAAGTTGTTTCTATACTTTGACTTATGAATAATACTGCTAGGTACATTCATGGAAAAGTTTTTGTGTGGATATATGCTATCAGTTCTCTTGAATATATGCCTAGGAGTAGAATTGCTGGGTCATATGATAACCCTATATTTAACTTATTAAGTAATTGCAAAGTGTTTGCAAAAGTGATTGCACCATTTTACATTCCCACCAGCAATGTATAAGTGTTCCAATTCGTATACATCTTTGTCAACACTTATTATCTACCTTCTTTATTCTGCCTATCCTAGAATATGACATAGTAAGTCACTGTGGCTTTGATTTACTTTTTTCCTGATGGCTAATGAGATTGTGTCTTTTCATGTGTTTATTGAACATTTGTAGTTCTTCTGGGAGAAATACCTATTCATATCCTTTACTTGGTCTTCAATTGAGTTATTTGCCTTTTATTGTTGAGTTGTAATAGATTTTTATGTAGTCTGGATACTGGATTCTTATCAGATATATGATTTTCAATTTTGTCTCTCATTCTGTGGACAATCTTTCAATTTAACCATAGCATTTGAAGCACAGACATTTTAAATTTTAATTAAGTTCCATTTCTATATATTTTCTGTTGTTGTTGTTTGCATTTTTTTATCACATTGAAGGAAATATTGCCTAATCTAATTGTCACAAAGATTTACCTCAAAATTTTATTCTAAGAGTTTCATAGTTTTACTTCTTACATTTATGTCTTTGATTCATTTTGGCTTAATTTTTGTATGTGATTTGAAGTAAGAATCCAACTTTATTCTTTTGCATGTGGAATTTAGTTGTAATGGTACCATTTGTTGAAAAGACTTCTCTTATTGCATTGTCATGGCACCTTTGCTGAAACTCAATGGACCATAAATGTATGGGTCTATTTCTGGCCTATCAATTCTATTCCATTAATTCATATGTCTTTTTTTTTTCTGCAACACCGCACAATCTTGATTACTGTAGCATTGTAGTAAGTTTTAAACTCAAAAAGTGTCAGTTCTCCAATTTTGTTCTTTTTTTTTTTCCAGACTTTTTTGGTGTTTTGGGTTTTTTTAAATTTTCATATGAATTTTAGAGCCACATTGTCAATTTCTCCAAAAAGGCAGCTAGGATTTTGGTAGGGATTGTGTTGACTCTGTAGATAATTTTGAGGAATATTGCCATTTCAGCAATATTAAGCCTTCCAATTTATGAACACAAAATGACTTTTCATTTATTTAGGTTTTCTTTCAACAATATGTTATAGGTTTCAGTGTGTAAGTCTTGCATGTGTTTTGTTAAACTTATTCCTAATTTTTTTACACAATTGCAAGTGGAATTGTTATCTTAATTTTATTTTTGGATTGCTCATTGTAAATATGTAGAAATATAATTGTATTTTAAATATAAATCTTGTATCTTGCAACCTTGCAGAACATATTTCCTAGCTCTAATGGTTTTATGTGCTGTGTGTGTGTGTGTGTGTGTGTAGGTATTCCTTAGGATTTTCTAAATACAACATCATGTTATCTCCCAATAGAGAGTTTTACTACTTCTTTTCCAATATGGATGCCTTTTATTTAAGTTTCTTTCCTAACGGTACTGGCCAGAGCCTCCAGCACAATCTTGAATAGAAGTGGCAAGCATGGGCATACTTGTCTTATTTCTGATCTTAGGGAGGAAGCTTTTAATTATCACTATGAAGTATGATGTCAGCTGTGGATTTTTTCTTAAATACTCTTTATCAGGAGGAATTTTCTATTACAGTTTGTTGAGTGTTTTCAGCATGAAAGGGTGTTGTGCTGTGTCAAATGCCTTTTCTTTATCCATTGAGATGATCAGGCGATTTTTATCTTTAATTTATTCCATGAATTACATTTATTGATTTTCATACGTTAAACCAACCTTGCATTCCTGGTGTAACTTCCACTTGGTTATAGTGCATTATCATTTTTAGGTTTCTGGATTTAGTTTGCTAGCATTTTGTTGAGAATTTTGATGTCTATTTTTATTAGAAATGTTGGTCTGTAGTTTTCTTTTTTTGTGTGATGACTTTATATGGTGTTGGTATCAGGGTAATACAGACCTATAGTGAATTTGTGAAATTTCAGGGTTAAACAATGAAAAAGATATGACCAGCAGCACACATGAGCTTTATGTATGTGATGCTTTGATAGGCTTGTATGCAAGGGAAGTGCCTCATTGCATGCATTTCACAGGCTACAGTGTGAGGACCACTATCCAGAACAGGAGGAGGTTCAGGAAACTTCTAAAGGAGAAGATAATCAGAGAGGGGACTTGACTGTATAGGTAATGGTGCTCAGCAGCATGGCAGGGAGTCTCTGGGCTAGAGAGCCATGAAGGCAGTGGTGGCTTTGCATCTTTTATAGCTACAAGATTTATTTTGCCTATGACTAGCAGATGTTGAGCACAGTTTCACAGGTTATGCAAAACAGGCAGGCTCAATGTGACAAAAATCTGCTTACCTGGCTCTATTTAATACAAATGAATGCATAAAAAATTTGAATTTGGTTCTGGTGGATTTTGTGCTAACAGATCTCAGCCTGCTATGAAGGAGGAACCAACCCGGGGCCAACATACAGGGGCCATCTTTGGCTCATTTATATGACAGCAACTTATAGAGTGAGTTGGGAAGCATTTCCTCTTTTCCTGTTTTTAGAAAGACTTTGTGAAGGATTGGTGTTAACTTTTCTTAAAATAGTAGAATTCACCAATGAAGCCATCCAGTCTGACTCTTTTTTTGTATGAAATATTTTTGATTTATAAGTCAGTGTCTCTACTTGTTATAAGTCTACTCACACATTCTATTTTTTCCTGAGTCAGTTTTGGTAGTTTCTTTCTTCTATGAATTTATCTGTTTTAAGTAGGTTGTCTTATTTATTGGCATGCAATTTTCCATAGTATTAACTAACAATCCTTTCTATTTCTGTAAGATCATTAGTAAGATCATTAGTGATGTCCTCTCTTTCATTTTTTAGTTTAGTAATTTGTGAGTTATCTCTTTCTTGTCAATTTAGCTAGATATTTATCAGTTTTGTTGATCTTTTCAAATAATCAACTTTCAGTTTTGTTGACTTCCATTATTGTTTTTCTATAATCTATTTCATCTTCTTCTATTCTAATGTATTATTTCCTTCCTTCTGCTTTCATTGAGTTTTTTCATTGAGTATTTTGCTCTATTTCTAGTTTTTAAGATAGAAGTTTAGTTATTGAATTGAGATCTTTCTTATGTTTTTAAATGTTTTATTTATAGTTATAAATATCCCTTCAAGTACTCCTTTTGCTGCATCCTGTAAGTTTGGATATATCGTTTTCATTTTCATTTATCTCAGTATATTTTTTGCTGTCCATTTTTATTTGTAACTTGATCTATTGGTTATTTAAGAGTGTGTGGTTCAATTTCTACTTATTTTTGGATTTCTCAAATTTCTTTTTTATTATTATTATTATACTTTAAGTTTTAGTGTACATGTGCACATTGTGCAGGTTAGTTACATATGTATACATGTGCCATGCTGGTGCACTGCACCCACTAACTCGTCATCTAACATTAGGTATATCTCCCAATGCTATCCCTCACCCCTCCCCCCACCCCACAACGGTCCCCAGAGTGTGATATTCCCCTTCCTGTGTCCATGTGATCTCATTGTTCAATTCCCACCTATGAGTGAGAATATGTGGTGTTTGGTTTTTTGTTCTTGTGATAGTTTACTGAGAATGATGATTTCCAATTTCATCCATGTCCCTACAAAGGACATGAACTCATCATTTTTTATGGCTGCATAGTATTCCATGGTGTATATGTGCTACATTTTCTTAATCCAGTCTATCATTGTTGGACATTTGGGTTGGTTCCAAGTCTTTGCTATCATGAATAATGCCGCTATAAACATACGTGTGCATGTGTCTTTATAGCAGCATGATTTATAGTCATTTGGGTATATACCCAGTAATGGGATGGCTGGGTCAAATGGTATTTCCAGTTCTAGATCCGTGAGGAATCGCCACACTGACTTCCACAGTGGTTGAACTAGTTTACAGTCCCACCAACAGTGTAAAAGTGTTCCTATTTCTCCACTTCCTCTCCAGCACCTGTTGTTTCCTGACTTTTTAATGATTGCCATTCTAACTGCTGTGAGATGGTATCTCATTGTGGTTTTGATTTGCATTTCTCTGATGGCCAGTGATCATGAGCATTTTTTCATGTGTTTTTTGGCTGCATAAATGTCTTCTTTTGAGAATTGTCTGTTCATGTCCTTCACCCACTTTTTGATGGGGTTGTTTGTTTTTTTCTTGTAAATTTGTTTGAGTTCATTGAAGATTCTGGATATTAGCCCTTTGTCAAATGAGTAGGTAGCAAAAATTTTCTCCCATTTTGTAGGTTGCCTGTTCACTCTGATGGTAGTTTCTTTTGCTGTGCAGAAGCTCTTTAGTTTAATTAGATCCCATTTGTCAATTTTGGCTTTTGTTGTCATTGCTTTTGGTGTTTTAGACATGAAGTCCTTGCCCATGCCTATGTCCTGAATGGTAATGCCTAGGTTTTCTTCTAGGGTTTTTATGGTTTTAGGTCTAACATTTAAGTCTTTAATCCATCTTGAATTGATTTTTGTATAAGGTGTAAGGAAGGGATCCAGTTTCAGCTTTCTACATATGGCTAGCCAGTTTTCCCAGCACCATTTATTAAATAGGGAATCCTTTCCCCATTGCTTGTTTTTGTCAGGTTTGTCAAAGATCAGATAGTTGTAGATATGCGGCGTTATTTCTGAGGGCTCTGTTCTGTTCCATTGATCTATATCTCTGTTTTGGTACCAGTACCAAACATGCTGTTTTGGTTACTGTAGCCTTGTAGTATAGTTTGAAGTCAGGTAGTGTGATGCCTCCAGCTTTGTTCTTTTGGCTTAGGATTGACTTGGCGATGCGGGCTCTTTTTTGGTTCCATATGAACTTTAAAGTAGTTTTTTCCAATTCTGTGAAGAAAGGCATTGGTAGCTTGATGGGGATGGCATTGAATCTGTAAATTACCTTGGGCAGTATGGCCATTTTCACGATATTGATTTTTCCTACCCATGAGCATGGAATGTTCTTCCATTTGTTTGTATCCTCTTTTATTTCCTTGAGCAGTGGTTTGTAGTTCTCCTTGAAGAGGTCCTTCACATCCCTTGTAAGTTGCATTCCTAGGTATTTTATTCTCTTTAAAGCAATTGTGAATGAGAGTTCACTCATGATTTGGCTCTCTGTTTGTCTGTTGTTGGTGTATAAGAATGCTTGTGATTTTTGTACATTGATTTTGTATCCTGAGACTTGGCTGAAGTTGCTTATCAGCTTAAGGAGATTTTGGGCTGAGACAATGGGGTTTTCTAGATATACAATCATGTCGTCTGCAAACAGGGACAATTTGACTTCCTCTTTTCCTAACTGAATACCCTTTATTTCCTTCTCCTGCCTAATTGCCCTGTCCAGAACTTCCAACACTATGTTGAATAGGAGTGGTGAGAGAGGGCATCCCTGTCTTGTGCCAGTTTTCAAAGGGAATGCTTCCAGTTTTTGCCCATTCAGTATGATATTGGCTGTGGGTTTGTCATAGATAGCTCTTATTATTTTGAGATACGTCCCATCAATACCTAATTTATTGAGAGTTTTCAGCCTGAAGGGTTGTTGAATTTTGTCAAAGGTTTTTTCTGCATCTATTGAGATAATCATGTGGTTTTTGTCTTTGGCTCTGTTTATATGCTGGATTACATTTATTGATTTGTGTATATTGAACCAGCCTTGCATCCCAGGGATGAAGCCCACTTGATCATGGTGGATAAGCTTTTTGATGTGCTGCTGGATTCGTTTTGCCAGTATTTTATTGAGGATTTTTGCATCAATGTTCATCAAGGATATTGGTCTAAAATTCTCTTTTTTTGTTGTGTCTCTGCCTGGTTTTGGTATCAGAATGATGCTGTCCTCATAAAATGAGTTAGGGAGGATTCCCTCTTTTTCTATTGATTGGAATAATTTCAGAAGGAATGGTACCAGTTCCTCCTTGTACCTCTGGTAGAATTCAGCTGTGAATCCATCTGGTCCTGGACTCTTTTTGGTTGGTAAGCTATTGATTATTGCCACAATTTCAGATCCTGTTATTGGTCTATTCAGAGATTCAACTTCTTCCTGGTTTAGTCTTGGGAGAGTGTATGTGTCGAGGAATTTATCCATTTCTTCTAGATTTTCTAGTTTATTTGCATAGACGTGTTTGTAGTATTCTCTGATGGTAGTTTGTATTTCTGTGGGATCGGTGGTGATATCCCCTTTATCATTTTTTATTGCGTCTATTTGATTCTTCCCTCTTTTTTTCTTTATTAGTCTTGCTAGCGGTCTATCAATTTAGTTGATCCCTTCAAAAAACCAGCTCCTGGATTCATTAACTTTTTGAAGGGTTTTTTGTGTCTCTATTTCCTTCAGTTCTGCTCTGATTTTAGTTATTTCTTGCCTTCTTCTAGCTTTTGAACGTGTTTGCTTTTGCTTTTCTAGTTCTTTTAATTGTGATGTTAGGGTGTCAATTTTGGATCTTTCCTGCTTTCTCCTGTGGGCATTTAGTGCTATAAATTTCCCTCTACACACTGCTTTGAATGCGTCCCAGAGATTCTGGTATGTTGTGTCTTTGTTCTCGTTGGTTTCAAAGAACATCTTTATTTCTGCCTTCATTTCATTATGTACCCAGTAGTCATTCAGGAGCAGGTTGTTCAGTTTCCATGTAGTTGAGCGGTTTTGAGTGAGATTATTAATCCTGAGTTCTAGTTTGATTGCACTGTGGTCTGAGAGATAGTTTGTTATAATTTCTGTTCTTTTACATTTGCTGAGGAGAGCTTTACTTCCAAGTATGTGGTCAATTTTGGAATAGGTGTGGTGTGGTGCTGAAAAAAATGTATATTCTGTTGATATGGGATGGAGAGTTCTGTAGATGTCTATTAGGTCTGCTTGGTGCAGAGCTGAGTTCAATTCCTCGGTATCCTTGTTGACTTTCTGTCTCGTTGATCTGTCTAATGTTGACAGTGGGGTGTTAAAGTCTCCCATTCTTAATGTGTGGGAGTCTAAGTCTCTTTGTAGGTCACTCAGGACTTGCTTTATGAATCTTGGTGCTCTTGTATTGGGTGCATATATATTTATGATAGTTAGCTCTTCTTGTTGAATTGATCCCTTTACCATTATGTAATGGCCTTCTTTGTCTCTTTTGATCTTTGTTGGTTTAAAGTCTGTTTTATCAGAGACTAGGATTGCAACCCCTGCCTTTTTTTGTTTTCCGTTTGCTTGGTAGATCTTCCTCCATCCCTTTATTTTGAGTCTATGTGTGTCTCTGCACGTGAGTTGGGTTTCCTGAATACAGCACACTGATGGGTCTTGACTCTTTATCCAATTTGCCAGTCTGTGTCTTTTAATTGGAGCATTTAGTCCATTTACATTTAAAGTTAATATTGTTATATATGAATTTGATCCTGTCATTATGATGTTAGCTGGTTATTTTGCTCGTTAGTTGATGCAGTTTCTTCCTAGTCTCGATGGTCTTTACATTTTGGCATGATTTTGCAGCAGCTGGTACCGGTTGTTCCTTTCCATATTTAGCGCTTCCTTCAGGAGCTGTTTTAGGGCAGGCCTGGTGGTGACAAAATCTCTCAGCATTTGCTTGTCTGTAAAGTATTTTATTTCTCCTTCACTTATGAAGCTTAGTTTGGCTGGATATGAAATTCTGGGTTGAAAATTCTTTTCTTTAAGAATGTTGAATATTGGCCCCCACTCTCTTCTGGCTTGTAGGGTTTCTGCCGAGAGATCTGCTGTTAGTCTGATGGGCTTCCCTTTGAGGGTAACCCGACCTTTCTCTCTGGCTGCCCTTAACATTTTTTCCTTCATTTCAACTTTGGTGAATCTGACAATTATGTGTCTTGGAGTTGCTCTTCTCGAGGAGAATCTTTGTGGCGTTCTCTGTATTTCCTGAATCTGAACGTTGGCCTGCCTTGCTAGATTGGGGAAGTTCTCCTGGACAATATCCTGCAGCGTGTTTTCCAACTTGGTTCCATTCTCCCCATCACTTTCCGGTACACCAATCAGACGTAGATTTGGTCTTTTCACATAGTCCCATATTTCTTGGAGGCTTTGCTCATTTCTTTTTATTCTTTTTTCTCTAAACTTCCCTTCTCGCTTCATTTCATTCATTTCATCTTCCATTGCTGATACCCTTTCTTCCAGTTGATCGCATCGGCTCCTGAGGCTTCTGCATTCTTCACGTAGCTCTTGAGCCTTGGTTTTCAGCTCCATCAGCTCCTTTAAGCACTTCTCTGTATTGGTTATTCTAGTTATACGTTCTTCTAAATTTTTTTCAAAGTTTTCAAGTTCTTTGCCTTTGGTTTGAATGTCCTCCCATAGCTCAGAGTAATTTGATCGTCTGAAGCCGCCTTCTCTCAGCTCGTCAAAGTCATTCTCCATCCAGCTTTGTTCCGTTGCTGGTGAGGAACTGCGTTCCTTTGGCGGAGGAGAGGCACTCTGCTTTTTAGAGTTTCCAGTTTTTCTGTTCTGTTTTTTCCCCATCTTTGTGGTTTTATCTACTTTTGGTCTTTGATGATGGTGATGTACAGATGGTTTTTGGTGTGGATGTCCTTTCTGTTTGTTAGTTTTCCTTCTAACAGACAGGACCCTCAGCTGCAGGTCTGTTGGAATACCCTGCGTGTGAGGTGTCAGTGTGCCCCTGCTTGGGGGTGCCTCCCAGTTAGGCTGCTCGGGGGTCAGGGGTCAGGGTCCCACTTGAGGAGGCAGTCTGTCCGTTCTCAGATCTCCAGCTGCGTGCTGGGAGAACCACTGCTCTCTTCAAAGCTGTCAGACAGGGACATTTAAGTCTGCAGAAGTTACTGCTGTCTTTTTGTTTGTCTGTGCCCTGCCCCCAGAGGTGGAGCCTACAGAGACAGGCAGGCCTCCTTGAGCTGTGGTGGGCTCCACCCAGTTCGAGCTTCCCAGCTGCTTTGTTTACCTAATCAAGCCTGGGCAATGGTGGGCGCCCCTCCCCCAGCCTCGCTGCCACCTTGCAGTTTGATCTCAGACTGCTGTGCTAGCAATCAGCTAGACTCCGTGGGTGTAGGACCCTCCGAGCCAGGTGCGGGATATAATCTTGTGGTGCGCCGTGTTTTAAGCCCGTCAGAAAAGCGCAGTATTCGGGTGGGAGTGACCCGATTTTCCAGGTGCTGTCTGTCACCCCTTTCTTTGACTCGGAAAGGGAACTCCCTGACCCTTTGCGCTTCCCAAGTGAGGCAATGCCTCGCCCTGCTTCAGCTCACGCACGGTGGGCGCACCCACTGACCTGCGCCCACTGTCTGGCACTCCCTAGTGAGATGAACCTGGTACCTCGGATGGAAATGCAGAAATCACCCGTCTTCTGCGTCGCTCACGCTGGGAGCTGTAGACCGGAGCTGTTCCTATTAGGCCATCTTGGCTCCTCCCCCCAGACTCTCAAATTTCTTTTTTTTACTGATTTCTAATTTTGTTCCATTATGGTTAAAGAATATACTTATCTGATTTTAATCCATTTCAATTTATTAAGACATGTTTTATGGCCAAACATATGATTTGTCCTAGAGAATGATTCATGTGCACTTGAGAAGAATATGTATACTGTTTTTTACGAGTGAAGTGTTCTACAGATGTCTCTAAGGTTTACTTGGTTTATCATGTTGTTCAAGCCTTTTATTTCTTGTTGATCTTTTGCTAATCGTTCTATCCATATTGAAAGTGGAGTAGTGAAGTCTCTAACTATTACAGTTGAATGATCTATTTCTCCTTTAAATTCTATCAGCTTTTGCTTTATGTACTTTTGGGGCTCTATTCTTAGGTACATATATGTTTATAGCTGATGAATTGACTGTATTATCATAATGAAATGTCCTTATTTGCCTCTAGACAAATTAAATTAAATTGACAACAATAAATACAATTTATTAAATGGATACTTCTTATTTTAAATTGGTTAATATAAATTACACTGTCAACTATATAATCGACTATAAAGTTGATTAAATATTAATAAAATTGACAACTATCACATAAAGAATAAGACTGTAAGGTTTTTATACTTTATGGAAAGTGATACAATATTAATTCTAAGTAGAATAAAAAGTTAAAGTATGTTTACAATAATACTTAGAGAAACCACCATGAAATACAAAGAAATATAGCTAAAAAGGTAACTGATAAATAAAAATGATAGTCTAAAAAATTAAATTACATGAAAAAAAGCACGAAGAGAGGAACAGAGAAGCAAAAAATAGATGAGATAAACAGAAAACAAGTAGTGAAAATGGAAATCCTAAATTTAATCATCTTAGTAGTTACATTAATTATAAGTGAATTAAACACTTAAAAAGCAAAAATTTTCAGAATATATAAAATTGAAAACACAACAAAACCAGTCCTCACTGATTTCTATATATTAATGGTTTATAATATATATTAGGACCTATATATTAGTAGTTTATAATGGAGACACTTCTTTGTGTGAAATTATTACAAAGGAGATGCTTATCTATTATGGTGTGAATAACTCACAATAAGGAGATTATGATTCTAGTGGTAAATAAGTGTATTATCTGTGTATCACTTTGTTGTATTATTGTTACATTGCTATATACATTATATATACATATTACTGTATATGGTTATATACATACAACTGTGAATACTATACTTTATGGATGATTTAAGTTTATTCAAAGATAATTTTGGTTTTAATGCATTTGTATCTCATATGAAAATTGCACCTGCCATGAATTATCACTCAGTTGTATTTAGCTCACCTCTCTGTATGAATCTCAGCCAGTGTTGGAGATGTTACATCCAAACTTGAAGCATTTCAGTTATATCTCAATCAGGCATTTCCTTGAATACTTTCATCCTAAGGTGCTCCAGTTTTTAGGCTAAGAATTCTTTTCCCCAGGCAACAATATGGCTGGACATAAAGTTTCTCTTCTATAGATATTTTCTTCTCCATTTTTACAAATGTTTATTCAAATAAAGACCATCACTGCAATGGACCTATATTTTCTGTGTGTTCTATTTAGTTTTATATATTCTTCTCTCTAATCCATCAAACAAAACTTCCTTAAACACAATATTGATTATGTCATGGTTTTTCCTAAAACCTTAATTCTGCCCTCAAATACTGCTTGCTTAGTAAAGTTAGGTTCTTTCTTATCTCAATAACTTAAAATTTTCATTCCTATCCATGTCTTATTTATCTTCTAAATAAACATTTTATTTTAGAATAGTTTTAGATTTACTGAAACATGGTGAAGATAGCACAGTTTTTATATATGCCACAACCAGCTTCTCCTGTTATTAACATCTCACATTTGTCACAATTAATGAGAGAATATTTTACATTATTATTAACTAAAGTCCATAGTTTATTCAGATTTCCTTAATTTTTACTGAGTGTCCTTTTTCTGTTTCAGGATCCCATATAGAATACTATATTAAATTTATTCATCACCTATTTTTAGACTCCTCCTCTTGGCTGTGACAGTTTCATAGGCTTTCCTTGTTGTTGGCGATTTAATAGTTTTGAAAGCACTGGTCAGATATTTTGGAGAATGCTCCTCGACTGGAATTTTCCTGATGTTTCTCTCAGGATTAGACTGGGATATGTGTTTTTGAGAGAAAGACCACAGAGGGAAAGTCCCATTTTCATCACATCATATCAAGTGTGCATACTATTACCATGATTTATTGCTGCTGATGTTGACTTTGGTCACCTGGCTGTTGATCATCTTGGTCACTCTTAGTCATCCTGTACTCTTTGGAAGGAATTCATTATGCACACCCCAGCCTTAAGGAGTGGGGAGTTATATTTCACCTCCTTGAGGGTGGAGTATCTACATAAATTATTCAAAATAATTCTGCATGTGAGGTTTATCTATCCTCTTTGTTTATTCAGTCATTTATATTTGAATAAACTCATGGATATATTTATTTTATAGTTTATACTATAATCTAATTCTACTGTGATTATTTTATTGTTCAAATTGCTCTAGATTTTGCTATTGGGAACTCTTTTTGTTGGCTCCCATGTGCCTTTGATATACTCAAATCACTGTGTGTGTGGGTGTGTGTGGTTTTTTCTGTACTTCCTTATTTTCCAGCACAACAAGATGCTCAAGGCTCATTTTGTAAATTTCCTGCCTCAGTCCTAGAAATAACCATTTCTGAAAGGAGTTCCAGTCCTTTTTTTCTGGAGAATGATATTAGAAACCAACATTTGGGTGCTAGGTTGCTTGCTTAGGTTAAATGATTTTCTCTTTTTTATTCCATCTAATCAAATTCTTTCCCTTCAAATATTTTTTTAAAATGGCATCTATACCTTTAAGCTTATCCATTTCTCTACTATAAGCTTAGAGTGTCCTAAATGGTTTCCCTCTTCAACCTATTTTCTACTTGGCAACTATAGAGATTTTTATAAAATACAAATCTCATTATGCCATTACCCTGGTTTAAAAACCTTCATAATCTCAGTATTGTCCTCAGGAGAAAGTTTAAACTTAATATTGCTGGAAATGTTTTTGGGATCTGGTTTCTGGTTTCTATTTTCCTCTCCAGCTTCACCTCTTAAAAATTATCAACCTTGGTTTAAACTGCATCCTTACTAAAATTATTTTCATTTCTTATGAGCCTTTGCATAGTTTTTTTTTCCTGGAACACTGACCTTACTCCTTTTTTTTTTTTTGCACACACACAAACACACAGACGCACACTCTTCACTTTGTAGATTTCTACTCAATTTTCAACTTTTTGCTTAAATGGGCATCTTTTGGGGAGTTTTCTATAGAATGCTTCCAGGCTGGGCTCGCTTCCTCTCTCCACCGGGCTCTGTACAACTGTAGCACTCATCGCAATGGGCAGTAATTATCATTTTACTGTCTCTTCCCTCTGGACGGAGTTTGTGATGGCAGAGACCTTGTATCTTTGTTTCATCATTGTATGATTAACATTTAGCACAATATCTGTCACTTGATATGCGCTAAAGAAGTATTTATTTAGTGACTCAATAAATTATCCATGGGATATTCCCCACCATGCTAGCTTCAGGATGTACTGGTCACTGACATATTTCTAAAGAAATATGGTTTTCCAAGTGTCAAATATGTATTTATTTTTGTAGGCAAAGCATGCTTCAGTATGAGACATCTCCTCCACAATGGAAAGATGAGAACAGTTACTGAAGATCATCTGTGGTTACTCATAGTTAGGCATAGTTCCCGGCTTTCTTTGTTCTTCATTGCCACCGTGGAAACAAAAGGCAGATGAAAGCTTCTCGACTGCTTGGGATCAGTTCTTATCTAGTGTGTGGGCACAGACATGTGCTTGGTTAAACACACTGGGAAGGCAGCCATGGAGAAATGTACAGGAATTCTAAAGCTGCGAAGGAATTTACACCTGCACCTCATAGCTCAGAATAGAACATGGCCTCCATGGTATCTTCAAATTCCAAAACTTCTCCAGTTTCATCCCAAGAGTTATACACTCATGAAGAATCTGACACAGGAACAAGTAGATAAGGTTTGACTTTGCCTCCTCATACCCTTTTTTTACTCAGAGAAAACTTTGGTATCTTTTAAATATCTTCCCTAGGGAAACTGGGACAGTCATTTTGGTCTCATGAAATATGGCTTATATGTGAGGTTTCCAGAGCTGCTAGAATGGAAATGATCTCTGCTCCTTCTGAGCATATGCACGGCAGTGCTCCTCCTCTAAATCTGGTAGTATATTGTACACATTCCCTCCAATCCTCTTGACTTAGCTCACATATCCTGGGGATGGAGAAATGGAGAGAATATTAATAGCCCTCCTCTAGCAGATAGCTTTTCTAGGGAAGAGGCTAAACTTGCCACAACTTTGCCAGGTTGTTCTTATGAAGGAAGAACATACCTGTGTATTAGGTTTGAAAACAATCTTTACCTTGGTACTAGATAGAGTTAATGATATATTGTCTTAAAGGGATGACCCTATTTGACCCAGTGAGAAAACTGGGACAGCCAAATGGTCTGAAGTATTTGGCTTCTCTAGTCTCCTGATAGCCACATTGACTGTGTATGTGTGATGTCCCTCTCAGCCACAATGATTAGGAAGACTAAATGTTTAATTATTTTTCCTACTCTTTGCCCTTGATAACCTAGCATAACTTTTGTTGGATACCCTATATTATTGAATGTTCACCCGCTAGAACAGTGCGCCATTTGGTGCAGGTATGAATTTTTTTATGGCCTCTAAGTTTAACAGATAAAGTACCAGATGACTAATTGAATTTGAATTTCAGATAACAACTCTTTTAACCTGCGTACAATAAGTATGCAGGTATTTGGGACATACTTATACTAAAAATCTGTTTGTTATTTATCCAAAATTCAAATTTAATTGAGCATCCTGTATTTTTATTTGGTAAATTTGACAACCTTAATGACCTGCCAACTTTTTCAGGTTTAAATATCTTTAAAAGTTTAAATTTCAATCAAATAAAGAGTATAAGGCCATTTTAGAGAGAGGAAATGAGTTCACTTTATTTTTATTTATTTTATTATTATCATTATTTTAGACGGATTCTCGCTTTGTTGCCCAGGCTGCTTGTTCATGATCCCAACATTTGTAAAGTCATTTAAAAAAAGAATAACTGAAACCTTATATCCTTTGACTAATAAATCCTAGAGATCTAATAGGCAGAGTGCCTAAACTTAAAAATACTGTATTGTATACTTAAAAATACTGTATTGTATACTTAAAAATTTGCTAAGAAGGCAGATCTTATGTTAAGTGCTTTTATCACAATTAAAATAATAAGAATAAAAAAAGAGGGCAGAGGAAACACAGAGGTGATGAATGGGTAAGAGCACAGATTGTGATGATGGTTTCAAAGGTGTACATTTATCTCCAAATGCATCAAGTTGTGTACATGAAATATTTATAGCTTTTAGTATGCCAATCCTACTTCAATACAGTAGCTTAAAAAATAAAAGAATAAAATCACTAAAACACTGTTTTTTAGAATAATTCTTTTCTGTACAAATTCTTGAGATGTTTAAAGTGTGCAAAAAAATCTGAGCTTTTCTTTCATTCCCATTTGTCTAACAAGATTTGGAAAGTCACCTAACCAAAATAAATGTAAATGTTTTTTCCACATAAAGTTTGACTTTTTTTTCCATTATATTGTGACATCAAAGCCTCAGCCATCTTCTCTTTTCTTTTAAAAGGCTTTTAGCGGTAATTTTGCTCATTTAGCAATGTGCCCAGTTAGCACCTTTGCTACACTTTTATCCACAGATAGATTATTTTATCTGCTGCCTTGACACAGATCTCTAGAGATATTGGACATATTTGACACATATTTACAAAATAATTCTTACTGTGATTAAGCTAGCTTTAGTCATTCTTTTAACTGTTTAGGAAATTTGGTTTGTAAAGTTGATGAATTCTTATGCAAGTCCTGTGAACCCTGTTCTATTGTAGTTGCTGCTGCTGTATAGTCTATCTTTTTTTTTTCTTTTTTCTTTCTTTTTTTTTTTTTGAGATGGAGTCTCCCCCATCAACCAGGCTGGAGTGCAGTGGTGCAATCTCGGCCCACTGCAACTTCCACCTTGCAGGTTCAAGCAATTCTCCTTCCTCAGCCTCCCAAGTAGCTGGGACTACAGGAATGCACCACCATGCCCGCTAATTTTTGTATTTTTAGTAGAGATGGAGTTTCACCATGTTGGCTAGGCTGCTCTTGAACTCCTGACCTCAGGTGATCCACCACCTCGACCTCCCAAAGTGCTGGGATTACAGGCATGAGCCACCATGCCTGGCCTCTATACTTTTTTTTTAAGTAAAGGGAGCTAAGTTGACAAAAACCTTTTTTTCTTTTTTCTGGAACTATCCCAAGATCTTCCCAGAACTTTCCAGAACTATCAAGGCAAGTTTCTGATACATCTTTAAAATTACTTGGCAAACCAAACCTAGATATCAAAAAATGTTTTTTGTTAGTCTGTTCATTAGCAGACACTGCTTGTGCTGCATTTGTGATGAGAACAATGCAGAGAGGTGACCTGTGGAATCATGAGAGTGCCTCTGTGCAATCAAGATGGAGCCACTGGCAACTGTGCCTTTTCAAGTATCACTAAATAAATGGACCTATTGGATTCTGCTGAGCTACCATTCTAGCCTTCACATCCTCTGCAAAGTCATCCAGAACATTAAGACAGATATAAGGGGCTAGTTCTGTGGTTCACACCTGTAATCTCAACATTTTAGGAGGCTGAGGCAGGAGGATTGCTTGGGCCCAGGAATTCAAGACCAGCCTGGACAGCTTAGGGAGACTTCATCTCTACAAAAAACAAGAAAACTTAGTCAGGCTTGGTGATGCACACCTGTAGTCCAAGCTATCCAGGAGGCTGAGGTGGGAGGATTACTTGAACCCAGGGGTTTGAGGCTACAGTGAACTATGATCTCACCACTGCACAGGGTGACAGAGTGAGACCTATGTCTCAAAAAAATACATACATACATAAATACATACATAAAAGTTTAAAAAAGAAAGATGGATATAATAGAATGAGAGAGGACCAGACAAGGGAGTTATTTGGGTTAGTTTTTTTACCCTTTTTAAAAAGTTATCTCCACACTTTGTGTTCTCTCCTAGATCTTTCCACTGTATAATAATGTACAATAGAATATATACAAAGAATGTGTGTGTGTGTGTGTGTGTGTGTGTGTGTAACAAAAGGACTTAATTTTGTTAGTTTGAGACATGTATTCACCCTTAAAGATATGAGGGTTAGAGCCAGCAGGCAGGAACTCAGATACAGGTTCTCTGTAACTTCATTGTGCGTGTTCTTGAGTGTGTGTGTGTGTGTGTGTGTGTTCTTGCCTTCTGTCACCCACTTTCCCTTCTGCCCCCTTTATTTTTTGTAGAAAAGTTATTTTGGAAAAATCCAACTTTACTTTGACCCCAAGAAAAATGAGATTTTTGTCTTTCTATTCTAACTTTATGAAGAATTGTTAGGAAAATATCCTTCATGGCCAAGAGTCGTAGTAATTCCAAAGCTCAAGACTCTCCACTAGGCTGGAGCGCTAGGTAGCTGGAGATCCCGATGTTGGCTAAGGGTCTCGGAGTCTACCTGGGCACATCAGCCCCAGCCAGGCTTTGCCATTTCACAGACCATCTCCAATCTCATTCAAAAACCCCTGGGAAACTTTACTGGAGCACAGTCTTTATATCCCCAATTTTCATAACTAGATTAAAAATTGTGCAAAGCAGTGATAGATAAGAAATTTAAAAAGCTAAAAAAAACCAGCAAAGCTGAATGCAAGAATTCCTTCTGAAGAGTGGCCGGTCCATGTTTCTCCAGGCTCCTGTCTGCAGCATATGTCCCTCCCATTGCCAGGTCAGCCCAAGAAGCAGCAGAGTCAGACACCTGGCCATGGACCTGGCCGAAGGTTGGCTGGAGGGGCATCCTGCAGTCCGCCAGCACAGAGGGTAGTATGGGAGTGCAGCAAGGCTACTGTGACTAAGAACACTTATTCCATAATGGTATCATCATTTAACAGTTATGTATTAGACTGATTGCAACTATCGTAAACTCACAAAAGCTTTTCTGTTGACTTAATATTTATAATGTGCATTCTCTTCATTATCCTTTTTTATTCCCCATACTTATTACCTTGTACATTTACACAGGATTCTCTATTTAAAAGAAATCCAAATAGTGGATATAATCATTGCAGAGCCTCTGGTTTGTGTTCCATTTTCTCCATAGGATCAGAAACTTTTTCTGAGGCCTTCACATGCAGGCACAGCCTGACAGATGTAAAATTGAGAAGTGGGTGAAATTTGACTTTCATGAATGCACTTGTTTCCTCTGATTCCTTTTCCAGCCTCAGAGTCACTCTTGTGGTACTTGTCTTCTTGGTTGCCATTGATTCTCTGAACACTGTTCCTTATAACAAACACAGATAGTCTCAGAGTCTGATAAATGGGTGCTTTATTGTAGAAGAGACTCAGTGGATTTCCTCTCCTAGCAGAGGTGGCTTTTAACCCTTACTTGAACTGTGGAATGAAAGACTCTATCTCTCATTAAATGAGTATAAATTAAAGACAAATGTAAGATGTGTCTATTGTTTTAACTTTATCTTTAATTGACAAATCATAATTGCATATATTTTGGAGTACAAGGTGATGTTTTGATACATGCACCCATTGTGGAATGATCAAATCAGGCCAATTAGCATATCTATTACCTCACATATTTATCATTTCCTTGGGGTGGGAACATTCAAAATCTACTCTTTTCACCATTTTGAAATATACAATACATGATTATTAACTATAGTCACTATATTGTACAATAGATCACGAGAACCTCTTCCTCCTCTCTAACTGAAATGGTGTACCCTTTGACCAACGTCTCCTCTTTATCCATTTACTGATCTTGCTTCGACCTCTGATAACCACGATTCTACTCTCTTTTGCTATGAATTCAACTATTTGAGATTCCACATATGAGTGACATCATGTGGCATTTGTCTCCCTGTGTCTGGCCTAGTTCACTTTGCATAATGTTCTCTAGATTCATCCATGTTGTTGAAAATGACCATTTTTCTTTCTTTTGAAAGACTAAATAGTATTCCATTTTGTAGGTTGGCATAAAAGTCTTCCCAATACCTCTTAAAATATAGCACGTGCTATATACTATTGTACTCACTAGCCTCCTAGGGATCAGTGCTTAGTAGCAAGGTGGGTCCAGGAAGGACAGCTCCACCTGAGTCACGTGTGTGGTTTTCCCAGGTGTTCTTAAATGCAGTCATTTGTCCAAGTTGTCATCATGGTCTGAATTGCCTTAGTGCCTCTTTCTATTCTGTAGCTTCTATTGCAGCAAAAGACCCACCTAGTAACTATTTTAATATGGCATTGGGGAATTTATGTTTCTAAAATTAATCTAATTGAATCCCCTTAATCTCCCTCTCTCTCTTTCTGGGGAGACAAGGAGTGGTAGGTGCACAACTTGAAGGAATTACCTATTAATGCCTTGGTTGAAGTCACTTTGTCCAGACCTGGGTTGATTCAGAGACTTGACTTTAGAAATCCCACATTTGCTGGGATGTCAGCCTCTTCAAGTTTGAGTCAGCCTCACTGTCAATAATTCTGATTTGGTGCTCAGCAATTCCCATGTTAACTGTTGACTTTTATTGTGTTTCTAAAATTGCTTCCATTCTGAGAATGATTTGAAAATAATTTTATGTTATTTTATTTTGATTGTATTACTGTGGCATTCCCTCGGACCACTTCTCTAACGTTTGCAATTTGACTGAGAAATGTGGTTTCAAGACAGAGAAGACATTTCAGGACTTCTGTGTGCCCACATGGGAATGGGAATCACAGAGTTTTTTTTTTTTTAAAATCTATTTCATTATTTTTTATATTTAGGACTCAGACTCTCATCTTCTTTTTGGAACTTTTCAAGGTGATTATTTTTTCCCAGGAACTACACCTTCAAGTCTCAGCTAAAGAAGCAATTACTTTTTAAAGATACCTAGTTTTGCATTCGGCAGCTCTCAGATCAGAAATAGGTATTGTGACTCCCTCTGGAGGGAGGTGTTCTTTAAAAAGATAAAAAGTTTTCATTTTAAAAGTTGGCAATTGTGTCTCATGAATTTGGTGGAATTAAAATTGATCCTGGGGCCCCAGTCCCTCATTAAAGATTAAAGATTCCTCAATGCTCCAAATGTTCCCCATTAGGCTGCTACTTGATCGTCTAAGACAAACTCTTCCCTGCAGAGGATCCATTGTCAGTGGTTTCTCTTTGGTACTCAAAGCTCCACCTTTTAATTACAAGCTCTCCTAGGCTCTGTCAGTGGTGATTGTCACCCTGTTTCTCTCCTCTGATAGCCCCTGAGGCTCTAGCAGCACAGCACATTATCCTCCTTTTCTAAGTTGTTATTTGTTTTCCTGAAAGAATAATGGAAGCAGCTGTAGAAATGTGGAGGCATTTGAAGCTGACCTTCTGAACACCAAAAAAACTCCACTGTAAAGGCTATGTTGATTGGGTTTGTCAGAATAAATTGAGCACTGGCTAAAAAACATGATGGATATGTGCACAACTTGAGGCAACTCTTTGGCTCAATGTCAGAGATGTGGATTTTTCCAAACTGAAAGCTTTTGTGCGCCATACTTCAACCCCTACTGCTCAGCGAAGTCAGTTTTTCAATTGCAGTCCATTTTGTGAGTGCAAGCCAGTTTCTCAAGATGAAAAGGGCTGCACACTGTGTGTGTGTATGTATATGTGTATGTGTGCTTACGCAATCTCACATTTCTAAGACATTTTCTCACGTCCACTGAATTAAAAAGCAATTGAATATTGAGAGGCATGTATGAATCATTGCAGGCTCTTTGGGGGAATATCTTGAATTTTGATTGCTAGACTTGTTCACAGTTCTGCACAACACACCTTACAACAGTCGGATAGGAAACTTACTCAAACGTCTCTAACCTTGAAATGAATCTGAGCCACTGCTACTTTTTCTTGAAGGTGGTAATAGAGGCCCCCAAACTGTTCCAGAACTCAGAAATCTTTTCCTCTCTCCAACTTTTATTAATTAGGTTACAGTTTGACTTTTAAAAGCTGTCCTTTTAAAATGTTGCCTTTCAGATCACATCCACAAAGACCATGTCTATTAGTCATTTACCCTACAATAGCAAATATTTTTTAGGGGCCTTTTCATGGCTGTGACACCAAAGTTAAAGACAAGATCATTGCGGATGTAGAGTAATTTTTCAGAGGTGCAGAATTAATAAATTAAAAAGCAGCAATTCAAACCTCGGACTTCTATGTTTAAGTCTGGTGCTCTGTCTGAGACATTGCCACCACGCCCTCACTGAGAAATACTTAAAATACATATTTATTGTACCTCTAATACCAGGGAATAGAAGTCTTGATTACTTGCATCAGAGGTTGGGCATCTTGGAACAGAAGTATGCCTGAGGTTGGGACTGAAATGTGTGTGAGAGTGTATCTGCGTATGGTGGGGTCGGGGTGCTCTTTGCAAAGATGCAAGTGACAGCACTTTGAGGTGTGAGTGTATGTCTGTGTGTGGTGGGGTGTTCTTAAGAGGCAACAGGGGATTGTTAGGGAGAGAATGAGAGGCAGAGAGGCAGATAAAAGGTAACAAGGACATAATTTCCCCTAGTTATCCTACCCACTCGTATTAAGGCCCCTAGCGGAAGCAATGACTAAGACTCACTGAAAATCATTCCCTAAGCCATCTTTTATATTTCGATGCCTTGGCTAAGTGATCCTCTCAGAAATCACACAAATGAAATTGCTTTGTACAGGTTTGGGAGACAAAACCTGGAACACTGTTGTTTACCAGATTTTTTTGGAATTCAGTTACCTGTACTGTAGTTGAACAGTGTACTCATAGATCCCCAGGAAATTGCTGTCTTTGCCTTTAAAAAGATCTCTCATCACCTAAATGGGGAGACAGAATGGAGACATATAATTGGATTCCAGAAATATTGCTACAAAACCCCTATAAATATGTACAAATTAATATACTGCAAATGAAGTGCAAGGTGCTGAAGGCATGTGTGTAATGGCCTCATCAGAGTCTGCAGGAAGCTAGATTGCAAAATAAATCACGCATCAGTATCTTTTCTGTAACTGTATGGATGGCTCCATTCTTTAGACGCTTTTATACACAAGCGAGTTGTATGAGATTATTGGCGTTTGCTTGTTTTTTTGTAAAGTGATAAGGTATCATCAGTGCAAAGAAGGTAATTGGTCTTAAGATCACCATGGTAAATGATTCCTCAAGAAAGGAAACCTCTACCAGCAAACAGCGCGCATTCCCTGCCCAGCTCCTTGCATATAGACTTAAAACTTCTGGAGCCTCTTAATTACATGTAGGATAACTGCTTGATGCATGACATTATTGCTTTGGCTTACATTTAAATTTCTGGGTGAAATAAAGGATGTGGAAATAATCTTTCTGTGGGATTGGTGTTATAGGAGTGTTCTGTGTTGTAAAAAATGATTTTTTAGAGTTGAGTGCAAATAGAAAATATTTCTCTCTAGCTCTTTTATGGGGACAAACTGAAGTAATAAAAGCCTCAGATTCACTTACATCATGCTTAGATACACAGAGGAATCAGGTTCTTTGTCTAGACTTACAAGGTCTTTTTCAGGAACCTCTACCTACTTGTGGACCAGGAAGAAATTAACTTCATTCAGTCCAGTGCTGTTTAAAGCTCCGTTGTGTCTGATGTTTAAACAATCTTTTAGAGAATTCTCCATCTCCCAGATATTTGCCAATTTGCCCATACCTTTTGTTTTGCTCCTCTCCATAACTTTTTTTTAAGATAATGTTTTTGCCCCTTTACTTTTCATTCATTTCTACCTTCCCAACCACTTCTTCAAAAATGTGCTTGGGTGCATGTGGACAGCAGTGGTTCATGTGACCTCAGGGTCCAGGGGAGGTCCTTGGACTCAGTGTGTCCTTCATCACTGCTGACTTCCCAGGAGATGTCACTCAGCTGCCTGGTTGCTATTTCCTGGTGGCATTTGGAGTTGTCGCTGAGGTAACTCATAGCTAAGCTGCTTTCCGAAAACGGGCAGAGCTTCATGGTGCTCCTGGCTTACATGGACTCACGTCTGCCCCTGCAGATGTAGTGGACATCTTGAGACTCTGCCTGTGACAACTATTTATCCTTGCCTGATGAGCTGTCCTAAAGCTATTCCTATAGAATCATCTCATTCCCACTTAGCCAGTCCCCTTTGAGAAGCTCCCAGTCAGACTCAAACATGCTTCTGGTCCTTCTCTACACTATTAGGGAAGCTTGAAAAAGCTCAACCTCATGGCTTGCTCACACTAGCCTCACATTACCTTGATGTTGTTACATTCCAGGTTGGTGCAGGGTAGCTCTGAGATGGCCATGGAGCGAGGACAGACCTTTTATGTGCTACCCTCACTAACTGTACTTCTGCCCAAATATCTCCCCATCTTCTGGTCACCCCTTGTCCCTCAATACTTCACACTGCCGAGGGTCCCAGTGGTTAAATACCTGTTTTCCCTACATCATATCCTCTCTCTGCCATCACATCGCATGTGTCACTTTCCCACTTAATGGGTTTCCCACTTATCGGGGACAGAAGAGGTGTTTCTGCCCTGGGAGAACTCTATGAGTTGAATTGCTCAGGCTTGGTTTTTGGTCAGCTCAAAAGTGTAGATTTGAGGGATGAATGTGGGGTTAATAACAGGAAAAACAAAGGGATTTTGAAAAATTTACATTCTAGACAACAGCTGAGCTCCCATGGCTATAGCATTACTGTACAATTAGGTCTTGAAAGTCAAAAAATTAATGTTAATTTTTTCTTCGCATTTCTTCTGTAATGAATTGTAATCTTCTCGTCATCCAAACCTACCCTCCCAGCCCTGGAAGATTCTTGGGACAAGGAGGATGAAAACCATCCACAGAAAGGCAAAAGAGGACAAGTCCATGACAGTGAGTCCTTGCTGTATCTGGGACATTGAACAAGCTCAATAAGTAGTAATCTTCCTCTCCTTTAACTGAAATTAAAATGAAATCTAACCCACAACACCACTACATCACATCTGTGTACATGTGAGAAATACAGAAAGGAGAATCACAGTTTTGATGAGTTATGGTGGTGAGGTTTCACATGGTTGCATTCTTTTGCTAAGGTTGCCATAACAAACTGCCACAGCTGCGTAGCTTAAAACAAAAGAAATTGATTATCTCACAGTTTGTAGGGCAGACTTCAGAAATCCAGGTGTTGGCAGGGCTGTGCTCCCTCTGCAGGCTCTAGAGACTCATCCTTCCTTGCTTCTCCTGGCTTTCCTTGGCTCACAGCTACAAAACTCCAATCTGTGCTCAGCTTTACAGGGCCTTCTTCTCTTTGTCTCAGTCTTTCATAAACACGTTAATCTTTGGATTTAGGGCCCACCCTCCTCCAGGATGATCTCACCTCAAGATCCCTACTTTAATTACATCTGAGGTCCTGAAAGGACATATCCTCTGGGAGTCCCTATTTAACCCACAACAGGGGCATATGTTCTCTTTCACTATTTTCTTATTTTTGAGATAGCATTGTTTTGCACATTACCAACTAGTAATAAGGAGGGGAGAAAATGGCATGGCTTTCCAAAAAAAAATCTATAAAACTATTTTGCTAGGATTATTCCCCTTTTTAAAAACATTTTCTTGCCCTTTGCTCCTGAAAAAGTTCTATGTGCCTGGCCTTGTTTTTATGGAAATCCTTGCATCTAAAAACAAGCTGTGTAAAACTGGCATTCCAGACTTCAGGCACCAAATACTTCACCCCAGGAATTCTCAGCCCAGTCTGTTCAACCACTAGACAGCTATAAATAGAATCACAAACATTTTTGGCTCTGTTTCACCAGTTGGACCAGGCAGGAAAGGCTCCCTGTGGTTGTTTCACTTGGAAAAAAAACCTGGATTTGAGCAGAAACCTAGCTCCAGAGAAAGAAATCACTTAGCTCTTATGCATAGGCACAAGATGTCTGCAGGGCAATATTGACTTGAGAGGTTTCGTCTGAGTATTTGAAGTGGGAGGATTCATCTTGAACTGAAAAATGGATTGCCATATCTCAGGGTAAGATTCCAGCTTAGTCTTGTGTTCAGACACCTTTTACAGCATAGCTCTCCTACCAGAAATCAGGTTTCCCATCCAATGGCTTAAGAGCGTAAAACTCTCTCTAAATGCCTAACTCCATTTCTCTTTCTCAATTTCCTGTTTTGCAAAATGAGAGTGGATATCACATGGTACCATTATGTTGCTTCTGTGTCAAAAAGTATTAAAGAATGTGATTTAACTTCTATCTCCCCCATCTCCTGATCCCTCTATTAAAACATGGAACAATAGGCAGGAACAGGCCAGAACAGGGAACTGCATATATCTCGCATTAGAACTGAGTAGAATTTAACAAGTTGCTCAGCTTTTCTAAGCCTTAGTGTCTACTCTGTAAAATAATGGCATCAAAGTAGATAATTCTGGCCTGGTGCGGTGGCTCACGTTTGTAATCCCAGCACCTTGGGAGGCCGAGGTGGGTGGATCACCTGAGGTCAGGAGTTTGAGACCAGCCTGGCCAACATGGTGAAATTCCATCTCTACTAAAAATACAAAAATTAGCTGGATGTGGTAATTTGCACCTGTAGTCCCAACTACTCGGGAGGCTGAGGCAAGAGAATTGCAGAGGTTGCAGTGAGCCGAAATCTCGCCTCAGCACTCCAGCCTGGGCGAGAGAGTGAGACTCTGTCAAATAAACAAACAAACAAACAAAAAAATAAAGTAGATCATGCCTATAAGCCTTCCCACCTCCCACCTCTCATATTCCATTACAGTGTGGTCTAATATGATAGCCAAGAGCCACATGTTGCTATTGAGCACTTGAAATGTGGCTAGTCTGAATGAAAAGAAACCGTAAGTGTAAAGGACACACCAGATTTTCAACACTTGCCATGAAAAAAAAATGTGCATTTCTAATTAATATTTTCATATTGATTACATGTTGAAGTGATAGTATCTGGATGCATTAGGTAAAACATATTACTAAAATTAATTTTACTTATTTTGTTTTACTTTTGACTATGGCATCTAGAAAATTTAAAATTACACATGTGGCTCTTATTTTGTTTCTGTTGTCCAGTACCACCCTATAATGGCTACGCAATACACTTTAGAAACTAAAGTCCAAATGTGCAGAGTTACATAGAGTGCTCATATGTCATGTATGCATAAATTCGTGCACATGTATGCATTAACTGTGACTGGGGTTTTAGCGATGCTGTTGTAATATGGTACAGCTTACAGTATCTTTTCGTTTGTGTACATATGATACATATACCACTTGTATTCCCATTTTCCCACCAGTCAACCACTGCCAAATACTTCCCACTTCCTAGGATTGAACACAAGACTAATCGTCAGCATGATGATGTCCATGCTTAAATTCTAAGTTCCCCACGGTTTGGTTGTGTGAGTTTAGGAAAGTAAAGCGACCTCTTTGACCCTCAGTTTCGTCATTTATGAAGTGGAACTGATAGCAGCTATCTTCCACATAGGATATATATGAGGTCTAGAGAAGATAATCCACTAAACGCACCAATTCTAAGCCTGCTGGGAAATGTGTTTCCAATGAAGGTGAGTTATTGTTTTCTAACTGTGGACACGTCTATAGGCAGGAGAGACATTTGAAGTATACAAATAAAAGTACTGTGGATTTCTTATACCAGTTAACACATACTTCTGTTTAAAGAAGAAAAGAAAACTTGCAGAAGATGGAATTTGGTCCAAACAAGAGAGAATTTGGATAAATACTGTTGAGGGTTGGACATTTCAGGTAGAGGAACTAGCATAAGTAATATAGAACCTGCCCTGTGGAGCAGAAAATTACTGAATAGGGATTGAAAGTAAGTTTTCTGAGGGGAGATAGAATTAAAATTGAAAAGGAACCATTGTGAAAGTCAGTGTGGCGATTCCTCAGGGATCTACAACTAGAAATACCATTTGACCCAGCCATCCCATTACTGGATATATACCTAAAGGATTATAAATCATGCTGCTATAAAGACACATGCACACGTATGTTTATAGCGGCACTACTCACAATAGCAAAGACTTGGAACCAACCTAAATGTCCAACAACGATAGACTGGATTAAGAAAATGTGGCACATATACACCATGGAATACTATGCAGCCATAAAAAATGATGAGTTCATGTCCTTTGTAGGGACATGGATGAAACTAGAAACCATCATTCTCAGCAAACTATCTCAAGGACAAAAAACCAAACACCGCATGTTCTCACTCATAGGTGGGAACTGAACAATGAGAACACTTGGACACAGGAAGAGGAACATCACACACCGGGGCCTGTTGTGGGGTGGGGGGAGGGGCGAGGGATAGCATTAGGAGATATACGTAATGCTAAATGACGAGTTAATGGGTGCAGCACACCAACATGGCACATGTATACATATGTAACAAACCTGCATGTTGTGCACATGTACCCTAAAACTTAAAGTATAATAATAATAAAATTAAAAAAAAAACTCCATTGCAGGCAAAGTCAAAAAAAAATTTCCCAATAAGAAAGGCATGGGGAAAAAAACTCAGAAGAAAATGAGAAAATATGTCCAGGGGATGAAAGTAAAAAACAAAGCCTGAAATTAATAACCTCAAAATAAAACAATATCTTTTATGAAATAAAAATCCAGATGCACTAAAAATGGACAAATCAATTTTTTACTCACTAAATACATGTAAGGGACTATCTTAAAATGCAGAAATAAAAGAGGCTGATGGAAATAAAAGAAGGGAAAAAATAAGATAGAGGTCGAATCATGGAAGTATAACATTAAGTAAACTATTAGGAGTCCCAAAAAGAAAATAAAGAGGGCGAAGGGATGAACAAAGAATAAAGACATTAAAAAAAAAAAAAGAAAAGAAAGCTCGAGGGCAGGATTTTCCCAAGCAAACATTAAATATATCTACATGTGATGTTTCATAGAAACGCAATCTTCATTTCCATTGTATGGTGTCTCTTTACATCTATGTAGTTAGATTCTAATAGAAGTGATTCTGTATAGTAGAGATCTATGTTGGCATTTTTCTCTAGTGGATACTTCTTATTTTCATCCTGTCTAAGCCTAAAAGGACCCAGAAGTGATGTTGGAAGTAAAAATCCTTCTACTTTATGCCATTTCAGAATTTCCATCTCTCTGCTCCAAGTTAGTAATCATGTCCTTAGAGGATGATGCCATCCAGCTACCAACCTTTACACCATCTTGTCAACCCCTCCACCAATTCCTCCTTCCCTCCTTTCCACACAAAATTTCACACCTCGACCACAGCTTTCTACACTTACAAGTTTCTTAATTCCATAATAGCCATTCTCCATGTGGTCTTATAATAAAATGGATGGGAGGGCCGAGGCTTCCTATTTTCATTGTGTTATTAGCAGTATGACCTTGGATAATTTATTTAACTTCTCTGAGCCTAGAATAGAGATAATCATAACACACACTTCATAAGGTTATTACGAAGACAAAATGAAAGAATGTATATTAAATGCTTAACGCGATGCTTGGTGCACAGTAAGTCTTCCAAAATATTATTCAGTGTTAACAATCTTTTTAGTCCTTTGATCCATATATTACCGTCTTAACGCTTTCCTGTCTTCATCTCATTTCTTATTTAGCCTAGACATCAATATGTCTCTCTATCTTCAATAAATCTCTTCTTTGTACCCTTGGGTCTCCAGCCCTCTTGAGTTTATACCCTCTCAGGCAGACTTTAACTGTGAGGCATGCTATGATCGAGATGTTGAGACTCCAATGGAGAAAATCTTGATAAGTTAACAAAATCCTCCCTTAACTCTTAAATTAGACTCTAGCTCTTCTGTGTGTCCCTACAGAACACTTTTTTCCTCTTCTCTGTGAGCAGACATTTCAAAGCTTGTTTGAAGTCTCTTTCTAACTCCACCACATTCCCTTGCAGCAGGTGGCCTCCCCTCTCACTACAGAGACAAAATCATGATCTTCAAGCCTTAAATCCCTCAGGCTCCTGCCTTCACAGCTATGGACTTATCTTTCCCTCCCGCCCCATCCCCTCAAAGGATTCTCTAAGAAATAGGGCTATATCAGTTGGAAAGCCTTATTAATATACCTATTTGTTGAACATAGGGAATGTTCATTGCTATGTAAGAAAAAAAGATACTTCTCTCAATGGATTTAAAATCTGAATAAGCAAGCTGAAATAACTCAAATATGAAAAACCATCTAGAAAGTATTTAAATCTCACAGGCATAAGATGTTTTAATTGTATTCCCTGCTTATACATGGTTGAAAAATTTTAAATGGTAGAAAAATTATAATTCAAATCATAGGTTGAATTATGATATTGTTAATAAATGTTATTGAATATTTTAGGAATACATATATTTTCTTCATCCACAAAGACAGTAAAACAGTAAATATTTTCTCTGTGTGTGTATATTTATATATATGCACATGAACACATATATGTATATACACGTTTGTGTGTATGTGTGTGTTTGTGTGTATGTGTCTGTTTGTGTGTGTGTACTTATCTTTTGCTTAAGCATTAGATTCTCATGCCTGGCTACGCTACAGATATATTTGGTTCTAAAATGTTCCAGTTATATAATGTGATGATACATTCTTAGTGTGCTTAGTGCCCTTGAAAATCTCAGCCTCTCTAATAGAACATTCCACAGCAACATTCTTAGCCTGAATACAAATCTCAGATTTTCAAGGACAAACTGACTTCAAATATCCCAACCTACTAGTTGACTGAATATTGATTGGTTCAATAATCATTTGCTGAGTATCTGCTAGGCCAGGCACAGTTCAGGGAGGGAATGAGCAAAGGTAGATGATGGCCATGCAATTTTACAAACAGAATTATCAGGGAGACCCATAAAGGGCGTGGATCATTCAGAGCAGGGTTATTAGGAGAAGCTTTAGAGTCATATGTCCTAAATTTGGGTTTGGATATTTAGTTCATCAAATGTATAATCCCATAGCTTCCCATTCTCTCCTTCTTTTACCCAAACTCCAAACTCAGTAAACTGTAGCTTCTCTGTGTGCAGCTGTCAATGGCCACCTCCAGCCCCCCTCCCCAGCTCCATCATAACTGGTGCCTGTCCATCCAACATCTCACATTAGCAATCCCAGTGTTGCTTTGCCTTCTCTAAAGATCCATGGACATTTTTATTTGGTCACAGAGGCCTGACTTCACACCAGCAGGATAAAGATCTAGTCTGTTTCTCAATGTTATGGCTACAGGGGGATATCACAAAAAGATTCCTAACTAACCAACATTGCTAAGTCCCCAGACATCGTGCGTGTTTGCTGACCATGGCATGGAGGCAGGTGAGACAGGTCCAGAATCTGGGGCTGGCAGTTAGCAGCCTAGAGTCTGCCCTGGGCCCTAACACAGAAGAGTTTTATATGTTCAGGAATTTTTCCTTTATTGGTTTCTTCCTTTAAGCATGAGGTCTAAAGTCTCTTCTAGTGCTGCTGTTTCTAGAGAGTGGAACCATGAATTCCTATGTTGTCAGAACCCTCATCTTACTAAGCTAGAAACACTCTTATTTCCTATTGGTTTCTGAGATGCCACACTTAGCTGGTTTTCTCCTCACTAGCTGCACTTCCGGGGCACCTTGGCAGCTCCTCTTTCGTACTTGATTCCAGGGAAGGAAGTGCCTCAGGGATTTCTCCTTAGTCATCTGCTCTTTTCTTTGTATACATCTCCCTCATGCTCTTATTTACCCCCCAAGACTTCCAATCCAGTCTTTTTTTTTTTTTTTTTTCTGAGGCAGAGTTTTGCTCTTGTTGCCCAGGCTGGAGTGCAATGGCGCAATCTCAGCTCACTGCAACCTCCACCTCCCGGGTTCAAACGATTCTCCTGCCTCAGCCTCCCGAGTAGCTGGGATTACAAGCATGTGCCACCACACCAGGCTGATTTTGTATTTTTAGTAGAGATGGGTTTCTCCATGTTGGCCAGGCTGATCTCAAACTCCCGACCTCAGGTGATCCACCTGCCTTGGCCTCCCAAAGTGCTGGGATTACAGGCATGATTCCACCGCGCCCAGCCCCCCAGTCTGGTCTTTATGCAGATGACTAACAAATTTACTCACCTGGCTCCAACCTCTCCCTTAAATGCTTGACTGAGGTACCCACCTCCTTGCTCTACATCTGTGCCTGGTGTCTACTAAATATCTCAGCCTTAACTTTCTCAGAGTCAGTGATCTCCTCCCCATCTCTCCCAGCCCTGCCTCCCACCTTGTTGCTGTAAATGGTACCACATCCGCACAATTACTTTTGCCCAAAGCTGTGTAAGTGATGATCAGTTCCTTTCTTTCCCTCTAATGTCACGTTTAGTCTATAAACCCAGTATTCTCTGCTCCCAAATAGACCCACAATTTGGCCATTTTTCACCACTTCTATCGCAACCACCCTAAGCCCCTTCAACCTTCTCCCTGACTGTGGCCACAGCCTCCTAAATATTCTTCCTCTCCTGCCTGACAGAGTCATATTTCTAAAGCATAAATTAGATGATCACATGCCTCTACTCAAATATCTCCAGTGGCTTCCCATTATAACTGGAATAGAATTGGAACCGGTTCTTAGGGTGTGTAAGACTCACACTATCTAGCTCCTTCCTGCCTCCCTGTCCCTCACTGCCTTCCCTCCGTTCTTCCTCTCATTTTTTAAGTTCCAGCTGCTGATTTTCTTGCTGTCCTCTGGATGCATCAAGCTGTTCTCTTTCAGAGCCTTGGGATTTGTTAGTCTCAGTGCTTGGCATTTTCTTCCCCGGGCCTTCATATGGCTACCACCCGCTCATTGTTCAGGTTGCAACTCAAATGTCGCTTTTTCAGAGAGCCTTCTCAACACTCTGGATAAGGAGCACTGCCCCCTCCTTTTACCACATCACCTTAATTCCACTTCTTCATAGTCCTTAGCATTATTTGAAATTATCCAGTATTTTGACATGTTTTATGTCTGGCACCACCCATCACATGCTAAGCTCCTTGGGGCATGAACTCTGTCCATTGTCTTTAAGGCAGCATTCTCAGTGGCTGGATCAGTGCCTGGCTGTGGGAAGTGCAGAGTACGTATTTGTTGACTGACTGACTGAAAACTAGGCTTGACCAGCTCTTTTTGCTTTACCTCTTCAGCAACTGTGTAGAATATTGAAGTTTTCCAGTTAAGAGGGAATCCTTTAGTCCTAGGCAGGAAGAGGATATGTACTGAGATCTGGGAAGAATTTAGAAACACTTTGAAATATAGTCATGACTAAGCATCCAACAAAATATTCCTTTATTTAACAAATATTTCTTAAAGATTAAAGATGTGTCAGACACTATAGGCTGGAGCAACAAGGCAAACAAATTATTGTTTCCATCCTTAAGGAGCTAATAATTTGGAAAGGAAGGTGGACATTATCTTAGTTTGGGCTGCTGTAGCAAAATACATAGACTGAGTAGCTTAAACAACTGATCTTTATTTTCTGACGGTCCTGGAGGCTGGAATTCCAAAGATCAGCATGCCATCAGGGTCTGGTTCTGGTGAGAGTTCTCATCCTAGTTGCAGACCACTGCCCTCTCGCTGACCCTCACATGATCTTTCCTCAGTGTGTGTGCAGAGAGAGTGAGAGAGAAATCTCTTTTTGTCATCTTATAGGGCCACCATTTCTATCCGATTGAAGCTCTACCCTTGCGATCTCACTTGACCTTAATTACCTCCTAAAGACTATCTCCAAATATAGTTGCATTAGCATTGGGGTTTAGGGCTTCAACATATGAATTTTGGGGGCACATAATCCAGTCCATAGCAGACACATACACATACCCTTGCAATTCACCAGCAGAGGAAATTGCAGAATACTAGAAGCACAGGCAAGAAAAACAGTATGACCTGGAATTAGTAGGCCCAGGCACTCCTCCACAGGTATAGACCAGTGAAGCAAGCCAAGAAAATTGATGTTTCTCATAAGCTTCAAATGCCTGTAGGATCCAGGGACAAAGGGCCACTAGTCACAGAAAGTGTCTTCTGCTAGAATAAGGCAATTCAGCACTGTATTGGCTTAAATGGGGCTGATGGACACTCTGCTATTTCTGTGGAGAAGGAAGGGATCCTTTATTTCATCTTAGGCTTATGTAGCCTTTCAGGGGCCCTGTGGTTTCTAGGATAACTTTGTCTCTCATGCCCTGTGTGACAGATTTCCAACAACCAAGAGAACTCTCACCCTCTGGTTGTTGCTGGAACGTTTGATTCAGTTTCTTGTACACATGGTCATTTCTGATAGTCATAGGCAAGACAGACTTGGAGGTTCACAGGCTAGAGATCACCACTTCTTCCAGCAAGGCTAAGCAGGCCCAACTAAGGTGAAATTGCAAAATGTGTCTTCTCACTTCTTGGCTTCTCTTGTGAGTAACTTGGATATCAGTAAAACTGAATATAGCTACCATAGTTCTGCTGGGCATTTGCTAGTATTTTCTCATGCATTCTCTCTTTTCAATCTTCACACTTACCCTGCAAGGAAAATATTATTCTTGTTTTCCAGAATCAAAGGAGAATGCTTACAGTGTTTGCCTAGAGTAGGCTCCAGAATCTGCATTCTGTGCCATATTCTACACCACATCATCCTAGTGCCTGCCATGAAGCCAGGAACTCGGATGACCATGTTATTCTCTAGCTGGGCTTCTTCTGTTACATCTAGTGACTTTCCCTCTGCCCTCTTAGCATCCACGCTGCCATTTTTCCATCTTCATTTTGCTCAGTGCTTTGCACTGTCCTTATTATTCCTCCAATAAGACAGAAGCCTTCTTAATGTCTTGAATACTTTTTCTTGTCTTGGTGTCCCCAGTACTTAATACAGACTCTGACATGGAGGAAAGAGGTGATAAAGCTTTGCCAAATGAAGTGTAACTACTATCTAACCTTTTGGACTCACAACACTTGAGTTGGCCTTAAATTCCTGATATACTTTGGATATTTGTCCCTCCAAATCTCATGTTGAAATTTGATCCCCAGTGTTGGAGGTTGGACCTGGTGGGAGGTGTTTGGGTCATGGGGGTGGATCCCTCATGAATGACATGTACTCTCTTCATGGTAATGAGTAAGGTCTTGCTCTTGTTAGTTCCAGTGAGAATTGATTCTTAAAAAGAGCCTGGCATCTTGCTGTCACCATGTGACACACCAGCTCCCCTTCCTCTTCCGCCATGAGTGGAAGCTTCCTGAGGCCTCACCAGGAGCAGATGCTGATGCCATGGTTCTTGCACAGCCTGCAGAATGATGAGCCAAATAAACCTCTTTTCTTTATAAACTACCTAGCCTCAGGTATTCCTTGATAGCAGTGCAAACAAACAAAGATAATCCCCTCTTTAGCAAATGAAACATAAAACCCAGAAAAGGGAAGAGATTTGTGCAACTTCACCCAGTTGGTAACATGGTTTAGGGCAGAGCTAATTCTGCCAGTGTTCTTTTTTCTCCGTAACTCTGTGTTATGCCAGGTTCTTGGAAATACAAAACCCTGGCCTCAGAGGGGCCTCCCCTTAAGTGTTGGAGAAGGCAGGCATTTGGGGCAAGGGTCTTTTCCTGTATCATTAAGTCACAAGCCACCCACACATATTCAAGCTCTCTACTGTTCTCTTTGGGCAGATACAAGTAAAGTATAAACCCCAAATATCTGGAATAAGCTATTTTGTTTATCTTATAATTTAAACATATGAAACATAAGCCATAGTAATTGGTTAGTGAAAAGAATTACCAGGTCATTTTTCAATTAAAAATACCCTTGTACTTTCCGTTGTGCTTTCATGTATTGGGAATGTGTGATGTAAACATGTAAAATACTTGGAATTGACTATTACTATTAAGCATATAATAAATGTTCTTATAGTGAATTGAAATGGAATGCCTATTTTTACTAAAACTAAGTGAAAGACTCAATATTGATAGTGCCTTTTTAATAAATTCCATCACCCCATAACTGCTGTTAGTTCTGCCACAACTGAAATAGGAAAACCATAGGTGGGTAAGCTTTTTCTAAATGTGATTTAACTTGCCTTGAACAATTCATAGATGGTATCAAAGAACCACTAGAATATTAAATCTTAGACCCTGAGTGGCTCTCACAGATCTGGTCCAAGTCATTCATTTCACAAAGAGAAAAATCCAAAGAGGAAATGTGCAATATTTTCCTGATTCCCCACTCCATTTCCCAGCGACCTTCAAAGCCAAAAATTGTGATACTAAGCATGCCCAAGGCAGGGTCTCAGGAGTCAGTGCCGTTAGCTTAATGATATCAAATCATGTCAGTATTGTTACTTGTTCCTTCAACTCTAACCTTGCGCTTGAAATTCCCAGCCTTGCCTGCTCCCACATTTCTACCATCTCTCAGCTTTGCCCTGCCCTTATTATCTGTTCCAATTTCAGAACCCCTGGATCTTTGCAAATTATCAGCTGCTCAGACATGATCATTTTGGGCTCATTAGCACCAGCTGATGGAACTGTATCCTACTCTCAGTCATTTCCTCCAGATTTGAGTACTAGTTGGGGATTGTCTTCAGACTCTTGCATCTGTAGTCATCCCTCAGTGGTCTAAGTTCTGGTCTCACCTAAGTATTTCAACATCTTCCCATCTGCCCACCTGGTGAGTTTTCCTGGACAGGTGGCCCTGTTGTGTGCTGGCCTGTTTCACTTGCATCAGCACTGTGTCTGGCACTAAGTAACTTTCCCGAGATGATCCACTCCCTCGCTGGTAGGGCTGAGATTTTAACTACAGTGTTCTGCCTCCACTGAGCCCATGTTCTTCATGGTACTCACTCTTGTTAGGCTAGAAGGGCAGAGACCAGAAATAGTGGATGCCACTTCTCTAATAAAGCAACTCAAGCCTCAATTTTGTGGAACAGAAATGTTGCTAATATTAGAATATAAATAAGTCCATCAAGACTTTACTAGTTTCCTAAGATGCATTGGAAATGAATAAGCAGTAGGGGATATATAATCAAATGCTTCTGCTGAAAAATAAATGTAAAGCACAGACTTGAAAGGAGCTTGAGCCACAACAAGGCTTGCCTGAGAATGCCACTAAAATATAAACAGATCTTCATCAACATTTTTGAGCCAGTTCTCAGAGAGGTTGTGTTAAGCACTGTAACTGCAGAATTACAACCTACCAGGGCCATTTGTTATGGAATTTCTCAAGTAGCAGCAATAGGAAACCAAATGACCTGATCAAGAGCTTAATAATAACATTTGTAAAACAAGTGATGGGAGTGAGGAATTGTTAATTGGATAATTTCTGTCATAATAACATATGACGAATTTTTACATCGAGAGCATCTCAAAATCTGACAATGGTCTCTCTTCCCTTTGAACAAAATATTTGGTTTGCTATTAAATGGGATTCCTCAGGAATGATCCTCAGCTACAAAAATGTTCTTTTACAGAGGAATAAAAGTAATATTAATCAGGTTAACAGATCACTAGCTCTGGGGAAAAATGATCTCACTGTGTCCTTATCCTGTGGCCTGAGGTCACTAGCCCTGCCGCGCTTTGGGGAAGGATGGAAGAAAGCGTCTTCTGACATTTCCCACATCAACCTTTGCTCCAGCATCAACTCTCTGTTGTTCTAAATGCCCATACTTTTATTTCTCACATTATAGTTAGCCTCTGTTGTGATTCTTCAGGATCCACAGTGGCAGAGGTAAAATTCTTACAAGGTGGTCAGTACGCATACCCTATAGCAATAACCTGCTGCATTCCTAAGTAAGCTGAGATACTCTCCTATTTCAGGATCTCTGAGAACCCTACACGGCTAGTGAGAAAAATCTAGATTTATTTTTCATGTCAAGCACTCTGCAAATGCTAAGATTTTATTTGGCTGAGATCCTTGCATTTATGGAGCTGAATGTTTCTACTGTGCATTTTCCTTGTTATAAGTGATTCACTCAAAGAAACTAAATTGAAGTGTCTTGGGCCACTGATAATGGGTTGTGCTTTAAGTCTGAAAAAGACATTATTGACCCACAGTTAAAGGGCATGCATTTTGGCTCTTTATGGTGGGCCTGGTCTGCACGGGTCCCTTCACACTCTCTTCCCAGGTCACACTTCCTTACTCAGGGGATTGTCGAAAAGCCTGAATCACCTTCAGAGCCTCTGATTTAAATGTCATGGTGCATAGCTGATGCTAAGAAATGATGAAATACAATTGCTGGCTGGCATGAGCTCTTCCCTAAATGCTGCTGCCCTCTCTGGTGCTCTCCAGTGCCTGCCTACTTGGACCTTGCCCCTGCATGCCTGTCCTGTCTCCCTGTTCTGTGTCAGAGAATCAGGTTCTGCCGCTGCTCTCTGCCTGCTTGCCAACAGTGCAGTGCAGAGCCCTTTCCTGCATTTCCCATCCGGACTCAACGGTTTCCCCATTAGTGTCCGCCTTAAAGACAATCTCTGATTCCAGTGTGAATCCCACCCCAGCACAGCATATCTGATGAAGGCACCAAGTGTGCCCTACTCATGTATAGAGATCCAAAGAATCTGTGCCTTTATTATTATTTTTTAAACATGAAAAAAAAATCTCCAAGTCATCTTTCTGAGCTGGACAGACTGCAGAGAGTTGGAATGGGCATAAAAGAGGCTGATCCTGTTGGAGCTCCACCCATATTTTCTACCCACAATCCTTTAGTGCACGTGGACTCAATTCAGCATTGTGGCCACCAACGTTTCTTTGTCTGAGGGCTTTCTCTGGTCACTAGAGCCCACTTTGATGTCCCTGTGGCCAGCTGAAAGCATCAGGGAATTAATAGTCCTGCCCCTTCTCCTAGCAACCAATCACCAATGATGCGTCAGGAATTGGTTACTGACCCACTCCCTCACCTCTCAGGTGGGACTACTCCAAAACATTAACTCCTTTACACTCGCTCCCAGAGTTCCCAGTATGATTCAGCTTTATTCATGGACTGCAAACCCTTCACTAGACACTTAAACTTACCTGTCTAATTTCCCCACTCCCCATTAGTGTTTCCTGGAATTGCTTCTAGAAGAAAGTTTTTGCACTCGATTCCTTGAATCCATCGCTTCTGGGGAAACCCAAACCAAGATGCCATTTGAACAGGAGCAAGGAGAGGGTTGGGCAGGAAACTGTGCTTTTCAGGTGCCTGCAGTGCTGTCGTGAGGGAGCCAGACCCTTGCTCTGCTCCCACTTTCCATCTTCTGTATGGATCTGACCTGGGAAACCAGTCATTTCTTTTTTTTTTTTTTCTAGTGGTAGAAAAACTGTAGTATACTGTATAAAAATGACTACATAGTTTCAATTTTTACATTAAACAAATGAATTGGTAGCTTGGATTTAAAGGTATCAAAAGATGATTAAAAACCTTGTACTAAATACTACCTGATTTTCTGTCAATACAAACTGCGTCCTCTTAAAAGATATTGAAACCACCGTTGTATTTTTTAAATCTGCAGCATCAGTTAGAAACCATGAAATATATCTGGTGTCAAGGAGTATTATTAATACTCACTGTTTCCCCAGCCCCTCTGACAGAATTGTTTGTGAGCATTTAGTTCTGTAGAGCAGGGATGTGGAAGATAAATACCAGTGGGTCCTCTGGGACACCCCATTACAGAAGAACAGGCTGCCTCGTGTTGTTTTGTCCTGGTCATGCCAGGACAAAGAATTTGTTTTCTCGTTGTTATAAGTGGACTGATATTTTAAAGTTCCTCTAAATATTGAGTCTGAAAAGTCATATTAAGATGGTGCTCTTCCTAGGGTTGGTTACCTTGTTAAAACATGCACACCAGTGGTGGAAATCTGGTGCCTAGAGATTAATGTACAGAAAGCAATGATGAGTCCAACTCATACATCCAGCTAGTTTCCATCACACCTTCTAAAGGTAGAGAGTGTGGTAGAATTTGAGAGAATATTCCAGTGGTCCGATCTGTGCTGTGTGCCTTATTTATTTTATTTCCAATCTCACACCAATTGTCTGTAACAAAACTATCTGTGGGAGGAAATTTTTCATTTTGAAAAAGCAAAACATTGCATGTATCTTGGGCTGCCTCAGCAGAGAGCATATTCAGTAAACCGTTTGTTTCTGTGGGCACAGTTTATTGTACATCATCTTGCCCTTCGTAAAATGCTATCATCTTTTGTTATGTGGTTCTTCTTCTGGATTTTATTGTAAGCTTTGATGCAGGGACCCTGCTTCAACTTTTAAGCAGCCTGCATTTCATGCTCTATGCTGTTTATTTAACTAGGGCATTGTAACCAAAGAGGGCATTTACAGATATTTGCTCAAAGAATATTCAACTGATCCATAATTTTCTATTTCATTTTAGCTTTATATATATTTTATGCTTCCTGAAACCCAAACGATTGTGTCTGCTTGCATAGCGTTTCAGCATTCCAAGATGATGTTTAGAATGCTCTCTTAGAAGCTGCCTCTGCTACTAAAATTGCAACAACTTTCTGTATTACGTTTAGGTGAAACTGTTGGAAATTGCTAGTGTTCAAACTTTGGTGTGCATTAGGTTCTTCTTGTCTAAAATATACCTGCATAGGCCCTAGCCTTGGGGCACTGATTGGTAGGTCTGGAGGGACCCCGAAATGTGTATTTTTAAGAAACTTCTTGTGTACATCAAAGTTGCAACCAACGTTCCAACATCTTGCTTTTGCCTTTCCCTAAATTCTAGTGCAAGAAAAAGCTACATGGGAAGTACTCTGTATTTTTACACTTTTTGTTAACAATATATAATATAAAGAATATGATCCTTTACTTTACTTTAAGACCCTTGTGTAAAGATCATCATCACACCATGTCACGATATCACATTGTGACATCATGATAAATTCTTCTCAAAGCTCAGGGTCTAGTCATAGCTGAGATATTTTTTCTTGATAAATTTACTTCCAATTATTTCTTCATGAGTGAGAATGATTATGTGTCCTTCTTCACTCTGGCTATTAGAAAACCTAAAACCAAGTTTTGTAAAATTACTGTAGTTCTGCTCTAACAAGCTTTTTTTTTTTTTTTTATACTTTAATTTCTAGGGTACATGTGCACAACATGCAGGCTTGTTACATATGTGTACATGTGCCATGTTGGTGTGCTGCACCCATTAACTCGTCATTTAGCATTAGGTATATCTCCTAATGCTATCCCTCCTCCCTCCCCCCAACCCACGGCAGGCCCCGGTGTGTGATGTTCCCCTTCCTGTGTCCAAGTGTTCTCATTGTTCAATTCCCACATATGAGTGAGAACATGCAGTGTTTGGTTTTCTGTCCTTGTGATAGTTTGCTCAGAATGATGATTTCCAGCTTCATCCATGTCCCTCCAAAGGACATGAACTCATCCTTTTTTATGGCTGCATAGTATTCCATGGTGTATATGTGCCACATTTTCTTAATCCAGTCTATCATTGATGGGCATTTGGGTTGGTTCCAATTCTTTGCTATTGTAAATAGTGCCACAATAAACATACATGTGCATGTATCTTTATAGCAGCATGATTTATAATCCTTTGCGTATATACCCAGTAATGGGATGGCTGGGTCAAATGGTATTTCTAGTTCTAGATCCTTGAGGAATCACCACACTCTCTTCCACAATGGTTGAACTAGTTTACAGTCCCACCAACAGTGTAAAAGTGTTCCTATTTCTCCACATCCTCTCCAGCACTGTTGTTTCCTGACTTTTTAATGATCGCCATTCTAACTGGTGTGAGATGGTATCTCATTGTGGTTTTGATTTGCATTTCTCTGATGGCCAGTGATGATGAGCATTTTTTCATGCGTCTGTTGACTGCATAAATGTCTTCTTTTGGAAAGTGTCTGTTCATATCCTTTGCCCACTTTTTGATGGGGTTGTTTGCTTTTTTCTTGTAAATTTGTTTGAGTTCATTGTAGATTCTGGATATTAGCCCTTTTTCAGATGAGTAGATTGCAAAAATTTTCTCCCATTTTGTAGGTTGCCTGTTCACTCTGATGGTAGTTTCTTTTGCTGTGCAGAAGCTCTTTAGTTTAATTAGATCCCATTTGTCAATTTTAGCTTTTGTTGCCATTGCTTTCTAAAAACATTGAAAAAAGATTAGACGAATAGCTAACTAGAATAATCAGTGTAGAGAAGTCCTTAAATGACCTGATGGAGCTGAAAACCATGGCACGAGAACTACTTGATGAATGCACAAGTTTCAGTATCCGATTCGATCAACTGGAAGAAAGGGTATCAGTGATTGAAGATCAAATGAATGAAATGAAGCGAGAAGAGAAGTTTAGAGAAAAAAAGAGTAAAAAGAAACAAAGAAAGCCTCCAGGAAATATGGGATTATGTGAAAAGACCAAATCTATGTCTGATTGGTGTACTTGACAGTGACGGGGAGAATGGAACCAAGTTGGAAAACACTCTGCAGGATATCATCCAGGAGAACTTCCCTAACATAGCAAGTCAGGCCAACATTCAAATTCAGGAAATACGGAGAATGCCACAAAGATACTTCTCGAGAAGAGCAACTCCAAGACACATAATTGTCAGATTCACCAAAGTTGAAATGAGGTAAAAAATCTTAAGGGCAGCCAGAGAGAAAGGTCGGGTTACTCACAAAGGGAAGCCCATCAGACTAACAGTGGATCTCTCAGCAGAAACTCTACAAGCCAGAAGAGAGTGGGGGCCAATATTCAACATTCTTAAAGAAAAGAATTTTCAACCCAGAATTTCATATCCAGCCAAACTAAGCTTCATAAGTGAAGGAGAAATAAAATACTTTACAGACAAGCAAATGCTGAGAGATTTTGTCACCACCAGGCCTGCCCTAAAAGAGCTCCTGAAGGAAACACTAAACATGGAAAGGAACAACTGGTACCAGCCACTGCAAAAACATGCCAAAATGTAAAGACCATCAATGCTGGGAAGAAACTGCATCAACTAAAGAGCAAAATAACCGTCTAACATCATAATGACAGGATCAAACTCACACATAACAATATTAACCTTAAATGTAAATGGGCTAAATGCTCCAATTAAAAGACACAGACTGGCAAATTGGATAAAGAGTCAAGACCCATCAGTGTGCTGTATTCAGGAAACCCATCTCACGTGCAGAGACACACATAGGCTCAAAATAAAGGGATGGAGGAAGATCTACCAAGCAAATGGAAAACATAAAACAGCACGGGTTGCAATCCTAGTCTCTGATAAAACAGTCTTTAAACAAACAAAGATCAAAAGAGACAAACAAGGCCATTACATAATGGTAAAGGGAGCAATTCAACAAGAAGAGCTAACTATCCTAAATATATATGCACCCAGTACAGGAGCACCCAGATTCATAAAACAAGTGCTTGGAGACTTACAAAGAGACTTAGACTCCCACACAATAATAATGGGAGACTTTAACACCCCACTGTCAACATTAGACAGATCAACGAGACAGAAAGTTAACAAGGATATCCAGGAATTGAACTCAGCTCTGCACCAAGCAGACCTAATAGACATCTACAGAACTCTCCACCCCAAATCAACAGAATATACATTCTTCTGACAAGCTTTTAAACTAATAACTATTTATTTTTTATTTTCCCTTCATACTTGAAAAAGAAAAAGGTAAATGAGCCAAGGATTTTATGTTATTGTAAAGAGGATTTTATTTAACGTTGCATTCAATCCTTTTTAGAATTGTTCTTAGTCCTGGGCTTCCTAGAAAAGAGAGCTTGAGGCAAAGATTAAAATGCTGACACTTCCTTTGCAAGGTGCAAACCCAGGGCAGCAAAAGTGAGGAAAAAACATAGGGGGTTCAAAGAAAGACGCAAAGCAATAAAAAGTGACCCATGACTGTGCTGGCTACAGCTTCATGATGAGCTGCAAGATGACACAGAAGGTGACCCAGCAAGGTTGTCACTCAGTATGTGGGACACTTATGGACTCTCCATGTCAAGGACAGTTGCTTCAAAGCAGCCCATAGGAGGGAGGAATCAGGGGCATTCTTTTGTTCAGGCTTATCTCAGCCCTTATGATTTTCTTTGGGGCAAAATTGGCCACATGGAAAGCCAACTCTCCCACACTTCCAGCTTGAGTCATCCAAGTCCTTTGGAGGCTGGCTTGGATGCTAATTCCACGCCCTCCAGTGCAGTGATTCCCTCAAGTTCAGAAACTGTGGAAGGAGCTGGAAACTCAGGGCATGCGCCTGGCCTGGCACTTTCAGGGCAAGTGACTTACTGTCCTCTGGTGGTGTCATTAAGTCCATGAAGCAGGCTAGCTAAGGAAATCCAAGATGACAGATAAGATTTACATTTAATACAGAAGCAGATAAGAAGTAGGGAGCATGTGTGAGCTGGGAAGAAGACAGGAGGGAAGGAAAATCCAAACCTGAATAAAGTAGTAAATATACAAATGTTGGACAAAGGGCAAAGTGTATTTCACCAATTTGAATGGGCAGGTGAGGCTGGGCAAGGTGGCTCACGCTTGCAATCCCAGCACTTTAGGAGGCCGAGATGGGCAGATCACTTGAAGTCAGGAGTTTGAGAACAGCCAGACCAACATGGTGAAACCCCATCTACTAAAAATACAAAAAATATTAGCCGGGCATGGTGGCAGGCACCTGTAATCCCAGCTACTCAAACGACTGAGTCAGGAGGATTGCTTGAACCCAGGAGGTGGAAGTTTCAGTGAGCTGAGATCCCACTGCTGTACTCCAGCCTGAGTGACAGAGTGAGACTCCATCTCAAAAAAAAAAAAAAAAAAAAGAAAGAAAGTAAGAAAGAAAGAAAGAAAGGGTAGGTGAAAGATTTCAAGTTTAGAGAATGACTGGATAGAGGCCGGTCACGGTGGCTCACACCTGTAATCTCAGCACTTTGGGAGGCTGAGGTGGGCGGATCACGAGGTCAGGAGTTTGAGACCAGCCTAGCCAACATGGTGAAACCCCGTGTCTACTAAAAATACAAAAATTAGCCGGCCCTGGTGGCGGGCACCTGTAATCCCAGCTACTTAGGAGGCTGAGGCAGGAGAATCACTTGAACCTGGCAGGCGGAGGTTGCAGTGAGCCAAGATCACGTCATTGCACTCCAGCCTGGGGGACAAGAGCAAGACTTCGTCTCAAAAAAAAAAAAAAAAAACAAAAACCAAAATACAGAGAATGACTGGGTAGAAACCCATTGAATAAAGTATACAAAATATAAGGAACATGTTTTTAGGGAGGTAGGGGAGGGGATTGAGTAGAATGAGGTAGCACAGATGCTTTGGTCATGTTGAGTTTGAGGTCACTCAGGTGAAGATATCAGGTATTCGTTGGATATATGAGTCTGGAACTTAGCAGGAAAACCGGGACAAACATATGGACTTCAGATCATAAACACAAGGTCATGACAGAAGTCTATGAGTGGAAAAAATCAGTGACAAGATAAGAGCAAGAAGAAAAGCAAACAAAGCACAGGAACTTGAGGAATACACACTTTTAAGGAATGGATACTGTGTGTGCATGGGAAGCCAGGGTCCATAAAGGAAATTTGGATGGGTTGCCAGTGCTATGGACAACTTAGAAATTTTCTGTGGTTGTCACTAGTAGCTTATATGGCATAGAACCTGCATTTCCTGCTCATTATTTGTATTGACACACAAAATGGTCCTGGGGTCTGTACTATTGCCCCAGAGCAGTAGCAGATATGATTTAGCATGCACACAGTTCTAAGAGAAAGAAGACAGAGGATATGAATGAGCATTGATTGAGTGTTCATAATATATAATGAACTGTGCTGGGTACCTTATGTACATGGCCTCCTTTGTTGATCCTGTATAACTCTGTGAAGTGAAAGGTATTATCTTCATTCTTACAAAGCAGGAAAATGGGCCTCAGTGTCATGACAGTAGGTAATGCTGCTGCAACTGGAGTCTCAGGTTTGTCCCATCCCAATGCCCATGCTCCTCCCATGTGCTGGACTACTCCAGCCTTTCAACAATGACAGTGGGGGTCTGATCACAAAAATTCTTGATGGAAAATGAGTTCTGTAGTTTCCAGACCCTAAATCTTTCAGTTTGGTACTACATTTTTTCTGTGAAATGAAAATAGATGATAGTAAAATTTATTTTTCACCTCTGTTGAGAAACTATTTGAACATTCAAAACTTTACTTTTCATTTTTACCGATCTCCCTTACTAGTGTTCAGAATAATGAATATGAGACAAACATTTTCTCCAGAAGGAAATCCTACATTGATATGATGTAGGACAGGGTAATGTTTTTCTAAATGTGATTACATGCACCAGACAATAAATTAAAATGTGAGTTTCTGGCTGGGTGCGATGGCTCACGCCTGTAATCCCAGCACTTTGGGAGGCTGAGGTGGGTGGATCACCAGGTCAGGAGATCGAGACCATCCTGGCTAACACAGTGAAACCCCATCTCTACTAAAAATACAAAAAATTAGCCTGGCGTGGTGGCGTGCGCCTATATTCCCAGCTGCTGGGGAGGCTGAGGCAGGAGAATGGTGTGAACCTGGGAGGCGGAGCTTGCAGTGAGCAGAGATCGCGCCACTGGGTGACAGAGCGAGACTCCATCTTAAAAAAAAAAAAAGTGAGTTTCTGATATCAGATATATTCTACAGATAATATGTAAAAGTTCCAGGCAGAAACAATTAATGATGACACATCGATGTAGTTTAAATGGACCACAACCTAAATAATGCTGTAGCTGATATGCTAGGCCTGTATTTTTGCCCTGAATAGATTTTCCACATTTGAATGGAATACTTATGCTTTTATGCTAAAATGAAAGAGCAAAGTCAAATAAGCTATTGCATAGTCCATTAAAACTACTTTCAAGTGACTCTCAATAGGCGAAATTTCCACAACTTTTGCATTTGCAAAAGGAACTTTTCAATTAAGCACAGACCACTGTTCTCAGAACTCGCAGATGCCACTCGGGTCTTTTTGGAGATGATAATTGTGTATTAGTTATGTAGTGATGAGCTAAGACAAACCAAAAAAAAAAAAATGCAAAAGGGCAAATCTGGTTTTTAAGTCTGAGAATAGGAGAAAATTTAGTCTAGGACTACCCCAGGTTTCACATATAGCCTTTTTTTTTTCATTTTTTCTATGGCCTATCTCTTATTCCCCTTTTTGCTGTTTATAGAGCACATCGGAATCAAAGATATGCCCAAAGAATCAAGAGGGCATGAGGCATCATCTCTTTTTTTTTACAGTCTCAAGGAAAACATGACAAATGTACAAACATCAAATGCCTATTTCTATGTGAAACCCCGGCACTTTTCCCAAGCAGAGAAGATAACCGAATTAAATTGTATTCATGCTATTTATGAAAGAAATTGTTCCTGCTTTCATCCAAATGAAGCAGATGACTCATTTTCCCTTAAGTGGTTCCATGACAATCACGCTTCCCAGACAAATGAAATGAAAATATATATATATATAGAATTTGGTTGATCATCCACTTGATTAGGAAATTTTTGTTAGATTGTCTTTGGATATCTCCTCATGGAATGAATTGCCAACCCTGCATAGCTCCCTCACACAACCCATATTTGCTTTGTAATATTGTGTCTACCTAAGGCATGATATGCTTGCAAAGTTTTATTGGTTTGATCTATGATAAAAGGTAAGTATACACCCAGGTGTTCTTTGTGCATACAAAAAATTTGTTTGGGTCTTCTTTAAGTTGATTGATGGGTGTCTCTACAAATGATTTATCTATTTCCTGGATGTATTATATAAACGAAAGCTTTTCACATTCCGGATTTGGTAATCAGTGGGGACCTATTTGTGGATTCTTTGTAGTTTTGTTTGTTTTCAAAGACTGGAATTATTAGAGGATATTTTTATTTGTTTATATTATTGAAATAAACTATGTAGCATTCACCAATTAGAATCTGTTACAATTGCAGGACATTTATTTAATCTTCTAACAATTGTAAAGATCAAAGATGCTGTCTTACCTTGGCACTGTTTTATATCAGGACAGAATAAAGGGCTGAGACCTGAATCTGGTGCAATGTGCATTCACTGACAGCAAATTCTGTGACTTGCATCCTTGCTGCACTGCGGTTGTGTGGGCTCAGGTGGAACACAGAGTATCTCCTCAAAAGAAACTAAGTAAACAACAGAACTTAAAACTGGGGGAAAGCCAAGGTTCAAAGCTATAAGAATTTACAGCAGTGATACAGCAAAGAGCCCTGGATCAGTTTTCCATCAAGAAATCAAGAAAGTGAGAATAGGTAAGAAGAAAATTGAGAAGAATCCAGAAAAAAAAAATCTTACCTTACTATTTTGTCATATGAGGCATATATGGGCTTTGGCTAAGTTCAAATGACTGATGGTAAGACAGCTTGGCCAATATTAGAGCCTAACTGTGGGTTTGACAAGTAAATTCTTATTGAAAGGGAGAAAATGGAGAGCCTTCAGGCACTAGTCAGCATGTTGCTATCCAGAAAAACATACTGCCAGCCCTCAGGATGCTCAAGGTGAAGTGGTGGAGTGCACCAGGGGACAATGGGTAGAGGGAGCCTGCTTTTGAAGTCTGCAGGCAATGAAGAAACTCCAGTGGATTGAAACAGTAGCTCATAGACCAATGCTGGTCTGAGAACTGATTTTCACTCATCTGCAAAGACACAAGTACAGACATCAAGAGTAATCATTCAGAGACTTTTTCCCATACTTTATAGAGTAATATTAATTCTGTTGAATCTGACGATAAAATTTGGGTCTTACATTTTATAAGCTTTTGTTTTTATTATATTTTCCTACTAATTTACTTTTTATAGAATTTTGCTAAAGTATGGTCTGCAATGTATTGAAAATTAAAAGTTGCTGATGACAGAAAATGGCAGATAGGAGGCAGGACTAACTTGCAGCTCCCACTCGGACAGACAAAGCAGTGTGTGGACACTCACATTGTGAATTTTCACTCCAAGAACTACCGCAGGAACATACCAGGAAAGCCAAGAGAATCCACAGACCCTTTGAAGGTAACAACTTGCCACTGTGAGACAGCTGTAAAACTGTGAGTGCCTGAAGTGTGAAAGGGGGAAAGTCTGCCCCTGAACACACATCCTTACTGGGGAAACTGATGGTCCAGATCATGGGAGGATTTAATCTTACCTGGAGCTGAGACAAATTGAGAGAGCCGAGTGAAATATAGGGGTAAAGGAAGCAGCAGAAAGAACGCTGTGGGCACTCTCAGTCCCCAGGGAGGCCATTTCTGACTTTGTCTCACAGGGATCCTTGGGGAGGACTGCCAGTGGAGCTGAGGAAGGACATCAGGGAGAAGGAAACTTCCAGCCGAACTCTGTAACAATTCTGACTGAACACGAAGTTTCCTGGACAGAATCTGGGGGATGGAGCAAAGATACCAGCACAAAAACCGTGGCAGGTGGGGAGGCATGAAACCTGAAAACCCCACCTGCTTTCTCAGCAGGGAGGCTTGTAGCATGGGACTTATTCTCAGCCCTGCTCACTAGCTGCCTGGAAATAAACTCAATGCTGTTGGGAGGCCACAGTGGGAATGAGACTGGCCTTTCTGGCTGTGTGGAAGCTGAGTGAGGCCTGTCACTGCCAGCTTTCCCCCATTTTCCATTGACCTAGATGATGCAGCAGAGGCAGCCATATTTCCCCTAGGAACATAACTCCCATGGGCTTGAGAAACACACCTCATCTCCAACAGCAGCTACAGCAAGGCTTGCCCAAGAAGAGTCTGAGCTCAGACATGCCTAATCCTGCCCCCATCTGATGGTCTTTCTTTACCCTCCCTGATAGCCAAAGACAAAGGACATAATCTCTTGGGAACTTCATGGCCCTGCCCACTGCCTGAGAAACCTGAATACTTACCCAGACAACCCTAGGACAAGCTTGTATCCTCCCTATACTACCACAACTGATGCTCTCTTGAAAGAGTCACCTCCTGGCTGAAGGCCAACCAACATAAGACCAACACATTAAAAAAAAACACAACCAAGGACCCCCACAGAATCCACTTCACTCCCCTGCTGCCTCCACTGGAGCGGGTGCTGGTATCCATGGCTGAGAGACCTGAAGAGAAATCACATCCCAGGACTCTTTGCAGACACACCCCAGTACTAGCCCAGAGCCCAGTAGCTCTGCTGGGTGACTAGATCTAGGAGAGAAATAACAATCACTGCAGTTTGGCTCTCAGAAAGTCACATCACTAGGGGAATGGGGAGAGCACCACATCAAGGGAGCACTCTGTGGGCAAAAGGAATCTGAATAGCACCCCTTGAACTGGAGATCTTCCCTTGGACATAGTCTACCCAAATGAGAAGGAACCAGAAAAACAATTCTGGTAATATGACTAAACAAGGTGCTTTAACATCCCCAAGAAATCACATTTGGCTTGGATCCAAGCCAAGAAAAAAATCTCCAAATTGCCAGAAAAATGATTCAGAAGGTCAATTATTAAGATACTCAGGGAGGCACCAGAGAAAGGTGAATACCAACTCAAAGAAATAATTTTAAAAAGGATACAAGATATAGGCCAGGCACCGTGGCTCATGCCTGTAATCCCAGTACTTTGGGAGGCTGAGTGGGCAGATCACGAGGTCAGGAGATCGAGACCATCCTGGCTAACACGGTGAAACCCCGTCTCACCGTGTATTTAAAAATACAAAAAATTAGCCAGGGGTGGTGGCGGGCACCTGTAGTCCCAGCTACTCAGGAGGCTGAGGCAGGAGAATGGCGTGAACCCAGGAGGCGGAGCTTGCAGTGAGCCGAGATCGTGCCACTGCACTCCAGCCTGGGCAACAGAGTGAGACTCCATCTCAAAAAAAAAAAAAAAAAAAAAAAAAGATACAAGATATGAAAGAAAAAATCTTCAGAGAAATAGAAAGCATAAATAAAAAACAATCACACCTTCTGGAAATAAAGGACATGTTGGAAAAATGTAAAATACACTGGAAACTCTCAACAATAGAATTGAACAAGTAGAAGAAAGAACTTCTGAGCTTGAAGACAAAGTTTTCAAATTAACCCAATCCAACAAAGACAAAGAAAAAAGGATTTTTAAAAAAATGAACAAAGCCTCCAAGAAGTCTGGGATTATGTTAGATGACCAAACATAAGAATTATTGGTGTTCCCTATGAAGAAGAGAAATCTAAAAGTTTGGGAAACATATTTGAGGGAATAATCAAGCAACAATTCCCTGGAATAATCAAGGAACACTTCCCTGGCCTTGCTGGAGGTCTAGACATTCAAATACAAGAAGCTCAAACAACACCCGGGAAATTCACTGCAAAAAGATAATCACTTAGGCACATAGTCATCAGGTTATCTAAAGTCAAGACGAATGAAAGAATCCTAAGAGCCATGAGGCAAAAACATCAGGTAACCTGTAAAGGAAAACCTAATAGATTAACAGCAGATTTTTCAGCAGAAACCCTGCATGCCAGAAGGCACTGGGGTCCTATCTTTAGCCTCCTTAAACAAAATAATTATCAGCCAAGAATTTTATATCCAGTGAAACTAAGCTTCATAAATGAAGAGGAGATACATTTTTTTTCAGACAAACAAATACTGAAAGAATTCACCACTACCAAGCCAGCTCTACAAGAACTGCTAAAAGGAGCTTTAAATCTTGAAAGAAATCCTCAAAATACACCAGAATAGAACCTCCTTACAACATAAATTTCACAAGACCTATAAAACAATAAAACAATAAAGGAAAAAACAAAGTATTCAGGAAACAACTAGCATGATGAAGAGAATAGTACCTCTCATCTCAATACTAATGTTGAATGTAAATGGCCTAAATGCTCCACTAAAAAATACAGAATGGTGGAATGAGTAAGAATTCACCAACCAAGTATCCACTGTCTTCAAGAGACTAATCGAACACACATAAGGACTCACATAAACTGAAGGTAAAGGGGTGGAAAAAGATATTCCATGCAAATGGACACCAAAAGTGACAGAAGTAGTTATTCTTATATCAGACAAAACAGACTTTAAAGCAAAAACAGTTTAAAAAGACAAAGAGGGACATTGTATAATGATAAAAGTACTAGTCCAACAGGAAAATATCACAATCCTTAATATGTATGCTATATATGCACCTAACACTGGAGCTCCTAAATCTACAAAACAATTACTACTAGATCTAAGAAATGAGATAGACAGCAACACAATAATAATGGGAAATTTCAATACTCCACTGACAGCACTTGACAGGTTATCAAGACAGAAAGTCAACAAAGAAACAGTGGATTTAAACTATACCCTAGAACAAATGGACTTAACAGATATTTACAGAACATTCTACCCAACAACTGTAGAATATACATTCTATTCATCAGCACATGGAACATTCTCCAAGATACACCATACAAGTCTAAATAAATTGAGGAAAATCAAAATTATAAGTACTCTCTCAGGCCACTGTGGAATAAAATTGGAAATTAATTCCAAAAGGAACTCTCAAAACCATACAAATACATGAAAATTAAATAGCCTGCTCCTGAATGATCATTGAGTTCACAATGAAATCAAGATAAAAATTAAATAATTTTTTAAACTGAGTGATAATAGTGACACAACATATCAAAACCTCTGGGATACAGCAAAAGTGGTGCTAAGAGGAAAGTTTCTAGCATTAACTGCCTACATCAAAAAGTCTGAAAGAGCACAAATAGACAATCTAAGGTCACACCTCAAGGAACTAGAGAAACAAGAACAAACCAGACCCAAACCCAGCAAAGAAAAGAAATAACAAAGGTCAGCACAGAACTAAATGAAATTGAAACAAACGGAAAACAATACAAAAGATAAATGAAACAAAAAGCTGGTTGTTTGAAAAGACAAAATTGATAAAGCATTAGTGAGATTAACCAAGAAAATAAGAGAGAAGTTCCAAATAAGCTTAATTAGAAACAAAACGGGAGATATCACAACTGATACCACAGAAATACAAAAGATTATTCAGGGCTACTATGAGCACATTTATGCATACAAATGTGCCCTCCTAGATTAAACAAGTAAGAAATTAAACTCTGAACAGACCAATGACAAGCAGTGAGCCTGAAGTGGTAATAAACAAATAGCCAACAAAGATATGTCCAAGACCAGATGGATTCACAGCTGAATTCTATTAGACATTCATAGAAGAATTGATACCAACCTTACTGACACTACTCCAAAAGATAGAGAAGGAGGAAATCCTTTCTAAATCGTTCTATGAGGCCAGTATCACCCTGATAGCAAAGCCAAGAAAGGACATAACAACAACAACAAAAACTACGGATTAATATCTCTGTTGAAAATAGATGCAAAAATCCTCAAAAAAATACCAGCTAACCAAATCCAACAGCATATCAAAAAAATTATCCACCATGATCAAGTGAGTTTCATACCTGGAATGCAGGGATGGTTCGACATATGCAAGCTAATAAATGTGATACAGCAGATAAACAGAAGTAAAAACAAAAATCATATGATCATCTCAATAGATACAGAAAAAGCATTTGACAAAATCCAGCATCACTTTATGATCAAAACCCTCAGCAAAATCAGCATAGAAGGGACATACCTTAAGGTAATAAAAGTTGTCCATGACAAACCCACAGCCAACATTATACTGAATGGGGAAAAGTTGAAAGCATTCTCCCTGGGAACTGGAACAAGACAAGGATGCCCACTTTCACCACTTCTATTTAACATAGTACTAGAAGTCCTAGCCAGAGCAGTGAGACAAGATAAAGAAATAAAGGGCAACCAAATTAGTAAAGAGGAAGTCAAACTGTCACTGTTCACTGACGATAGGATTGTATACCTAGAAAACCCTAAAGACTCATCCAAAAGCTCCTAGATCTGATAAATGAATTCAGTAAAGTTTCAGGATACAAAATCAATGTACACAAATCAGTAGCACTGCTATACGCCAAAAGCAACCAAGCTGAGAATCAAATCAATAACTCAATGCCTTTCACAATAGCTGCAAAAAAATTAATTAAAATACTTAGAAATAGACCTAATCAAGGAGATGAAAGACATCTACAAGGAAAACTACAAAACACTGCTGATTGAGAGGCCAAGGTGGGCAGATCACGAGATCAGGAGATTGAGACCATCCTGGCTAACACAGTAAAACCCCATCTCTACTAAAAATACAAAAAAAATTAGCTGGACATGGTGGCAGGCACCTGTAGTCCCAGCTACTTGGGAGGCTGAGGCAGGAGAATGGCGTGAACTCTGGAGGTGGAGCTAGCAGTGAGCCAAGATTGCACCACTGCACTCCAGCCTGGGCAACAGAGTGAGACTCCATCTCAAAACAAAACAAAACAAACAAATAAACAAACAAAACACTGCTGAAAGAAATTATAGACAACACAAACAAATGGAAACACCTATCCCATGCTCACGAATAGGTAGAATCAGTATTGTGAAAATGACATTACTGACAAAAGCAATCTACAAATTCAATGTAATTTCCTTCAAAATACCATCATCATTCTTCACAGAACTGGAAAAAGCAATCCTAAAACTCATACAGAACCAAAAAAAGAGTCCGCATAGCCAAAGCAAGACTAAGCAAAAAGAACAAATCTGGAGACATCACATTACCTGACTTCAAAGTATAATATAAGACTATGGTCACCAAAACAGAATGGTACTGGTGTAAAAATAGGCACATAGACCAATGGAACAGAATAGAGAACTCAGAAATAAAGCCAAATATTCACAGCCAACTGATCTTTGCCAAAGCAAACAAAAACATGAAGTGGGAAAAGGACACTCTATTCAACAAATGGTGCTGGGATAATTGGCAAGACATGTGTGGAAGAATAAAACTGGATCCTCATCTCTCACAATTTTGTACTTGAGTAGTACAAAATTTCACTCAAGATGGATCAAAGACTTAAATCTAAGACCTGAAACCATAACAATTCTAGAAGATAACATGAGATAAACTCTTCCAGACATTGGCTTGGACAAAGAGTTCATGACCAAGAACCCAAAAGCAAATGTGACAAAAACAAAGATAAATGGATGGGACTTAATTAAACTAAAAACTTCTGCACAGCTAAAGAAATAATCAGCAGAGTAAACAGACAACCCACAGAGTGAGAGAAAATCTTCGCACACTATGCATCTGACGAAGGACTAATGTCCAGAATCTACAAGGAACTCAAACAAATCAGCAAAAAACAAAACAAAGCATAACAAAAACAAAAACACAAAAATCCCCAAATAATCCCATCATCAAAAAGTGGGCTAAGGACATAAATAGACAATTCTCAAAAGAAGACATAAAAATGGCCAAAAAACATATGAAAAATGCTCAACATCACTAATTATCAGGGAAATGCAAATCAAAACTACAAAGCAATATCACTTTACTCCTGTAAGAATGGCCATAATCAAAAAATAAAAAAAATATAGTGATTGGCATGGATGTGGTGAAAAGGGAACACTTTTACACCCTTTGGTGTGAATGTAAACTAATACAACCATTATGGAGCAACAGTGTGGAGATTCCTTAAAGAATTAAAAGTAGATCTACCATTTGATCCAGCCAGCATTCCCACTACTTGGGAATCTACCCAGAGGAAAAGAAGTTATTATACGAAAAAGATTCTTGCACATGCATGTTTATAGTAGCACAATTCACACTTGCAAAAATACGGAACCAGCCCAAGTGCCTATCAATCGAGTGGATAAAGAAAACGTGATATATATGTATACACACACATAATACTACTCAGCCATAAAAACGAACAAAATAATGGCATTCGCGCAACCTGGATGGAATTGCAGGACATTATTCTAAGTGAAGTAATTCAGGAATGGAAAACCAAGCATCATATGTTCTCACTCCTAAGTGAGAGCTAGGCTATGAGGACACAAAGGCATAAGAATGATACAATGTACTTTGGAGACTCAAGGGAAAGGGCAGAAGGGGGAGAAGGAGAATACACATTGGGTAGAGTGTACACTTATTGGGTGATGGGTGCACCAAAATTTCAGAAACCACCACTAAAGAATTTATTCATGTAACCAAACACCACCTGTTCTCCAAAACCCTACTGAAAAAATTAAAAGTCAATAAAAACAAAAACATCTGTTGCCTGTACCAAAGATATTTTGAGAAGCATTGACGATGTAAGAGGAATAAAACACACCTTATAGGGTCCCTAGTCTCTCCCTTGCCTTCTACCTTTGCCTGCCTGCCTGCCTGCTTTCTCTTTCTTTCTTTCTTTCTTTCTTTTCTTTCTTTCTTTCTTTCTTTCTTTCTTTCTTTCTTTCTTTCTTTCTTTCTTTCTTTCTTTCTTTCTTTCTCTTTCTTTCTTTCTTTCTTTCTTTCTTTCTTTCTTTCTTTCTTTCTTTCTTTCTTTCTTTCTTTCTTTCTTCTTTCTTTCTTTCTCACTCCCCCTTCCCCTTTCTCCCTCTTTCTTTCTCTTTCTCTTTCTTTCTTTCTCTCTTTCTTTCTTTCTTTCTTTCTTTCCTTTCTTCCTCCCTTCCTTCCTTCCTTCCTTCCTTCCTTCCTTCCTTCCTTCCTTCCTTCCTTTCTTTCCTCCTTCCTTCCTTCCTTCTTTTGGCTATCAGCCTCTTTACCTGTGAACTTTGAAGACCTTTTAAACCAAAATAAATCACTTATTTCAAAAGATTATTTTGATGGGTATTAGTACCCTGGACTGCAGTTTCTGTTAAAGTGGAAAAAAAAATGCTGCCTAGGTCAAAATTACAAAGACACATACTGGACTTTCCCCTACCCTGTAAAATCCTGACCCTGTTTCCACTACCAGGAGTCACCTGGTCTCCAGTGTTCCTGATGATGCATCAACTGAATAAAGTTTTTCATTTCTATTTGAATCTCTTACATTGTATTCTTTCAACAGCTGAAAATATTCAAGCAATGGGGTGCTAAAAGTGAGTCTCATTTTCAAGTTGATGGGATGGAGGTGAGTCTTATACTGCTTGCTATCAGTCTATGACATATGCCTGGCAGTTAAGAGTTCAGGTGTGGATGGAACAGCAGATGTTTTTCCTAACCCATTGGGCTAGAGGGACAAAAGTTGCTTATTTTCTGCCCAGTGGGTTCCTATTAATTAAGAGTAGGATGCAGCAGCTTGCTAGTCTGTCTGTGGACAGCTGGGAAGGGATGGGGATGGCAGTGTGGGCTGACATGAGGAAATGAGTGCTTCTCCTGGACAAAGGCCCTGGTATCAGGACTAAGTCAGGAATCTGATCTGCATACTCATGGAGGAACTGGAGTTTGGCACTCTAGACCGTTGGAGCCCTTCAGAAGGCCTGTTATTAGGACTGTGACACCCTAGCAAGATCAGATTATAGCAAGTGTGACTCACTGCTCTGTCCTGGGGCATAGAATTAGAACTTCCTCACTTCCTCTTCTTGAGATTAGGACAGCCCAGAGACTGTCAAAGGCGAGGCTGAGCATGTGGTGAAGGGAAGGTTGGCTCAGCAGAGAAGGAGTAAGAAGGCTATGTGGGCTGGAATCCAGGCAGGAGCCTGGCCACACCCTGTATGAAGTGGTGTAGGAATGCTTTAGTTTGCCCATTTTTATCTTGGTAGAGTCAGCATGGCTCATGCCAGAATGGAGGTCAGAATAACAGAATATCTGATTGCAAGAGATATTTTGCTTTGCTTATCTGTTGACTTTTGTCCTGGGAGGAATAATGGGTGTTGGAGAAGTTGCAGATTGGGATATCCAGTTTATGGAAGTAAAGCAAAAACAAACAAACAAACAAAAAAACACCTTTCTCCCTCCTCTGCAGTCCACTAAATAGCCCCAATACATGTATACACACACATGTTTAATTAAACAGCCATTTAGTGAGCAGCACAGGGAGCAGCGCTCTTGCATGTGGGGTTAGATAGAAAGATGCCTGTCTTGAGATGACATTGTTGTTTGAAGCAGTTTTTAGTTCGAACAGGGACATGCAAGCATGGCAACACATGAGACTGTGCTAGCTCGAGTAGATCAGGACCAAGGGGAGTCCCACACTCTGCTTGATGAAAGGAGATAATCAGTCTAAGGAACCCAAAGGGTGACTCAGGCACTGTGCGTGGTAAGGAAAGATAACAGAAGGGACCGGTGCTGGGACCGAGGACTCACTGGGAGGAGGGGCGGGGGCCCCCCTATGCCTCCCACCACTCTCCTTACACAGCATATGTTCAGGCAGACCCCTCCCTCGTGTGTCTCCCATCCAGATGTCTTCAGCCCACTCTCCCACCTGCCTTTAGGCATAGCCGTGGGGAAGAAAGCCACACGTAGGACAGCAAGGCCATCTGCTTCCGCAGCTCTTGTTAAACTTTAGCTGTCAGGTTGAAGGGAAGCTGACATTTCCTTAAGATGGTATTTCATCAGGTAATGTGTTCCTCTATTTTTACCAAGGGGAGGAGAAACTTAACTTTTCATGGAGAAGACCCCTTAAATACTAAAAAAACCCTTCTTTGGTCAAGTTTTCCAATTTTATCTGGGAAATATAGCTCTTCAACTTTCTGGAAGTCAGTATGGAAAAACGTTTATGTCTACACACACACACACATATATATACACACACACATATATATGTGCTGTGTATACATATGTATGTGTGTGTACATATGTGTGATGTATTTGACAATGAGATTCCTACTAATTAACCTAAATTATAGATCAAAATTGAATACCTACTATGTGTCAGATCCTATGTTGGAACTATATAAATGAATCAGACATTTCTTATTCCCCAGGGGCCTATAACCAAGTAGTATAGGAGGGCAGAGTGTTAGATGACTAAAGTGTAATGAGGAAAACAGAGAGATGGAGGAGAGAGAAATTACAATAAGGGAATGTGTAGTACCTTAAGATTTCAATTGTGAAGTATTTTAGAATAGGGGTCAATGTCAGGCATTAGACTAAAGGTCAATGTCAGGCATTTAAGAGTTCAGAAAATCTTATATTTAAAACTTATGATTGATTTTTCTGTGTCTATTTCTCTTATTGAATTAACTATTTTGCAGTCAAACTCCTCCTCCACCACCCCAAATTGTAATAATTCATTAAATAGCAGACATTCGTACTGGCTGATCAGGAAAACCCCGTAACAATCCAAATCTATGGTGATAACTACATCTAAAAACTGCATTTGGAACATTAAGGAAGTACTTTCTAGCTGTTGGGACTTTATCTCATTGAATTCTAGGACTAATATTTTATTTATTTTCTTATGCATGTTGACATAGAATTCCAAAATAAATTCATTATACCCTTTAAAAATATACATTGTGCAACGTATGTTTATTGCAGCACTATTCACAAGAGCAAAGACTTGGAACCAACCCAAATACCCATCAATGATAGATTGGATAAAGAAAATATGGCACACATACACCATGGAATACTATGCAGCTATATAAAAAGAATGAGATCATGTCCTTTGCAGGGAAATGGATGAAACTGGAAACCATCATTCTCAGCAAACTAACACAGGAACAGAAGACCAAACACCACATGTTCTCACTCATAAGTGACAGTTGAACAATGAGAATACAGGGACACAGGGTGGGGAACAACACACACTGGGGCCTGTCAGGGGGTGGGGGTGAGGGAAGCGAGAGCATTAGGACAAATATCTAATGCATGTGGGGCTTAAACCTAGATGGTGGATTGATAGGTGCAGTAAACCACCATGGCATATGCATACCTATGTAACAAACCTGCACATTCTGCACATGTATCCTGGAACTTAAAGTAAAAAGCAAACAAACAAACAAAATATATATATACACATTGTGCATTACTTTCATGTTCAAAGAAAGCATATCACTCACATATTGACGTATGAAAAAGAAACATTAAATTAAGTGTGCTCTTTTTTCTGAATTGTGGTATAATCCTATAAAAAAAATTCAGGGAGCTTTAAAAATGCACATAGTCTTTGCCCCTTCAAACATCCCCTTTTGGAAAAGGCATATTACTGTCTTGATGGGATGAAGAGACACATTATAGTTACTCTTAAATGTTCCTCTCTCATCCATAAGCATTGGTTTTAAATTGTCATGAAATTCAAATAATAGCTTGATAAATTTTTCCATCCAGGTTAAAGAAAAAGAATCATTTGGATACTTCTCTAAAGATTAAGCATTCCTTCAGAGTTCAGTTTATCCACATTACCTTTTAATGTTTATATAATTTCATTTGTTCATCTATTCATCCATGAAAACATTTTTTGAGCACCTATATGTATCAAGCACTCCTCTGAACTCAGAGATATGAGTTACCAAAAGACAAAAGAAAAATCTGCCTTTTGAATGTTAGGTTCAATGCAGCATTTCAGAAAAAAATTAAAAAGTAAAATATGTAATATATTACCTATTGCTAAATGCTGTGGAGAAGGATAAGATAAAACAGGGCCTGGGGTTGAGGTTTGCAGTTTAGCTGGAGCACTCAAGAAAGGCTTCACAAAGGTGACATTCAAGGAATCCCGGAAGGAGCTGAGGGCGACCCCCACACAGATCCAGGATCAGACAGGGGAAGCAGCAAGCCCAGGCCCAATTTTCCAATCTGAGTTATTGCAAGTGGCCTGCACACCAGTCTCTCTCCTTCTGCTCTTCTCACCTCCACTAGACAATTGTCAACACAAGAGTTAGAGTAATCCTATTCATAATATTCCAGTCCAATGACTCTGATCAAAAGCCAAAGTCATCAAGTGGCCTGCAAGTCCTCACATTGTCTTGACCTTTCGTATTGAGTGTATACATGCACTAAATTCTCCTTATTCATAGTAGTTATCTTCTATAGTCATCTTGCCCTGAGACACTGAATAAGCCAATACTGAAAACATTGCTCCTACAAGAAATATGTACATCTATTTATCCATCCATCCATCCATCCCCATATCTCACATAGATTATAATCTTAAATCCTAAAAACAACTCATTCTGGATTTTCTTTATTTACAAAAGAGAAAATGAGGCTCAGAAGCCATAAGTGAGTTGCCTGGAGCCACCTTATTAGCAGGAGCCGGAGTTGAGATTCAAATCCCAGTCAACTGGCCCCAGAGCTAGAACTTTATGCACTGCCCTATGCTGTGCCTATGGCCTTCGTCCTCTCTGTGGGAGAGTTGGAACAGGGAGACGGAGGTTGTCTCATTCAGCCTCAACTGGCTACTTGCACATGGGCAACTCTATTGATTTGGGGGTTACAAATACATTTTAGCAAGTAGACAAATTCACAAATATGAATCTGTAGATAATAGTGAGAACTGAATGAATATAGACATATACAGTCATGCACCACATAACAAGGTTTTGTCAACAATGAATCACATATATGATGGTGTTCTCACAAAATTATAATGGAGCTGAAAAATTCCTGTCACCTAGTGATGTCCTGATGATCCTGACCTCATGTAGGCCGAGGCTGATGTGCGTGTTTATGTCCTCATTTTTCACAAAAAAAGTTTATAAATTTTTTAAAAATCAAAAATTTCAAAAATAGAAAATCTTATAGAATAAGAATATAAGGAAATAAAATGTTTTTGTACAGCTGTGCAATGCATTTGTGTTTTAAGCTGTTATTACAAAAGAGTCAAAAAATAAAGTTTATGAAGAAAATTAAAGTAAGCTGAAGTTGATTTATTATTGAAGCAAAAATAGTTTTTATAAATTTAGCGTAGCCTAAGCGTACAGTGTTTATAAAGTCTGCAGTAGTGTACAGTTATGTTCTAGGCCTTCCCATTCACTCATCACTCACTTACTGACTCACCCAGAGCAACTTCTAGACCTGCAAGCTTCAATTACAGTAGGTGCCCCATACAATGTACTATTTCTTATCTTATATTGTGGGGTTTTTTTTGTTTTGTTTTGTTTTTTTGAGACAGAGTTTTGGTCTTGTCACCCAGACTGGACTGCAATGGCACGATCTTGGCTCACTGCAACACTGCAACCTCCCTCTCCTGGGTTCAAGTGATTCTCCTGCCTCAACCTCCTTAGTAGCTGGGATTACAGGCGCCCACCACCATGCCTGGCTAATTTTTGTATTTTTAGTAGAGATGGGGTTTCACCATGTTGACCAGGCTGGTCTTGAACTCCTGACCTTAGGTGATCTGCCTGCCTCGGCCTCCCAAAGTGCTGGGATTACAGGAGTGAGCCACCGTGCCCAGCCTTACATTGCGGTTTTATAGTACTTTTTACATAAATACTTACCACTCAGTCACTGACTCACCCTAAGCAACTTCCAGTCTTGTAAGCTCCATTCATGAGAAGTGCCCTATACAAGTGTACCATTCTTATTTTTATGCTATATTTTTACTGTACCTTTTCTGTGCTTAGGTATGTTTAGATACACAAATACTTACCATTGCATAATAATGGCCTACAGAATTCACTACAGTAGCATCTGTATATTTTTGTAGCCTAAGAGCAATAGGCCATACCTTATAGCCTAAGTGTGTAGGTAAGCTATACCATGTAGGTTTATGTAAGTACACTCTGATGTTCACACAACAAAATTCCCTTATCATGCATTTCTCAGAACATATCCCTATCATAAAGCAACATATCACTGTGTGGTGTGTATACATATATACACACATATATATATGTGTGTGTGTTTGTATACATTTATACACGTGTATGTATGTGTGTATACTTTTTCTATTTGGGTGCATCAGAGTCTACTGGGAGATCAGTCTGAACAGTTGGAAAGGTATTGCTACTCTCCCCAAAGCCACTGCCTCCTCAGAGTTCAAAACAACCCTAGAGCACAAATGGCATTGTTCGCAGAGGTTGTTGATAGAAAGGAAAAGCAAGGCTTCAGATGGATCCTGGAGTGCTCTCCTTAAAAATAAAAAACGTGCAATTACACGATTTTCAATATATCCTTTTGCTTTTTCTTTTTATCTGGTTTATGAACTTAACTAATTACCCATTTAATAACCTCAATCACTCAATTTAAGAACAAAGCAGGGAAAATATATTGAGATCCACTGTGTCAACAGCTTTCTTAGAAGATGTTCGTGTAATGTTGTATCTTCCATGTTTTCAAAAAATGTTTAAGAACGAAGACTCGAGATAATTTTCCATTCAAATATATGCCAAGAAAATATAGGATGATTAGTATATAAGGAAGCATTTGACCTGTCAAAAAAGATGGGTATAAATAGCATCTGTAGAGAAGGCAGCCTGCCAGAATAATTTGAACATGCCTGAGGATGCCAAAAATGAGTGTTCCTTCCAGAATATTAAATTGTTACAAAATGTCCCACTCACGAGTTAGGTCTTTATTTTTGTCCAAAGCAAAGAACCATCTTGATTAAAAATAATCATAGTTTACACTGATTGAGCTGTTTGGGCTTTTTCAAAGTTGTTTGCCTATATTAACTCATTTAATTTTCATATTAACTCTTTGAGTAGGTACAATTATTATCTCCATTTTAGGAAACAGAGACACATAAGGGTTACAAACACATATAGAATGAAAAAGGAGAAATTAGGGAGCTCCTCTCAATGAAAATGATCTGTAGGTATGTTATTCCTTCATTTCTTCTGTCTCTTCAGGCCTCAATATATTTGGAAATTTTTGAGTTAGAGTCATTTCTAGGCTTTATAGAATGTTTTTGTTTTCTACATATCAACACTTTCTCTTATCTATAATTTGTGAGTTCTGTTATTCTCTGTTACCTTGTAAATCAAATGAGGTCAGGTATGTTTCTATAAATAGATAAGGCCACTGAGATAACTGTATTAAACTGGGAGGCCCCGTCATGTGTCCCACGAAAATCTTCCATGAAAGTGGCAGTGGGGCTGTCAGGTGTCAGGGTGTCAGTGTCAGGCTGGCGGAGGGGAAAGGAGAAGCAAGCAGCCATCTGGCTTTGGTGCCTCGGGGGCCACTGTCTATGAAACTCTCTCCAACCTAACTGGCCACACCTGAAATTTCATCTTTAAAGGTGTTTTCTTCTGGTGTTGAAGACTTTCTAATTTAAAAGGCCAATACTGCAGAGATGCAGCAGACAACCAGGACTTAACCCAACATTTGGCAGTCTGGCTGCTGAAAAAAGATAAAGACCTGCTGTAAGCGATGTGTCTCCAAGCAGGGGAGAATGAAGATCTAAGAGCTAGAAGGACACCGAAGATTAGACGCAGGTACCCAACAGCTGGCTTGTATGTGAATGGCAGAGAGGGTAAGAGAGAAAGAGTGTAATCTGGTTTTAATAAAACATGTTAACAGGAGATATTGACAATTAGCATCTTCTTTTAACGACTCAACGTCGAGTCCTAGTTGAGTCTGGAAAATCACCACCAATGCTGCATCCACTTCCCTGGGCCCTTTCATTGGCCAGGTGGCAGGTAAAGCTCTAAAGTGGAGGTTGGTGAAGACACATTAGGACTTTCAGCTGATGTAGCTAAAAGGCAAGTATCACAATCCTTCGACAGTTGTCACCTATCACTATTGATGCTTACTCAGGGAAATCATAGAGGCCAACAATCCCCAACATTTGGGAAGAAATGAGAAATAGCCTGGAAGAGATGCCACTGCAAAGCAGAGGGAAGGGAAGAAGCGTGCCTCTAGACTTGTTCATTGTGCCCTGCATACATACCGCTTTCTACCACCCCAGATAGTAACAAGCAACTGTTTGAGCTTTAATCCAACCCACTGTGTATCTTGATACCATAATCCACAAATCCATGTTAGAAGCCCAATCCACTTCAGGCATAAAGGAAGCTGAATTAACAATTGTGTTCTAGAAAAAATGAATTTTATGAAAACACTTTACATAAAAAATTGCCCTGCTGTGTTAGTGCTTCCCTATATCCGACGAGATCTATGGCACCGGCATGGGAAGGAAAGAAAAAACACATTTCGTATCTATGAATTTTCATTTGCATCACATCAAAACCCAGACCAACAAAAAGATATTTCTCCCATGTATTGTTATTTAATATGTGGTTAAAAGTCACTTTGAGTACACTTCAAAGGAATAGATTGCTTCAGAGTAGATCTATTTATTTATGTTTTCTTAACGTTCAATTCAGAGCACAAAAAACAAAACAAAAAAACAGCTTAATTCCTTAGGTTTCTTGCAGTTTGCCATAGTGACCACGTCCAAGACCAAAATCAAGGTTGTCTGAAGATGATTTGCTCAAATGTTAAAATCTATCATCTTCCCTCTGCTGTATAGAATACATCTAAACCATCTTCCAATAAACAAGCTCTTTAAATATTTAGAATGATCTACTGTGTCCCATCTGAATCTTCACTGTAGGGTGACAATTTTCCAGCCCTTTCTTGGGTCAGGCATCCAATATGGCTAAAATTGTCTTTTAATGACTGAGAATAAATTTATTCCCTAGCTTTAGATTTCGTTTGTTTGGAAACAACTTTTGAAGATGCAAAGCCATTTGCTTCCCAATTAAATTTTCAAAGCTTTGCATATATACTATTTAAATAGAGAAATAATTGTTTTAGAAATTGTGTGTTCTTTGTTTAATCGACTGTTTGGTACCCTGCAGTCCATGCCTGCAGGCAGTGAGATGAATTCAGAAGGCTAAACATTTAAACATCCTGTACTTTGGAATGACGGTAGTATGGAGTAATAGAGTAATACAGGCTCTTTAACTAGGGCTGTGTCAAACCCTGATATTGGTGAGTTTTCTTAGATTGAACTCAGAGGGAAGAGCTGTTTTCACTGTGCAAGTGTAAGATTGGATGCGCCCCCATTCCTAATATTATCCTTATGGGAATGGCATGGCAAACTGTTGTGATTTCCCAATGGGTTTGTCCCTGAGGTTCCTTACTTGGGACACCCTAAGAGCTGTGCTTAAAATTTGATGGGAAACTAACTGATGTTCCACACCCCTACCCCCCATTTCAACTAGAGCAGCCATGCTTCATCTATTTCACATAACAGTTTCAAAATTAGGTGTTTTAAAACAAACAAACAAAAGAAACAGGGTTCTTCTATTTTCCCTCCCTCTATTTTTTTTTTTCCATAAAAGACCTAGTGCAGTAATTAAGGTAATTAATTTTGAAATAGGAAATAAATATTTTCAGATCTGGCTTTTCTGCTTACTAGTTCTGACTTTAATGTCTTTGAACCATGGTTTTCTCATCTGTAAAAAGAGCTCATAGTATTCGTAAGGTGGTTTTGAGGATTAACTGTGATAATAACAACCCTTTCATCCTCTTAGGAAAGCTTTCTTCTCTTGGCTTCCTTGATACCACCAAATTCCATACCAGGGTTTGATGAGAAGAATAAACCACTACGAATGATACAGAATAAGACCTTTATGATAAGGATTAGACCTCATGCAATTATGGGAGCTGGTGAGGCAGTCTTTGTAAGGCTGTTTTTTCTGCATCTTTTGATGGGCCTGCTAGAAGAATAAGGGAGGTGAGGCAGGAAGGAGCAAAGAGAAATGGTACTGGGGTGGGGAGGGGGAAACTGGAGCCCAGGAGGACAAACTGGAGGCTGTGACTCTGTCTTAGTGTCCCCAGCCTCAGTCACATGGGTGACCGACCTGCAGGATAGATTGGGTCCTTGCACCTGGTTCCTGCACACACATCTGGCCCAGGATTCAGCAACCTTGAGGGTGGAGATGCAGTGGGAGCTGGAGGTACCTATGGGCTTGGCCTTGCCCCATGCATGAAGGTGAGACAGCAGATTAGCAATGATTCCACACCAAGTGTCACTGTACTAACTGCTCTTTCACACTCTGGAACTTCCTTCTCTTTACCTACACCACCTTCATACATGATCTGACCATCCCTGCGGTTTTAGACGCCACCTAAGTGTTAATGACTCCCTGGTCCACCAGCACCTTCCTTGCCCTGAATTTTCTACAATATATGTTGATAGGCTGGAGCTTGAAAGACACAGACATGAAGAGTCAGCCACTAGCACCCCACTCCTCACCACAAACAGATGAGGCTAATAGATGATAGAAACCTCTCCCTATCAGCTGGGGTGAAGCCTCATAGTGTTTTCAGAGCACTCTAGACAGTTACAACCAACCAATCATAATTGACACATGAGCTGAATTATATTTGCTATCCCTAGAGGAATAGGTAGAACTCATTGAGATGGAACCTAATGGGGACAAACGTTAATATCTAAGTAATCAAACAGAAAGAGAAAATAAAGATGTGGCTTAGCAGAAATGTGTGTAGAAAAGTCTTAAGGGAATTGATTGATAGCAGGTTCAATATGACTGTTGATTCGTGTCTCAAGACTCACACACACACACACACACACTTATACTGAAAGCTTTAAAAGTATTGATAGAAGTAATAGTGCACAAGATCTGTGACTGTCCTTCTCTACTTTGCACTGATGAGACCATAGTAGGGACTTGGCCCTCAGTTTGACAGTTGTAGTTTAAGAAAATTATCAACAAAGAGGACGTGCTGTCTAAAATGGCCTGGAGGTGATGCAGGAAGCTTGAATGCATATTCCAATGAGAACACTGTAAAAGAGCCGTTTGATTTTCAGCCTGGTAAACAAAACCTTAGGGGAGATGATAACTCTCAAGTATTTGATGTATTTAAAGAGATGAGAATACACTTATGCTAGGGACCCACACAAGCAGAATTTAGGCCAGTGGATAGAATTCAGCTGTATTTAAGAAAGTATTTAGGCCAGATATGGTGGCTCACATCTGTAATCCCAGCACTTTGGGAGGCTAAGGTGGAAGGATTGCTTGAGCCCAGGAGTTTGAGAACTGCCTGGACAACATAGAAAGACTCTGTTTCAACAAAAATAAAAAATAAAAAAAAATTAGCAAGGCATGGTAGTGCATGCCTGTGGTCCCAGCAGAATACTAAGGAGGCTGAGGGAGGAGTCATGCTTGAGCCCTGGAGTTCGAGGCTGCAGTGAACTACAATCATGCCACTGTATTCTATCCTGGGTGCAGAGCAAGTCCTCATCTAAAAAGGAAGGGAGGGAAGGAAGGAAGGAAGGAAGGAAGGAAGGAAGGAAGGAAGGAAGGAAGGAAGGGAGGGAGGGAAGGAGGGAAGAAGGAAGGAAGGAAGGGAGTGAGGGAGGGAGGGAGGGAGGAAGAAGGGAAGAGAAGGGAAGGGAAGGGGAAGGGGAAGAGGACGGGAGAGAGAGGAAGAAAGGAAAGAAAGAAGAAAGGAAGGGAAGGAAATAAAAAAGAAAGGAAAGACAAAGAAAAAGAAAAGAAAGAAAGGAAAGAAAGAAAGAAAAAGAAAGAAAGAAAGAAAGAAAGAAAGAAAGGAAAGGAAGAAGGAAGAAGGAAGAAGGAAGGAAGGTCTCTAAGTGTAAGATGTTTCATGTCACCAATGGTATTAGCGCAGTTACAAAGATCAATTCTGCTTGTCAACGATTTAACAAATTCCTACAAACCCTATGGAGTCTGGAGGGACCAATGGTTTCTTCAAACCTTTAAGCTTTAAAAATATATAGATTTCTAGGTCCCAATGTAGATTTACTGAATCATAATCATCTAGGATAAGGCTAGAATTTGTGTTTTTAACAACTCCTACATGATTCTCACTTGTCAGGTGGGCAGATATGAGAATACCAGACCAGATGATATTGAAAGAGCTTTTCATACTTCCTTGATTCTACTTCTAGTCCATGTCATAGGAGGCAATATTCACAGTGGGAGGAGTATAGACTCTACAGCCAGAATGTGTGGGTTCAAAACCCAACTCTGTCTCCCACTAGCTAGATGGTTTTGAGTAAGTCTGCATACCTCAGTTTCCTCTCTGTTAAATCGGTATAACAATAGTATCTACCCCAGAGTGTTGCAAAGAGTAAATGAGTAAATGGGAAAATGGGGTAAAGTAAGCACATCAGTGCTTATATATGGCATATATCAGTATTAGCTATTTTCCTTCTGCTCAAAGATAACAAATCCATGTACAAGACAGTTTGATTAATGGATGTATCAGAAGTGGAAGAGAAAGAAATTACACAAAAACAAAGACCTTATTGTTTCTACCTTTGTATTATTAATCATCTTTCAAAATAGTTCCAGCTTTAGTGAACATTATAATGCAGAACATATGTAAATATTTCTTTGAGTGTTACGATCAATTCTTGTGTTGATGGGCATTGGGGTTGTTTTGAGGTTTTGGCTATTGTGAATAAAGTTGCTAGAAACATTCTTGTAAAAATCTTTTTTTAACACTAAGTATTTGCTCCTTTTAGGTAAATATCTAGGAGTAGAATTTCTACTGCTAGACATTTCTTGTCATAAGGTAGATATATGTTTAACTTTATTAAGTACTATCAATCCATTTTCCAAATTATTTGTTCCATTTTGCAATCCCCTCAAGAATGTGTCAAATTCTAGTTGTTCCATATGGTCATTTACATCTGGTATTGTTTTAATTTGATGTTAGCATTCATGGTGGGTATGCAATAGTATTTAATTGTTCTTTTAATTTGTATTTCCCTGATGACACATGATGTTGAGAAACTTTTCATGTGCTTATTGGTCATTTTTATGTCTTCTTTTATGATACATGTAATAAATTATTTTGCCCTTTAAAAAAATTAGATTGTATTTTTATTATTGAGTTGTAGGAGTTAATTATATATTCTGGATACAAGTTCTGTATCAGATACATGTGTTACAAATATTTTTCCCCCAGCACTGTCTTATCTTTTTGTTTTCCTAATGGTCTCTTTTACAGACAGAAGCTTTTGCTTTTTATAAAATCTAATTTGTCACTTTGTAAGAGTCAATACTTTTTGTTTCCTAAGAAATCTGTGCCTGTTCTAATTTCATGAAGATATTATTTTATATTTTTCTAGAAGATATTTCTTGTTTTTATGTTTTTATAGTTTTGGTTTTTACATTTAAATATATAGTCAATGTTATTATTGATGTGCATTGGAAGGCACTCTTAAGCTTTGTTATTGGCTAAATTGTATTTAGAACTATTAGGTTCTCCTGATGAATTTCTTCTTTTATCATTATAAAATATTTTCTTAATCTCTGGTAAAAACATCTTGTCATGACATCTATTTTGTCTAATATTAATACAGACACTTCTACTTTCTTGAACTTATTTTCATAGGATGTCTTTTTCTATCCTTTTACTTTCAACCTATAAGTGTTTGAAGTGCATCCTTTGAATTCAGTGTATATTTGATCTTCCTTTTTGTCTAGTCTGATAGTTTTGGCCTTTTGACTATTTAATTCATTTATATGTAATGTAAATATTAATATGGTTGACTTTAGCTCCATAATTTTGCTATCTGTTTTCTATTTGTTTCTTCCATTTTCTGTTTTGCTATTCCTTCTTTTCTGCCTTATTTTGGCTTAATCTAATACTTTTTATTATTCCATTTTATTTTCTCTATATTTTTTAGCTTTCTTTCTTTGTATTTGCTTATTTGTTGCTCTAAGAGATTACAGTGTACAACCTTAAATTATCACTGCTCCATTTCATATAAAATATAATAGTCTTTCAACAATATTGTTCTACTCCGAGCCATTCTTGTGCTGCTATTGTCATAGATTTTACATGCCTGTACATTATAAACAGCATAATACACAATACAGTGTTTTAATTTTTGCTTAAATTGTTTGCTTCTTTCAAATAAATCAAGAGGAATTTTAAAAGATAGATACCCACATATTAATAATTTCTGAGATTTTTCTTTTTTTTCCCCATAGTCTGAGTCTGGTTGCATTTCCCCTCCACCAGAAGACCTCTATATAGCATTTCTGTAGTACTGGTTTGCTGACAAACTATTCATTTTATTTTTGTTCCTTGAGAATATTCTTAGCCTACCTTCAATTTTGACAGAAATTTTTGCTAGAAATAGAATTCTGAGTGAACAGGTGTTTTCTGTTTGTTTTTCCTTTTTTTTTTTTCTTTTATCACTTTTTGTTCCTTGAGCAGTTCAGGCCCATTTCCACTCTGGGCCTCTATGCTTGCTGCTTGCTACCCCTGGATAGCTCTTTACCCTCCTCTTCACGTCTCAGGCTAATCAGCATTGTCTGGTTCCATTTCACACTTCTCCGAGAACTCTGTTGACCATACTATCCCAAATCACTCTTCTTCCCACTTACTTTCTTCCTCATGATCCTGCTTATATACTGTGCAACACTTTCACAACCTTTAATTATATTTTTTAATTTGTTTACTTGTTTCTTGTCTTTTTCCCTGATTAGCTCTATAAGAAAATGTACTCTGTCTTATTCTCTCCCATATTCATAGCATTCAGCAAAATATCTCACACAGTAATAAAGGCTCAATGATATGTCTCTAATGTAGAATGGATACAATTGAAGTCATAGGGACTTCTAGCTTTGCTAGACTTGAAAAGACATATTGAGTAGTCATGTGCTGCTGAAGTCTCCAGGACCATATGTTTAACAAACACTGTGCTAGGAAATATAAATACAAAAGTGATGCATCTTCAAGGAGCTTTTCCAGATCCTCTGAGTTAGAAACAATCTCCTCTCCTCTAGCTCCTGTAACATTTCACTTCATCCTCATTGTAATACTTTTAATGGTCTACCTTGAATTGTTGCTACTTCTATATCTGTTTTCTGTCTCCAACTGGATTGTCTGACAGGTCCTTGCAGGTAGGAACTATGTTTTTCTAACACATATTAGGCAATCCTGCAGAAATAGCCTTTAGGTCGGCAGAAATTTTAGGATACTCTTAATATGGTGTTGCGCTGAAAATGAATTGAACAAGGAAGTTAGCATTTTTTGGTTTAATAAGATGTTCTGGTTCTCTAAGGAAAAGAAGACTCATATAATACCAAAGTAATTAGGATTTCAACTGTGCATTAATAAAGCACAGTTCCCACCAAGGACACTGTGTCATGCGTGGGGGAGGACTCCTCTGCCCCTTCTCTGTCTTTGTTCTTGTTTATATGCACTGCCTTTCCAATTTATAATCCCTGTAGTTTGCATCGCAATAAAGTGCCAAATATTTCCTGCCCACGCCTCTGGCTGCAGAGCGTGAGAACTGTTATGGAAAGCAACAGATCAGAATATGTTTTAGATTTGTTGGAGTTCTTAAAAATGCCCATTTTTAAACATAAATATTTATGCCTATTGCAAGCTGAACCTCTATTTGTTATGAGAACTTTGATTAGCCTGTAGCCTGAAGAAGACCCATATAAATAGTAGTTAATATTTATTATGACAAGATTAATGGAGAACTCTGGAAGAAATAAACCCTGAAGCTGGTTTTAGTATTCTGATTCCATGCTTAGAAGAGGAGAATGGGTCAGACCTGGATAAGCATTTAAAAACTCACACACTGGTAGTGATAAGTTATAGCCTCTGGGTTTGGGGACCGTAATAATCTTACTGAATCATGAATCCCTGTGAAATGGAAAGTCAGTATAACTATAGCACTTTTTTATGGAATAGCTTTTTTTTTAAAGGTCCAGTATTGTTCTGACAAATTTAAGTTCCCAAAAGGAGTATGATTTTTATGGGAGTATTCTTTGTAAAGTGCAGGTGTATGGTGAGATTGGGGGTTATGATCTGAAACTTCTTGTACATTTCCAAGCCCCAAACCAAAGCTTAGAGTATCAGAATCTCCCGAAGTTTTGCCTGGGAATCTAGATTTTATCATGATCACTGGAGGATGCATCCACACTCTGACGTTTGGGAGTCACTGCTTGAGAAAATAGGTTTCAAGATTTGTCTGTTTTATCTCTGAACTGGCAGTTTGTACCTGAAAAGTTGTCAGTCTCTTAGGCTGCTTCCTAAGAACATCCCAGATATTTGTGGTTTCATTGTTCTTTTCTCATAATTAAATGGACTCTTAATTGAACAATCAGGTGAGTCAGTACCTGATTATGTGATTGAAACAAAAACAAAAACAAAGCTAGCTCTCATGCCAACCCACCTAGCTTACTATATACATTTCAAAGAGGTCTCTCTGAAATGCTCACTGGGCCATAATAATGTGAACGCCTCCAGGAAACTCTACTCTTTGTTCAGATTGTAGATGTGGGCAGTTCTAAGGACACTGACATTCAGGGAGCAGGACTCATTGGATTTGATGCAATCGGAAAGTAACTTTAGGCCTGGTGCAGTGGCTCACGCCTGTAATCCCAGCACTTTGGGAGGCCAAGGTGGGTGGATCACTTGAGATCTGGCGTTTGAGACCAGCCTGGCCAACATGGTGAAACTCCGTCTCTACTAAAAATATAAAAATTAGCCGGGCATGGTGACACTTGCCTGTAATCCCAGCTACTTGGGAGGCTGAGGCAGGAGAATTGCTTGAACTCGGGAGGCGGAGGTTGCAGTGAGCTGACATCATGTCACTCGCACTCCAGCCTGGGTGACAGGGCGAGACTCCATGTCAAAAAAAAATAAAAAACTTTATTTCTTTCCTCCATTAGTTCATTCAAATTGTCTTTGTGGGGTTATTTTTTCCAAACTTTTAGATAGAAACTAGGGCAAGTTTCACGAATTTTCACTTATTTTTAAGTAGTAGAGTCCTTTGCTACTTGTAAATACATAAATTCTGTATTCCTTAATTAATACATCCATGATAGAGCAGTAATTTTTAAATATTTCCAAAATTTATTAAAAGTTAATTGTCCCCTCCTCCAGCTCAGTCCTGCTTGGCGCTGTCCACTTAACACGGGAAAAGAGGGTGTGGGAGGCTTCTCTCTTTGTTCTGCCTGGAGCTTTTGCTTTTCTTCTTTGCCCTCAGTACATTGCTCTGGCTCCTCCAGGGCTGAGGGACACAGGTGGAAGACTAGCAAGGGAAATGGAAGTTTACTTGGTAGGTCCTGTGCAAAGCTAGCATGGATACTGCTTGACTGGGCAGGAAGTGCGAATTGATTCTCCTCAGGATGCTTTTGTGAAAGGAAAATAAACTCAGGACCCCAAAATCACTAAGCCAAGCGAAATGTCAAGCTGGGAAACCTGCCTCCCATTTTCTTCCTAAATATGATAGCTACAAATTTCAAAAGCTACACACCTCCCTCACAATTTGCCTTCAAGGAAATTCCTCGTGGACAAAGGGCAGACAGAATTCAAAGTCATCCATCTGAGGCTCACCTGAGACAAATGCATATATGATTGTTTCCTCTACCCTACTGTTGATGTAAAAATGCACATTTGCTGAGCCAGACTAAATTCTGTATTTAGTGGGAGGCCGATCAAGGACTCAAAAGAATGCAGCCTTTTGTCTCTTGTCTACTCATGACCTGGAAGTCCCCGCCTCAAGTTGTCCCACCTTACCAAACCAAACAAGGTACATCTTACACATATTGATTGATGCCTCGTGGCTCCCTAAAATGCATAGGAGCAAGCTGTACCCTGACCACTTTGGGCACATGTCCTCAGGACCTCCTGAGGCTGTGTCAGAGATGCGTGCTTAAATTTGGCAAAATAAACTATCTAAATTGAAATTGATTGAGACCTGTCTCAGATACTTTTTGGTTTACAATTTCATGACTTTTTCACAGACTTGTCATTACTTAATACGGGCTAAGTAGCTCCTCTGGTATCACTTTAAGCACCTAGATTAGCCAGGTGAACACTTTCAGCATCTTTTTGCTGAAGTATCATTGCCCTCAACTTCAGGCAGCCCTTTTGGGTAGTATCTAAGAAGTCATCAAATCAGCTTCTTTCATACAGGGTACACACAGTCTGTGAGAAGCTTTCACATATCCTTTCTTCTGACAAGCTCTGAGAACACAGGCCATGCCCAATTCTGTCACCTTTTATACTTTGCCACCAGGGAAGATAACAAACCACAGTCTCTAGCCATTTGGATCTTGCAGGTGATGACAGAGTCCAATCTACCACTTCCCAAGCAACAAGAAGGTACTCCTCAAGCCCTCTAGGTAGTTCTGTGCAATCCCTTCTCCACAGGCTTAAGGTGAGGGAGAACTCCACGGTCCCACATGGAACTCACGGTACAATATAGCTCTCTCTTAAGAAAGTCTCTACCCATTTCTTTCTTTCTTCTTCAGTCTCTTCTTCGTACTGGTGGTGAGTGGTCAGCACGGGTTCGTGACCACTTCCCCTGGACGTTCTGCACTGATGCTCTCTTACCTCATTTTGGTAATGTGGGTATAGTTATCATCTGTGTCTAGGACTTCCCAGTAGGGCTTCAACTGGACACTCAAACAGAAAGTGTTTCCATGTTAACATCTCTTCAAAATAGTAAAAATAGCAAGCCCGTATTGATCACTTGTTATGTGCTGGGCACTCTCACATACATGCCAGATCTCACTCAGCCCTCCCCACAATACTGTAAGAAAACAGAAGTCCAGAAGGGTCAAATAATTTGCATAAAGTTACCCAGGTAGCAAGTTGCAAAGCTATCCCAGCATAGTGCATTATTTTCTTTTCAGGAAAAGAGGAATAACTTTGCCTGTTAAAATTAAATACTATGCATTGATAAAAACAAATGCTACAGCTTTCAGTCCTGGCATTTACAATGCTAGAACAGAATTTTGTACTCATTTGCTAAACATTGTTGTATATATATGTCACTTTTTTTTTTTGAGACAAGGCCTCACTCTGTCATCCAGGCTGTCATCCAGGCAGGCAGTAGCACTGTCATACCTCACTGTGATCTTGAACTGGGCTCTCAGCCTCCTGAGTAGCTAGGACTACAGGTGTGTGCCACCATGCCTGACTTTTAAAAATATTTTTTTTGAGACCAGATATTGCCATGTGGCTCAGGTTGGTCTTGAACTCCTGGCTTTAAGCTATCCTCCTGCCTCGGCCTCCCAAATCATTGGGATTACGGGCCATTGTAATATCTTATTCACCTAGTTCTTACAACACCTGGTGATGTGATCAGCCTTGTCTTCGTCTTGTAGATGGAGAAACTGAGGCTAGAAATTTCATGACTTCCTCCAGATCACAAAACTAGAAATGACCGGAGTCAGAATTAAAATCCAAAGTTTCAGATCATGACCAACTTTACTTTTCTCTCTATTCTGAAGGGACATACTAGCTGAAGGAATATGTTTCATTATGGGTCTCAGCTCTGCGGCAAATGTTTAAGGCTATTTGGTTAAAGCTGTTTTCTAACATAAATTGGCTCTAGATCAGTCAAGATTTTTACTAAACTTCTGAAAGCAAAGAGCATCTTATCCATCTTGGAATCCCTAGTACCTGGCCCAAAGTTGATACTGTATTAGTGAATTAATTAAATGAATGAAAAAGTGAATGAATAGATTGCCTTCTAAATTCTGGTGGAACGTAAGACTTCACATGAACCAGATTGATGTATTATTCTCCTCCTGGTATTTACATTTTATAAAATAATCCTAGAAGAAACACCTAAATGAGTGATGTCTAAAGTTGAATTTTCAATGCTGTCATTGGAGTAGAGTGGAAAGGAATTAGGATAGAGTTTTTCTCTGGAGTCTCAAATTTCACTGCAGAGATGACAGTGTATTATGTCTATATGATCTAGAGAAAAATAGAATGCATCTCTGTTTGAGTATAAAATGCCCAGGAACACCTTACCTCAATTCAAAGAAGGATGCTCTAATAATTTAAGCCTTCCAGAAATGAAATAAGCTGCTTCTAACATATTCATAATTACACTTCTGCTAAGAGACCTGTTGGCTGTGCTCTGCAAGGAAGGGTTGAAGTGTTGGTGGGGTAGATCAGGAGTTATCTCCGACACTGTGTCCCTGAACTTCTGGAGATGCTAGGATTCATTTCAGGTGGTTGACGACTGGATGCAGCTAACCAGGTCTGTCTGTTGTCCACAGGTCTGAGGCGCAATTACAGATGTACCATCTGCAGTGTCTCCCTAAACTCAATAGAACAGTATCATGCCCATCTGAAAGGATCTAAACACCAGACCAAGTAGGTACTTTTGTGCTTTCACTCTTCAGTTTCTTCGATGTAATTTTTAGTAAGATGACTAAAGGCTCAACATTTCATCTATTTCTAAATAAGTAGAGTGGAAATTACATCTCTTTTGCTTCAAAGTTCACATGATATTTATGCTTACTTGAAGAATGGCTTCTTCCCTTTATTTGGCATGAGTAATAAGAATCTCTTTTTTTCATTTTTTCAAGGACAGTTTAGCATACTTTTATGAAATTAGGACATATTAAAATCTATGCTAAGTGTTTTAAAATCAATAATATTATTCTTATTTGTAGGATGTACCAAACTTTGATGACAAATTCTATGAATGTCTTCTACCACTTTCCCTTTCTGGATGAATATTGTTGATTATTATAGAAACATAACAAATCCCCCAGGATATTAAGTCATTTATATACAATGACTATTCACTATTATACAATGACATTTATATACAATGACATTCACTATTTCCAAGTGAATGGAAACTTATTCCATTTTTTTCAAATATTCTCATAATTTTAAACTGAGAAAGTCTCACCAGGCACCATTTCACCTATATTTATACTATGCAGCTCTTTAAAAACCACTGGACATTTTTAAACCAGCTGCTAGGACTGTTAATAAAATGCTAATAAAATATGAAAAAAGCAAAGAATGTCTCAAAAAGTTGTAATTTTCCTGAGCATAATTGTTTTCATTTCTGTAATATTCATTAGGAGGATCATTTAACATATTGGACTGTATCAAGACCTCATGAATTATGAATGTTAATTTAACAAACATTTGTCGAGAGCCCACTATGTCTCATACTCCAAGCTGTGCACTAGGGAAGAAAAGATGAATAGGCCGGGTGCGGTGGCTCATGCCTGTAGTCCCAGCATTTTGGGAGGCTGAGGTGGGCGGATCAGGAGGTCAGCAGATAGAGACCATCCTGGCCAACACGGTGAAACCCCGTCTCTACTAAAAATACAAAAAATGAGCCAGGCGTGGTGGCACGTGCCTGTAGTCCTAGCTACTCAGGAGGCTGAGGCAGGAGAATCTCTTGAACCTGGGAGGTGGAGATTGCAGTGAACCAAGATCAGGCCACTGCACTCCAGCCTGGGTGACAAAGCAGGACTTCGTCTCAAAAAAAAAAAAAAAAAAAAGATGAATACATTGAGTCCTTCCTCTTCCCCCTGCCAGGCTGAGGAAACAGCTGTGTAAACCCATAGATTGTTCTCTAATGCCACGTGTGCACCCGGAGCTTTAAGCATGGGGGAGGGAGCAATCCAGGGCAAGCTTTAGGGGACACTAGTGCAGAGGCTGGTGCATAAGGATGAGGTTATGGTCTGATTTTGCTCAACACAATATCCTTGTTTCCTAGCACAGCATCAGATATGTTATTGGGTCTTTATACACTTTTTTGATTAAATGAATATGTGATTTCAAAAGATGAGTAACAGTTTTCTAAGCAGGAGTATGAAATGGAGCATTACAAGCAAAGAAATTGTTTTGCAAAGATATTGCAAAGATGTACATCACAGGGAGTCTAGCTCAGGTGAGAAAATTTAAACCCAAAGTTAGTTACTGACTCTCAGTTTTCTTCTCAATATTCTGCCTTGTGAGTCAAAGCCAGTTCCATGGCTTGCATTACTCTGGTCCGCCCAGAGGACTCTTACTGGAATAATTCTTCAAAAAGAAGATTTTCCTTGATTTGTTATGGAATACTAGAGTTCTTGTATTAATTATCGGATACTGCTCATCCCCCCAAGCTGTTTTCATCATTTCTCTAAGTAACATTTTGTTACAGGCACCATACACATTTGAATTAACCTGTATCTGATGTGCAGACAGACACACAAATACCTGCAACAATAAAAGATAACTTTTTGGGAGCATGTATTCATCACTCAATACATAGAAAAAGATAAACAATGACTTTAAATGGTATGAATTATTTAAATAACTAATACAGATAGTACCTCCAGATTCAGAAAAATGTCTCTCTTCTCTATTCTGTACATATATAACTTCATGGGCTAGAATCTGTGCTAGGTATTTTCACATCTATTATCTCATTTAATTCCCTTAACTACCCTTGAGATAAATATTAATATTATTGACCTGTTATCTTACATGAGAAAACTAATGCTTAGAGAGGTAAAGTGACTTGCCCACTATCACCCTGAAAGCAGATGGCAGAGCCAGCACTGATCACAGTGGTGTCTGACTTATGTCTCCACTTACTCCATGTCATTCAGTTAACACGAACTTAGGCTTGGAATGGGAGCCAATAGAGAGTAGTATGTGCATTTTGAAAAGAGGGTTCCACTTCCTTGAAGTGATTTAAATACACAAGACTTCAGAAGGGAACATCTCTTATAGTGCTGCCTTCTTTCCTATAAATAAGATGTTATTCATTTCTAACTCAAAAGAACAAAGCTGCTCTCTTTGTGAAGAAAATAATTACACTGTCCTGTTTCACATGCCTGTTTTATCTGCCATTAGACCTAATTTGCATATCATGTGCGGGCATGCTTGTGATCAAGATTGAGATTGAAAGAGAGAGAGAGAGGAGAGAGAGAATAAATGATAAATGTTTGTTCAATTCTTTTGTCTGTTTATAAAAATCAATTTTTTTTTAGTAAGTTGTAGAAGTGTCTAATTTTTAAGGAAGTCTAATTTATCAGTCTTTTTTTATGGTTAAATTTTTTTGAGTGCTATTTAAGAATTCTCTGCTTATCCTGAGGTCGATAAGATAATCTCCTATGATATTATGTTGTTTTTCCTTACAAATATAGGTCTTTGATCCACCTAGTGTTAATTTTATGCATAGTGTGAGGGAGAGATTGAGTTTCATGATTTTTTTCCATACAGATACCAATTAATCCAATACTATTTACTGAAAAGACCATCATAGACATTTTTTGTAAATCAGGTGATTTACATACATGTGTACGTGTGTGTCTGTCTCTATATTCTGTCTCAGTGTTATATTTCTTTTTTTATGCTAATGTCACATTACTTATTTCCTATAATTTTATAGTGTCTTGATATCTGATAGTGTAAATCTTCTAATTGTATCTTCTTATTCAAGACTGTCTTCACTGTTCTTTCCTCTTTGCGTTTCCCTATAATTTTTAAAATCAGCTTGTCAACTTCCTCAAAAAATCCTTCAAAATACTGAGTTTTCTAATCCATAATCATGGTATATACCAGCGTTTGTTTATATCTTCTTTAATTCTTTCAATAGTGTTTTCTAGAGTTCTTTGTAGAGGTCTTAAACATCTTTATTTAGATTTATTCCTAAGAATTTATTGTTTTGGGATACTAGAATAAATTTGATTATTTAATAATTTCATTGTTAAAATTAATTACTAAATTAAATAATAATTAAAATCTATTATTGTTTATAATTGATACATAATTGTACATATTTATGGGACCTAGTGTGATATTTTGATATATATTTATAATTAGCAAATTCATCACTTCAAAAATTTATCATTTCTTTATATTGAGAACATTTACAATCCTCTCTTCTAGCTATTTGCAAATATGCAATACATTTTTGTAGAACACTAAAACTTGTTTCTTTTATCTAGGTGGAATTTTGTATCTATTAACCAATATTTTCCTCTCCCCTCTCCCACTATTCTTCTCAGCCTCTAGTAACCACGATTTGACTCTACTTCTATGAGATCAGCTCTTTTAGCTTTCATATGAGTGAGAAGATGTGGATCTTCTTTTTGTGCCAGGCTATTTCACTTAACATAATGTCCTCCTGGCTTATCCATGCTTCCATGAATAGAAAGAGTTCATTCTTTTTAATGGCTAAATAGTATTATATGTCTTTATATAGATGACATTTTCCCTATCCATTCATCTATTGATGGACACTTAGGTTGATTCCATATTTTGGCTCTTGTGAATACTGCTACAACAGAAATGGGAGCACAGACATCTTTTTTTTTTCTTTTTTGAGATGGAGTTTCACTCTTGTTCCCCAGGCTGGAGTGCAATGGCACAGTCTCGGCTCACTGCAACTTCTGCCTCCTGTGTTCAAGCGATTCTCCTGTCTCAGCCTCCCAGGTAGCTGAGATTACAGGCATCCACCATAATGCCTGGCTAATTTTTGTATTTTTAGTAGATACAGGGTTTCACCATGTTGGCCAGGCTGGTCTTGAACTCCTGACCTCAGGTGATCTGCCCGCCTCAGCCTCCCAAAGTGCTGGGATTACAGGTGTGAGCCACCACACCCAGCCACCATTTCTTAAATACACTGACTTTCTTTCCTTTGGATACATACCCAGTAGTGGAATTACTGGAACATATGGTAGTTATATTTTTAGGTTTTGGATTTATTGTTTATCTTTGCAGTTTGGTGGTTTTTCGTAGTGATAAGGTTTGATTCCTTTACCTTTCTCTTTTGTTTATCTGTCCCACCAGTGAGATACTTTCACATATTTTTATAATGGTAGTTATTCTTCTTTTATTTCTAGATGTAGGACTTCCTTAAACATTTTTTGTAAGGCTGGTCTGGTGATGATTAATTTCTTCAGTTTTTGCTTGTTTGGGAACTTCATTTCTGAAGAATAGCCTTCCAGGGTATAGTATTCTTGACTGACAGTTTTTTTTTTTTTTTCCTTTCAGCCCTTAAATATGTCATCCCATTCTCTCCTGGCCTGTGAGGTTTCTGCTAATAAATCGGTTGTTAGTCTGATGGAGATTCCCTTACATGTGACCTGATGCTTTTCTCTTGTTGTTTTTAGAATTCTCTCTTTGTCTTTGACTTTTGACAGTTTGACCGTAATATGCCTCAGGGAGGACCTTTTTGGGTTTAATCTACTTGGGAACTTTTGAGCTGTGTTTATGTGGTTGTTTATGTATCTCGGTAGGTTTGATAAATTTTTAGCTGTTATTTCACTAAATAAGTTTTCTACACATTTTCCCATCTCTACTCCTTCTTGAACTCCCATAGCACAAATATTTGTGTTATGGTTTCCCATATGTTTTCAGGCTTTCTTCATCTTTTTTATTCTTTATTATTTTTCTATTTTGTCTGCCTAAGTTATTTCAAAAGGTGTATATTCAAGCTTAGAAATTATTTCTTCTGCTTGAGCTAGTCTGGTTTTTTTATGTTCTTGATGGTACTTTTTATTTTATTCATTGAATTTGTCATTGCCAAGATTTGTTTGGTTATCTTTTTTGAGATATCTAACTTTTTGTTGAATTTCTCATTCTGATAATGAATTGTTTTTCCAATTTTGTTGAATTGTCTATCTGTATTCTCTTGTATCTCACTGAATTTCCTTAATATTTTTATTTTGAATTCCTTTTCTGGCATTTTGTAATTTCCTTTTTTATGCCTTTATTACTGAGGAATTATGATCCTTTGGAGGTGTCATGTTTCCTTCACTTTTCATGTTTTTTATGTCTCTACATTGATAACTGTGCATTCAGTAGAATAGTCACCTCTTCCAATTTTATGGAATAGCTTTCATAGAAAAGACTTTTTCCTGTAGATGGATCCCAGAGTCTCAGTAGAATAGAGTGTACTGACTTTGATTCTAGGTAAACACAGTAGTATGGTCTCTGTATAGTTTCTCCAGCTGTAATTAACAGTAGTGATGTTGTAAATGCCTCAGTGGCCTCAGCTGTGGGAGTTTGTGGGGGCAGTGGTGTGGCTTTGCTGAAGGTGAGCTTAGTGAACTGGTTCTCAGTCTGGGGACATGGCCATACACTTGGTGGGTCAGCTGGCTCTGAGACTGATTCTCTTGGGATGAAGCTTTCAAGCTGTTTCTCTAGCCCAAGGCATAGGGGTTTGGTGGCTTGGGCTTCTCAGGGCTGTATCTTCTTGGGGTGGGTCCACAATTGTGTTTCTCTGGCTGGGCGCATAGCATACAGTGGCTCAGCAATTCAGGGACATGTCTGACAGGCTGTTTCTCCAGCCAGTGGTGCTAGGGAAGACTATCTGGGGGCAGGTTTGCTGAGCTGTTTGGCTTGGACAGCCTGGGGTTGACTTCCCTGCTCTCAAAATTAGAGTCATGGCCATTTCTGAGCCTCAGCCTTGAGCAGCCAGGGTGGTCATGTTGCAGCCACTCATGTGAGCTTGGTGAAACAACAGCAGAGTCCCAAGTCTAGAAAGGCACAGTGGCTATCAGCTCCCCAGAACAGGTCACACTCCAGCAGTGACTTTGATTTCAAAATAATGCCATGCTGCAGCAGCTTAGATCATGGGGTTATGATCAGTAAACAATGTGGGCTCCTACTTTTGGAGTAATGTAGCCACAAGAATTCTAAGCATCTCCTCAAACTGGGCTCAGGACTTGTGAGGACTTTGGGATTCCCCTGTAGTAAGAACTACAGGTGTCTGCAGTGACAATGTGGGCTGGCGAGGGTACTTCTGCCTATCTTTTCTCCACATGGGAAAGTCCTTCTTGGCTCTGAGTCAAACGTGATGGAGAAGACAGGGTAGCAGAGGTGGGTGCCTCATTCCCCTCTCTATGCTGGACTTTTGTGCTCCACAAGGATTTTGCCAATTTTTTGCTGTACATCAACACTCTCTTTCAGACACTCCAATCAAATTTTAGTTGTTTATTTTTTATTTTGGTTCTTTTTTTGTGGGAGGAACAAATGCCAGGCACCACTAGTCAGCCATCTTGCTGTTGTCTCCTTACTTATATTCTGTCTGCATATTCTACCCAGGAGAAACAGGCGTTGAAAACCTTTAACTATAAATATGGATTTGCCTATGTATCCCTTTTTCTGTATATTTTTTGGTTTTATATAGTCAAAGTATATTATTAGATACTTACAAATATAAATTTTAAAAATTTATTTCCATTCATTTGGCCCTTTGTATCAACTTTTATTCATTATCAAATGTTTTTCTTTTTCCCTAGTATTATTTTTTCCTTAAAGTATACCCTTTCTGATATTAGTGTACACCAACATCAACTACACTAACTCTTCAAAGCTTTTAAGGATTTCAAATATTTTTTCCTTTAAATTTAATAATATCCAGAATTTATTTTGTTTTCAGATGGAAGGTTAGTGTGATAATACTTAACTCTACCATAGTTGAAAATGTAAGTCAGCCAAATGTACTTAACTATTGCAATCTGACCAATTAAATAAACATAAGTATTCAGGTGCCAGTGATTATAGAGGTATCAGATTTATATTTTTACTAATAATATCTAAAGAAGTGTTGGTAAGAAAAAAGATTATTAAACTGTGTGGTGTAAAGAGCACTGAATTGTGAGTCAGGAGATTTTAATCCTCTTGTGACTTTGCCACTCAGTGGCCTTGTACACTGACAAATCTTTTCTCAATCTTAAGTTCCTTCATGGATTAGTGATTAGTGATGACAAGAACACAACAAATATGGGTCCACTTTCCATGCCCTTGCTCATGATCCTGGCACTCTTTCCAGCTCATCCTAACTATAGCTTTAAAATTGTTCTCAAAACAGATTTCCAGATAGCCTTTGCCATTTTATTGGAGCTAGCACTTTGTATGTATAGTGGGTTGAATAATGTCTTTCCAAAATTCAGGATCCCCTCAGAGCCTCAGAATATGGCCTTATATGTAAATAGGGTCTTTGCAGATGTTATCAGTTAAGATTCTCAAGATGAAATCATCCGAAATCTACAGTAAGCCTTAAATCCAATGCCTGGTGACTTTAAAAGAGAAAGGAAAGGGAGATTTGGATACACAGAGAAGAAGGCTAAGTGCAGATGAAGGCAGAAATTGGAGTTATGTTTCCACAAACCAAGGAATCACCAGGAACTGGAAGAGTCAAGGAAGGATTCACTCCTAGAGCCTTTGGAGAGAGAGTGATGAAGCTGACACCTTGATTTCACACTTCTGGACTCCAGAGGTTGTGACTAATTCTTCTCTTATGGAGAGAATGAATTTCTGCTGTAAACTACCCACATTATGATACATTTTAGGCAACCCTTTAGACACATTTTACTAAGCCACTGCTTACAATGCCTGCCCTGGTGATGATGATGATAGAGATGATGCCACCATGGATAACTGGAGTGTAACTTGTGAGCCTCTGGAGTAAAGCAACAAATTTTATTGTTCTGAAAGTACTAACATATCTAAAATGCACAGCATTCTTGTAGTTGGCCAGATGTTCTTATCTTCAGGTTATAGGTTAGAAAATTGAGTCTCAGAGAAGTTAAATGACTTTTCCAAGGCCCTAAAAGTAATTGTTAGCAGAGGCAAAAGTCAGGTCATATGCCTTTATTACTACTACTATTATGATAACTAATCAAACTGTAATTGTCAGATTGCTCTTTGCTGGTAGTAACCAGACACGGTCTTTTACATTTTGGGGCAAAAGCTGTAAACAGCATAATGGCAGTCAAATTTCTCTCCATTGTTAAACAACAGGAGAAATATTAACTATCTGATGAGATTAAAGGTTTGGAAATGCAAATGCTCATGGCAATATTTAAAGCAATTGCCTATTAGTAGACTTTTCAGAGCTTCCAGGGGATATAGTTTGTCAATTAGTACAAATGATTAAAATAAAATGTAAACGCACTGTGAGTATGTACCATAGATTAATGAACAATTCCCCATTAATATACTTAAATTTGAGCTTAGGGAACACTCCAGGCCTCAGGACATGATGTTACCTAGAAATAAAGGATATGAAAGTTGTCATTACTTACTTTGATACTTCAGTTGGTTGAAAATGAGATACAAGTGTCTAAGATAATAAATTAGACTGACCAAAAATTAGTAGTAATTTCTAAATCTGCTTCTTCCTTTGAGAAGAGGCCTTAACACGTGATATCCATTTGTTTCTCTGAGGTTTTTTTCTAACTGGTATGAATCCTCATGACAAAAGCCTCGTATTATTTATTTCCCCATTATACTCATTTATTTGGGAAGTACTTGAATGAATGTTCAGACTCATTTTCAGGGATGGAGTATCTTTGTTTTCAATATTTTGGAATTCGCTTCCCACATTCAGCATACTAGTTAGTTAGCTGAGGGTCGCACAGTAATAAATAAGACACTTTTGTAAGATACATGAACCACAAAGAACCTTCTATATTTAATAAAAGAATAAAAGCAGCTTAAAATCCTGAGAAGATGTTCTCTTTGAAAACAATCAAACAAATCATAAGTCATGCATGGATTTCAAAAGCTAAACATATTAATATTCTTTGTAGAATTTTCAATGTAGTTTACTGATATTAACCAAGAAACCCAATAACCAAGAAACCTGAGACTTCGATATTGTGCTTTTCATGAGAAAGCATTTTTTTCTGAAAAATACAAAATATGTATCACCAGTAAAATTTTGAGATAACAGGCCATAAGAAAATATTGAAAATAGAGCTATCCTTTTCCAAAGAATGTAAAGTTATTTCTCTTCAGCTGATAATCATTTGTAAGCTGATAGTAAAGCTCTGAATAAAGGGTGAAATCTGGAACCCATGGCTAATTCTTTGCTTGCCCCATTTTATAATTCTGAATGTAAAAAATAGCTCTTCTCCCTGAAAGTAAGACTTGTGGTGTGTCATCAAGTCTTTCTAGCTAAGGACTATCTGGATAATCAGCATCACTGTGACAACGACAGGAATGAGGCTGTGTCACAGCCTTTGGGCCAAAGGCTGCTTTCTACCTAGCCCTGTCTTTAATTGGTAGAACATTGAAATCCACTATTGTTAAGAGCCCTCCATTCTATGAGGAAGGCCTCAGAAGAAACAGGCTCTAACTTCTCACATGGAAAAGGCAGTAGCTTTCAGAGAGAATTTCAGAGATGCCGAAAAAGACTGTATATGTATCTCTATATCTACAGCACTAATACATAGGCAATTTTAGCAGCTCTATTTTTCTAAGTTGCACTTGCATGCTTTTGCTATACAGGCTGTACCTAGGGATACATTATAATTACAGTATGTGACTAGATGAGGTGTTTTGCCGACTTGAAAAGAACTAAATGGGGAGCATGTTCATTCTTTCATATCACCTCTAGAATTACCGATGACACTTAATATTGTTTAGCTCATTCATTTCCTCCCTGCTTCCTTCTTGGGGGACCTATAATCATTATTTTGTCTTGCTTGAAATTTGCATGAGTCATGATTGCCTCCAGAATGGTTCCGAGCTGATGATTTAATGTCTCAGCTTTAATTGTGAACCCCACAGAATACCTCTCATGTTCTTACGATGCTGCTTCAGATTAGTCCTCCAGTACCAATCTCCAGGGGTGCAAGGTCATTACCCGATGTGGTTCTGAGAAGTTTATTTGCATCAAGAAAGAAAAGAACTGGAAGGAGAGTGGTGGAGCCTTATAGACCTGGCCTGGGAAGCAGATGGCCAGAGTCCCAGGGTCAGCCCTGTCTCTCAAATCCTGAGATCCTGAGTGGCTTTAAAAACTTCACAAGGTTTTTTTGTTTGTTTGTTTGTTTGTTTTCTGTCGTTGTTGTTCTTTGTTGTTTTGGAGACAAGGTTGCTCTCTGTTGCCCAGGCTAGAGTGCAGTGGTTCCATCTCAGCTCACTGCAACCTCCACTTCCTGGACTTAAATGATCCTCCCACCTCAGCCTCTGGAGTAGCTGGGACTTCAGGCGCACATCAGCACACCTGGCTAACTTTTTGTATTTTTAGTAGAGACGGGGTTTTGCTGTGTGGCCCGGGCTGGTCTCAAACTCCTTGTCTCAAGCAATCCTCCTGCCTCGACCTCCCACAGTGCTGGAATTATAGGCATGAGCCACTGCACGTGGCCCCACAAGTTACTTTTAAATAAACCGATTAAGCTGCAGTTGAATACAGTGCTATGCACAGATTTCAGTTATACAATTTGATGGGTTTTGACAGTCATCTACACCATGCAACCATCAGCCCAATCAAGATGTAGAACATTTTCATAACCACCAAAGGTTCTCTTGGACCCCTTTTTGCCCAATTTCCTACCCCCATCACAGCTAACCATTATCTGATTTCTATCACTGTAGTCTAGTCTTGTCTATTCTAGAACTTAATGGAATAATATGGCATGCTTTCTTTTTTGTCTGGCTGCTTCTGCTCAACATAATGTTTTTGAGAGTTGTTCACATTAATTACACGTGTCATTAGTTCTTTCTTTTCCTTTGTGGATTTGAACAAAACAAGTTCCCTCACTGAGTTTTACTGTCTTCATTTGAAATGTGAGGGGTTGGAATACAGAGTAGTCAAGGTTCCAATCAATTCCAACAATCTCTAATATTATGACCTTAAAGTTTAACCGACGTTTCTTTAGTGTTTTTCTATTTTCCAGCTGGCAGAAGGTTGTCTGTAAAATCTTTTTTCTCCAGTGCTTTCTTCTTTACTGCACGGTGGCCTAGAAGCTGACCCACCCTGCAGTTGGGTCCAGCTAGGCCTACTACAAAGAACAACATTGTGGAGGCCTCTTTTTCCTGTTCTTACGTTAAAGGCAATAGGGCTGTTCAGGTGGCTATGACTTGGGGCAGAAGGGATAAAGTCGGTTTTACAGGGAGAAAGTGAAGAAAGGAGCTTATTTTCACTTTATTTCCTGCTATGAATACAGAGCATAAACTCTAATGACTTCTCAGGCAAACAGGGATGGGTAAGAGGGAGTCAAGAAGGTTCTAAAGGAGATCCTGGCTTCTCCTCTGAGCAGCCCAGGCTGCTGGACTTACCCTCATTCTGGGTCTTCTGTAAGTTAGTGTAGTGCCTTCTCATACATTTCACCAAATTTTATAAGAAATTAAAATATGTCCATTTGTAAACTATCTATAGCTGACGTTGATTTTTACAAAAACTTTAGTAGAATTTTGAGTTTAGCCAACATTTCTCTGATCTCTTAGAAGTTGTGGATTGTGGAATACCCGGCAATTGAATTAAGTAAATGAGAAATGTCACTTTATTTAATTAGATTTTGCTGGGGAAGTAGGGAGAGAAGGTAAGTTGGGAATGGACATGTCCTTGATTGTGTTCCTGAATCAGTTATTTATCACTTCTCTTTGGGGTGGAGGATAAGAGCTCATTTTGGCTGGGATTTTCATTTTGTAGCTGGAGTGGTGGTGTGAATTATTGGACAAATCAGCTCCCCCATCCCATTTAATTTAATCCCATAATCAAAATCCGTTGAGTACTGACTGTGTTTGGGACATTAAAACAGGCCCTAGGGGCAATGCAAAGTGATTATAGAGATGATTGTACCTTTTAACAATTAATAATCTAGTTGAGGGGATGCAACAAGTAGTGATTACAGTTAACGTCAACATATGATATGGTGAGTAAAAGAGGTGCAAAACATGGGTAGAATTCAGGGGAAGAAGTAACTGCATCTGCCTGGAGCCATCAAGAAAGGTTATTGTGGACTGGGTGCAGTAATGTGTATTGGGAATGAGACTGGCTGGGTTCAGTCCTGAACCTATCTACTAATTCTGTGACCTTGAACAGATACTTAAATACCTCATTATGGCTTAGTTTCCATATCTGTGAAATGTAATAGTTATAAAAAGTACCTACCCAAACTGACTATAGTGAGGATTGAGTTTTAAGAACAAAAGCAACAACAATAATAATAATAAGTACTAAATGGGCCCCGAGGAACGGGTAGATGAATGTTGAGGTGTAACCCTCAATACTTCTATCCCAAAATTATGAAAATGCCCAGAATTTTTCCTTGCATGGCTAGTTTCTTGCCCAAGGTTGGGGTTTCTGGATTCTCACAAAGTTCCGGCCTGCTCAGGGTTTAGAACCCCAGTGGATCTCAGTGAAGCTGCGGGATAGAAGAAGTGATCCAGGAAAGGTCTCGAAAGACGATTCTCATTCTGAGTTTCTTGTGGTCTTCTGCCTCGTTTTATACAACAGTTTCAAGCTTGATATTCAGTCCTGCACTCTCGGAAGAAATGTTTGCTGAATGCTCTCAATTATATGTGGCCATTACACCCTAATTTCTCACTCAGACTCCCACTTCCTCTAGCTCTTTGACAAAATGACCAAGTTCATTTTGTCAGTCATGTACAATTAGCACATTATTCTCTGGAGACCATGGAGTATTAACCTTGACAATAAATAAAATAAATGAAACTATTTTCCTGGATGAATTTCCTAAATCATTCTCCCAGTGGTCTGTGGGATTCTCTACGTGGAATTTCTTTACCATTTTGATTTTAGGAAGGTTATTTTTCTTCCCATTTGCATTTTTCATTTTATTATTAAACATATATACACTGCCTACTCAGGAATCTTTATGCTACCACTGATAGTATATTCTGGCTAATCTCAATATTCACTGATTAAATCTGAGTGATGACATTTGATAAATGCTATATTTTCCAGAGTTGGAAGGATTTTTTCAAAAAACAAATGATGTCTATGCATGACAGAGACATCTCTTTAAGTGTTAAACACTGTTATTTAGGTAATTATTTAGTGATAAACATTTTAAAGAGTTTTGGGGTTTTTTTTTGTTCTTTCTTTTTTTTTTTTTTGAGACAGTCTTGCTCTGTCCCCCAGGCTGGAGTGCAGTGGCATGATCTTGGCTCACTGCAACCTCCGCCTCCCAGGGGGGTTCAAGTGATTCCCCTGCCTCAGCCTCTGGAGTAGCTAATTTTTGTATTTTTAGTAGGGACAGGGTTTCACCATGTTGGTGAGGTTGGTCTTGAACTCCTGACCTCAGGTGACCTGCCCGCTTGAGCCTCCCAGAGTGCTGGGATTACAGGAGTGAGCCACCATGCCTGGCTTTTCTTCTTTTTTGAGTTAATGTTATCTAGACCATTCTATATTGTGTTAAGAATAGCCAGATGTAACCAGAATCTATACCTCATTCAGAATATAAACTTATATAAATATCAATAGTAATATGTATTACCTGCAATAGTCCTTAACAGCAAATAGGAACCATGTATTTTTCTTTAGCTTTTAGAGTAACAGAAAAATCTCAGTCCATTTCATGCCGAGTAGTCAAATACAAATCAAAATCTATAAAGTTCGCTTTCAGAAATGTTGGTGTTATTTCAAGCTCTAGGACACAATTAGTTCAAAGTTCTATCTACGGCCTCTGGTGCTATTGTACTCTCCAGAGATATATCTGTCTTTTCTCTTCCTTATGTAAGTGCCTTTCCTTCTAAAGACACCCAACAGGATAACATGTGCACTTTACTCTTTTTGATTTCTAAAACCATCACCACTGAACTGATTTATATTCTAACAAAAAGATCTTATAAATGCCTTAAATAGATGAGTTTCAGACCTCTGGTTTTATTTCCTGGGACATGGATAAAGTTCAAATAATACATTCTGTTTTCTGACAACTTTCCACTGCTAAATCACATAAGCTTACTAGATAACTCAGATGTCATGGCCAGATAGCTTACTAAATTAGCACCTAGTTGTCCCTTAGTATCTGTATTGGAATGGACACTTTAAGTCTCTGTGTAGGTGGGTCTAACTGGGTATGTTAAAGTTTCTCATTTTAAATCTAGCTTTTGGTCAGTATAATTCCTATTCAAGGCAACTGAGTAGGGGGGAGCTTCAGATTTTTCAGTATCCTCCATACCAGAAGGTTTGGAAGTCATACAGGTTTCTATTTCTTAGTCTTGGAACCAGATGTCATCATTTCTGTATTCCACATCCCGTGAGAGTCCTGAAAGTAAAAATGCACCTCCCATGGAAAGGAGAGATCAGGTCACAGTGTAATTTGAGAAAGTCATCCCAGCCTGGAAATTGAATGACCACCCTCTGCTGCACCCCTTCTAAAGGTAATAGGAAGGAGGTCAGGTTCTCTCACACCCACATGTCCGGAAAACATCAGCACAAGTTAAAAAAAGATCTGGGCAATGCTCTTCATTCTATGTGCACATTGGAGAGGCAGCTTTCATTTCCAAGTTACTCTAAAGAAACCCAGTATAAAATAACTAGTCAACCTTTTGGAGCATGCAAGTGATATTTCTGGAGTGAATCTAGAGAGTTTATTTCTGTGGATGAAATCTGGTTCACTCACGATCTGGAGGTTTTCAGTGAGATAGTGTGTCACGGCGGAGGAACATCAGAACTTTCCTTGATTTGGTCAATAGTTTAGCAAATATTTATTAAGTGACCCACCCACTCTGTGCTAGGCTCTGAATCACATAGTAAATGACAAGTAAATAAATTGATTTCTTGTCCTTAAAATGCTCAGGTAATTTTTAAAACGCCTAAACCCTAAAGCGCTATGATTCCAGAAAAGTCACCCAAATTCTTGAACTCATTGAAATCACAGGAGAGAGTGCTGGGGGCCTTCACAGTGGTGAAGGTCCTGGAGTCCTATTAGCAGCTGTCAGGAGTGTGGTGTTGGGTGACTGGGCACCAACATGGACCTGCAGTTCTTCCAAGCCCAAGTTATCACTGGCAATGTAGGTTCTCTGAGGAGCTCTTATTAAAAAAAAAAAAAAAGGTAGCCTGGAACCTGAGTTGGGAAAGAAGGCAGGCTTAGGATCTAGGAGGGATGTCAGATATGAAAAAGATGGTGGCAATGACCAGGCGTGGTGGTTCACACATGTAATCCCAGCACTTTGGTAGGCCGAGGAGTGTAGATCACCTGAAGACAGGAGTTCGAGACCAGCCTGGCCAACATGGTGAAATCCCATCTGTACTAAAAATACAAAAAATTAGCTGGGCGTGGTGGCGGATGTCTGTAACCCCAGTTACTCATGAGCCTTAGGCAGGAGAATTGCTTGAATCTGGGAGGCGGGGGTTGCAGTGATCGCCCCACTGCACTCCAGCCAGGGCAACAAGAACAAAACTTCATCTCAAAAAAAAAAAAAAAAAAAAAAAGATGGTGGCACCAAACCAGCACTTGCTGTTGTGTTGAATGAGTTGATATAGAAGCTTTGACTTCTAAGGACTTACCCAAGGAAATTACTTTTGTCACTTAGAAACTCATATTTTCTGGGCATTCTCTGAAAAGCCCTCATCACTTATATATGAGGATTTGAATTTTGTAACACCTGATAGAATATTTCATTGCTATTAAGTAAGGGAAGAAACCAGGGTTTAAAACTTATGTTAAGAGCAAATGACATTTGTGATCAAAGAATGATGATTAGAGACATCAATCTGTCCAATCTCTGTTGAAAATTACTTTGATTATTCTTTCTCCCTAATAACACTTGCTCTAGTGTCATTTAAGGAATTGGTAGCAAATGAGCAGCTCCAATAAGACAGTGTACAGATAAAAGAGTAAGACTGGATGTCAGATTTTGTTAACAAGAACTGCTTTAATGTTCTAAAGCAGATTTTTTACTATCCGTGCAGGTAATTTTTCTTTTAACCTTGAAGTAAGATTATTCCTGTGTCTTCTGATTAAAATATCTCATCCTGTGCCCACAATGGATGCTCAACAATTAATGGTCTTTCTTTTCTCAACTGTTTAATTAGGGTTGAAGCCAACACATAATTTGAATGACTAAAATCAATGAATATCATGAATATCATTCCAAAATGTACTCTACTAATGTGAGTAATTTCTCCATTCCCATGAGACAGTGGAACAGGCTGCAACAGTGGCCCTGCCTTATGATGTGATTTCAATAAATTGCTTCCTTTTCTCAAAGTGATATGTTCTCCCCTATACACACCTGCTAGGTAACTGTCAACATTTTTTCCACAGAGGAAAACTTTACTTTTGTCTACTTTGCAGGCAGGGATAATTGCACAGTGAGATGTGCAAATGACAAATACTAAAATCTTATCTGTGAGTTTAGAGGGGGGTGGCCCGAGACTGAAATATAGAGTGTCATTGACAGGGGGAGAGAAGGCAGAAAGAGGAAGCTGGCATCAGCAATGAAAATCTTGGCCTTTTAGGGTCCAGGGTTGGGCAATCCTGTAGAAATAACACCTGCTTCAATATACTCTCGACTTATAAAAAGAGAAGTGATCAATACAAAACTCAGTGAGTTAAATATTGTCTCCTACATGAACACATTCCTGGACTCCCTTACCATGGTAAGTTTGTCCATGAGGATTTCTTTGCGTTCTCCAGCTTAGTGTTCATAAAGCAAATATTTCAAGTATTCTGGAACTACTTGACCTCATTCACGTATTTTCTCTTTTTGGAGGACAGACCAAAAATAAGTAATTTCATGATCATATTTATTCAGAAAAGGCTGGTGGAGATTAGATGTGTGGTCTCTGACAATCCGAGGGAGCCTGGGATGAGAAAGTGAAAGGACATCCCTTTCCTCAGCCACTGGGTGGAAACTCATTGGTTTCCCCTGTAGGAGACCTGCCATGGGGAGCAAGGGTAGGGGCTGGAGGAAACTAAGAGGCCCTCCTGCTCCCTCACAGCCTACCAGCATCACCCCAGTTTCTGGACTAGTTTTCAGAGTCAAGGAACAGCTGCCTTTAAGGACAGAGCCACTGTGGTCAAATAAATCATATCCTTTACCCTCTGTCACAAAATTCATGGGTCTAAAAAGAGAGTTGGAGGTGGAGAGAGATACCTTATCAAGTCAAGCAGAATCATGCATGTGGAATAATTTCATAAGATATCATTGTAATTCAAATTTTAAAGTCTAGTTCAGAACATTTCATGTTCTTATCTGTTTTTTCATTTCAAAATTGTTTCTTCTACTAGTAGTGCTCAAAGAAGATGAATTGCATCTGTTACCTTTGGATTTAGACAGCAGATATATTTATGGTTTCCTAGCATGTTCCACTTTTGCTAGAGACCTAATACTTGAGAGAGATTCAGTTCTGCTCTGTGTATTTACTCTGTGTCTAGCTAAGTGTCAGATACCGCAAGGATATAGCACCAGCAAACAGTGTGGTTCCTGCCTGCAATAAACCTATTGTTTAACTGAGGAGACCAAATTAATAGACGAAAATAATCAAAGAACATTTAAATGCTAATATATTTGAGACTGACTTTATATACCATTTAAGGACTTGAGAGAAGGGAGAGATGATGCAGACATGAGTAATGAGAGAAAGCTGCCTGGATGAGATGAACCTGGGCTGGGGAATGAGAATGATTTCAGTTTGAGGTGGAATGAGTTTGAGGGGCCTAAGAACATTCAGATGAAGATGCCGGTGGGCATTGAGGTTTATGGCTCTGGAGTTCAAGAAACAAATGAGGGCTGAAGATTCAGATTCAGGATGCTTAGGGTCACAGGAGCTGGTTGAAGTGTCTGATATGGGAGTAGATGAGTTCACTCAAGGTGAGTGTGTACAGTAAGAGGAACTTGAGGAATAAACACACATATGTTTACACTGCACACATGTGTGCACACACACGTCGTGACAAAGGAAGAGAAGTCAACACTTTTTCTCATAATGATATATTTTGTATTTCTTTTCTAAGTAGGAGAACAGGACAGATTAGTGCTTCAGAAGTCAAGGGAGAAAAAAACATTTCAAGAAGGAAGGTGTAGAACAAACTGATTAAATGCCAGAAAGAGTCAAGTAGAAAGAGGATTGACAGATGGCTTGTCAATCAGGAGGGGTTGTCATTGTTTGCCTGGGGAGTTTTGTAGAAGTTTCTAGACCATGATTACCACAATGGCTGGGGTAGAAAGAAAGAGGGGGAGTTCCTTACCAGTGTGCCCCTGTATGAGGGAGAGTGCCCCAGCAGCCCCATTGATGACAGCACCCAGGAGGATGGAGGGTGATGTGTAGCTGTTTGCTATGCATAGGGGAAGGGGTTTGCATAAGAACTCAAATTATAACAGCAGAACCCTCTTTTAAAATAAGTAGCAGGTGGAATTTCATAAAAGTAGTCTTTTTTGGAATTAGACATGTTGGGTCAAAAGTGCTACCCAGTGAACTTCCTCCCTGGCCCCTGCTGATCCCTAGAACTCTGAGGAACCACTGATAATCATTGATGATGGGATTTCTGAGAGGATGGCCTAAGGTGCCTACCTGTCTTCAGCTTAGGAGATGGGAGAAATTCTGACAGAATCTGGCCGGGAGTGAGGGAGTTAAGTTTTAGACACAGTGCTTTTGATGGAATGGTGTTTTGCCTGAGCAGGAATGTCCTACAGGTTCTTGGAAAGCAGACCTGATATGAAGACTTGAACCAGACTTTGAATGGACATTTTGAAGTCAGCTAAATGGGTACAAGTTAAAGCCAGGGAGAAGACGTATCGTCCAAAGTAGAGAAAGGTGCAGAGAGAAAGAACCGTGCCCTAGGCATTGCACCTGACTGACTTCAGTCAGAGAAGCAAGACCACTAGGAGGTGTGTGTCTGTCTCTCCCTCTCTTTTTCTCTCTTACACACAGACATACACTCACACATGGATTTATAACAGGGATTAGACCTTACCAAGGGTGTCCAATCTTTTAGCTTCCCTGGGCCATATTGGAAGAAGAAAAATTGTCTTGGGCCATACATAAAATACACGAACACTAATGATAGCTGATGAGCTAAAAAAATTGCAAAAAACTCTCATAATGTTTTGAGAAAGTTTACGAATTTGTATTGGGCCACATTCAAAGCCATCCTGAGCCGCATGCAGCCTGTGGGCTGGGGGTTGAACAAGCTTGCACTGAGCCTTTGTGAGAGCTGGTTCAGCACCCTCTCTAATGCTGGTGCTTGGAGCCTGGAAGACAGACTGTTGGAGGAGAGATTTTGGGTGGGGAAGAGAAAGTGCTACTCAGACCCTGAGCACCAGCTGGGACCTCTAAGGACAGACTGAAACCCGAGTTAGTTCTCTCCACCTTCAACCTCAATAAAGTGGTAGTTCTGCAGGAGAACCTGGTGCTTACATGTGGAAGCTGTGAGCCCTGACCTTCTGAGAGTGAAAACCAGAAACATATAGCTAAGGGAATTATAAGAAACGCTGTGCAGGCTGGCCATGTTAGTACACTGTAAAACCACCAGAGTACCCTCTAAAGCTGCCAAGTAACACTACACAGCAGGATAGTTAAATGTCAAATGAAAGACCACAGCATTAAAAGTGCTGAGTTTTCTTGTCCTTCTTTGAAAAAAAAAATTAAAGATATAGTAACTTAAGATGTTTCCATTTTTGTCAGAAAAATGAGCTTATTTTATTAACAAATGACACTGAATCTCTTTGCACAGAAGTCTCTTTGCACAGTACACAGAAAAGCTTATAAATCAAAGACGATCTTTTCTTTAAACAGAACTGTATGATTTTAATGAAAATATTCTAGAATCATATGTGTAGTGCCAACATAGAAAATATGGAGAGGTAAATCTCTACTAAGTAAAAGGGTTTTTTGGGGACTAATATACAAGAAATAGGATTGCAATGCGAGACATACATAAAGACCAGGGTGGCCTCCTGCATGTCCAGAGAACAGAGGAAAAGGTTAGGGTTTAATTGGGGAAAGAGTAGATTATACAGGTTATTTTGAAAGTTCATTGGCTGGCGATGTCTTTCAGGATCTGGCAAGCTCTGATGAGTGACAGTGGGGGCATTTCTAGGTAAAACTTGTAGTCTCGAAGTCATAGCAGCTGTTTCTTTGGATTGAGTTTGTGAAATAGTGTGTCAGGCAAGTGTTTTTGCATAAGTGGCTGGCTGTCCTTGTGATCATTCATATTATCAGGCAAATCTATTAGGACAGCCCTCCCACCATGATCTTCTCTGTCTTTATTTTGCCGGAGTTTGACAAGTGACACAAGACACAAGTGACTCCATTTTGAATCTCAAAACTTTCACAGTAAATGTTTAATATATATCTAGGATGACTTGTACCCAGGAGGCTAAAGCATTGAAATATCACCTGGAGAATTCATAGCTTCATCTGCATTCTGAGATTACTTTGAGGGGAAAGATATGATTATTTGTTTTCCAAGAAAAAGCATTGATGAATAAAATGAAAAAATATATTTCTGCTGGTACTGTGGCATAGGAATTTACTACAGAGCTTTAATGGAAAATAGACTGTCTATAATTGGCGGTGTTATTATTTACATAATTTGTTCAGGACAATGAGTTAAGATAAAATGTACAATTTCCCTTGGTCAAATTTTATATATATATATATATATAAAGTTTGACAAGATTATGGAAGATAATTCAAAAGGAAATCACTTGGCACTGTGTGACTAGCTTGAGCTAGAAGTGTATTAGAGGCACAGGTATTGACAGTGGCAGGAAGCCATGGACAAACTGTCATTAGGACAGGAATTAGTGGGAGAGTGGAACAGACCTCAGGGAGCAAAAATGCACAAAAATTACACCTGACATGGAGTCTTTGCCCAGCCCCAGTATCTCCTCTGCGGTTTCTGCCTGAGGAAGATTATTGCATAAGTTTGATCCCAAAGGGGCCATAGGGATTATTTCTGGGTCATCTATTTTTTTCTATTAACATACTCAGGAAAAGCTCTAATCTAATTTCACAAACGTGTGTTTGTATTTGTGTGTACTTATGTGGTTGTGTATATCTGTGTGTTTCTGTAATTATGTGTATTCGCATGTGTGTGTGTTTTTGTGTTTGTTTGTGTGGTTGTGTGTATTTGTGTGTGTGTGCCTTCAGTTCTATATCTACAACTCTGCCCTATCCACTGAGTCAACTGAAAAATTATATCATTTATAAATTTTGAAGGGAGACTTTATTTTTTATAAAGGGTTACAACCTACAAGATGGGCATTCTGACAGGTTGGGAAGCATTGCCTCTAGCAGAGGCCAAAAAGCAGGCAGTTCACAGGAGGGGAGGGAGGCACAAGGATTTGTGCTAAACAAGTTGGCCAAGTACACATATTTAACAGGTTATAGGAGGAGGTATGAATATTCATGAAGGGGTTAGGTTATGTTAGGAGGAGGAATGCATATTCATGAAGGGGTTCAGTATGATGCATGCATACTGAACAAACATGCATGTTACATGTGTCCCATGTTCGCTTTGAGGTGGAGACTTAACATTTAAGTATTATAATTAGGCCCTGTATGTGAAGAGGTGAAGCAGGGACATGAAGGCACTCAGTGCACAGCCTCTGTAAAGCCAGCCAGAACCAGTTCACAGTCAGTGGTCTTTTATCAGGAGAAAGTTACAGAAATCATTCTATTGTGCAATCAAAGCTATAGTTATGGTTGTAGAACAGGAGGACTCAGTTAGTCAGTGTCTGGTGGTGGGCGAGCTGCAATTGTTTCAACACTGCTTGTCTCAAAGCCAGTGCTTGTTAGCTGCTGAAGAAAAAGACAAACCTGTGGCAGTTAAAACATAGTTTATTAGTTTATTCTTTAAGTGCAGGGGTGCGAGGCTTAACCCTTTTCTGGCATGGCCTTAGGTCCTGTTTATGATTTGGTATCTTATTGCCACAAAGAGTCTGTTCTGTCAGTCTTATGGCCCCTCTGTTCTGTCAGTCTTATGTTGGTTGGCTGTCGTGTCTAAAACACAAAAGGGCGTGGGCCTAATGAGGCATATCTGACCTCTCATCCTGTCGTGGCTGGGATCTCTGGGGTCCCCTCGGCCAAGAAGCGGGAGCCCGTTCAGTCAGTTGGGGGCCTTAGGATTTTATTTTTAGTTCTCACATGGGACTCAAGACTCTCAATTTAGATGTGCAGCAGGCATCTCAAACTTCACATGGTCATAAAGAGAATACTTGATGTCAGCCAATGATCTTCTACCTCCTTCTCCCCAAATCTCCCCTTATTTCTAAATAGCACTATTTTTATCCAGTTTCTCAAGGCAGAAATCTTGAAGATAATGGCAGTTCCTTCCTTCCCCTCCATTTCCACATCTGTCCATAAGCCAGTTCTGTGACTCCACCTCCACACGCCTCAAATCTGCCCCCTTTTCTCCCTTTCCCCTGCTAGTCCCTTGTCCAAGCCTCCAGTCTCTCTCTTTGATGGGCTGCCCACGACAGCTTCCTAACTAGCTCCCTGTGGGGACATTTGCCTTTCTATGTGCCATTCCTCACAGCAGCCAGAGTGAACATTGGAAAATATCATCCAGATCATAGTCCCCTCCGCTGGCAATCCACTGACAGCTTCCCATTGTACTCAGAAGAGGATTCGGACTCTTCGTGCTGGCTCCCAGAGCCCTGTGTAATCCAATATCAACCTACCTCCCTGCCTTGGCTCAGGCAAATCTCTCCTCCCCACCACACCCATGGCAGCCTGGCCGGCCTTCTTTCTGATTTTCAGGTAGCCACACTTTTTCCTGCCTAACTGGCGTTTCCTGCTCTAGGTGGAATTGCTTTCTGATGTGCACTGCCCCCAGTCATCACATGACTAGCCCCTTCTTGTCAACCCAAGCTCAGCTCAAATTTCACCTCAGTGTTCTCTGTCACATCATCCTATTTTGTCTCTACCTAGCAGTTAACCCCCATTATATTCCCATCTTTTTATCATATCAATCTATCAATCAATCAGTCTATCCATCCATCCATTCATCTATCCATCTATCATCTATCTCTTCTTTTACAAATAGAGTAAAAGCTGCAGAGGTGTATGGCTTTTCTGGGTCTTGTTCACAGCTGCATCTCCAGGGTTTAGAAGGGACCAGCACACAGAGGGCAGGCACTGCACTCTAATGTTGGGAAGAGACAGCCAGAGAGAGGGGATGTTATTATAAGGTGGGAAATGCCTTGTTAAGAAAAAGCAGAGAGTGCTATGGGAATATAAAAGAGGGGCTACCAACCTCACCTGTGAGGAGAACTTGAAGAGCTGGTACTTGACTTGAGTTGTTGAAGAATGGACAGATATACAGGAAGAGTAAAGAGGTTGGTTCAGGACCATAAGTAAAGGCTGATTTATATGTTTAAGACGGACACTTGCATGATATCTTCAGGGAACTACAAATCTTTAAAATAGTACTAGAAAAAACCCTGGAATGCAGAGAGGAAAGACATAAGCCTGAGACATTAGCAGGAGGTAGGAGCTAGAGTAGGAGTAGGAGCTAGATTAAGAACCTAAATGGTATTTTAAATTAACTATTATATTCTTTTTATGGCTGAAGAGTATTCTATTGTGTATATATACCATATATTCATTGGTCAATGGACATTTAGGTTGATTCCATATCATTGCTATTGTAAATAGTGTTGCAATAAACATGAGAGTGCAGGTATCCTTTTGAAATATACATTTCTTTTCCTTTGGGTGAAACTTGAGGTCATTATGTTAAGTGAGATCAGACAGGCACAGAAATACTGATGCCTCATGTTCTCACTCATGTATGGGAGCTAAAAAAAATTGATCTCATGGAGGTAGAGGGTAGAATGATAGGTATCAGTGTCTGAGAAGAGTTTGTAGGTGGGAGTGGGGGTTAAAGAGAGTTGCTTAGTGGGTACTAACATCCAGTTAGATAAAACAAATAAGCCCTAATACTCATTAGCAAAGGAGAGTGACTACAGTTAGCAACAATGTGTTCTATATTTCAAAGCAGCTAGAAGAAAGGACTTAAGTAGTCCTAACAAATAGAAATGATAAAAACTCAAGGTGATAGATATCCCAAGTACTCTGACCTGATCATTACACATTTTACACATCTAACAAAATACTCACATGTACCCCATAGATACGTAAAATATTTTGTATCAATTAAAGTATTCTACATGTGGTGCAGTCACATGGAAGTGATTTTAATTCAGCAGGTGGGAAGTTGGTTTAAGAAGGAAAAATCTAGGAACAGAAATAACATTTAAGAAACTATTTAGGTAGTCCAGGCAGGATGTGATGTGCTTCTTACTCAGGAGAGTGGTTGTAGGACTGGGTGGAGAACGGGACAAGAGATTTATCTAAGACATTAACAACACTGTTAAGTTGGAGAGAGGGATGAGTAAAAGACAGTTGTATAAAACAATCCCAGATTTCATATTGAAAAATTGGATTGATGATGGAGGTATCACTCCAATAAAGGAGGAAATGCTCGTTTGAGAGAATGAGAAAAATCATGAGTTGAATTGTATTCATGTTAAATTTGAGAAGTCTATGAATTATTAAGAAGAACTTTTTAAGTAAAAAACTGAACAAGAGTGTTGGGAGAAGCACACAATAAGTTAAGGGTGGAAATACAAGATTTGAGAATTCTCATCTAGCGGTAGTTAAAACCATGAGCATGGGTGCTAGGTAGAAAAAAGGATATAGGGTAAGGAGAGAGGCAAGCAAGGATAAACCCTAAAAAACAACAAAATGTAAGTGTGGGAGGAAGGAGATGAAAAAGGAATTGCTATAGAAGTAGGAGAACCATGTGACTGGTATCTCAGAATAGAGGGCAGAGTTTTAAGGTGGGGGACCATTGGCAGTCAAACGCAAAGGAGAAATATGGTAAGATAAAGTCCAAATACCATCTGCATAGTCTAGAAGTGGGCTGTTTTGATGACCTTAGCCAAGGCAGTCGGTTGAGTGGTTGGGAGAGAAAACAAATTGCAGTGTGTTAAGTGTTAAATAGAATGGGAGAATCCTGTCTGTGAGTAGGAGGAGGGACCCACTCTGAGATTTGGGGAAGAATAGAAGAGACCATAGTCTATTATTCATCTAGTGAAGGAGGCTGGGGGAATTCATGCTGTAAATGATCAATCTCATCAGTGATGAAGGAATGATCAGTCACAAGAGGAGTAGAGACCGTAAAAGAGACAGTATGGACTCTGACATTGTAGTTATGTGTTGCCACTACAACTCATTAGCTGTGTGACATTGAGAAAGTAGCTTATCCTCTGTGAGTTTCAGTTTCTTTATTTACAAAATGGGAATTCCACTTCCTGTTTCATGGGACTATGAGAATTGAAGATCATTATCACAAATCTGAGGACAAGTGCTTAGCCTGAGCCAGCTTTTACTAAATGTTACCTGCTATTTTCGTGATGGTGGTTGTTAATCTTGAAGACTGTGGAGTATATCTGAGATGGTGATTAAGAAGTATTTGTAAACTAAAAATAGAACTACCATATGATCTAGAAATCTCACTACTGAGTGTTCATCCAAAGGAAAATACATCAGTATATCCAAGGGATACCTGCACTCACATGTTTATTGTGGCAGTATTCGCAATCGCAAATATATGGAATTAACCTAAGTGTCCATCAATGGATGAAAGGATAAAGAAAATGTAGTATATACACAATGGAATATTATTTGGCCATATAAAAAGAAAGAAATCATGCCATTTGCAGCAACATTGATGGAACTCATTATGTTAAGTAAAATAAGCCAGGCACAGAAAGGCAAACATCACATGTTCTCACTCATGTGTAGGAGGTATAAAAGTTAATCTCATGGAGATAGAGAGTAGAATGATAGATACCAGAGGCTGGGAAGGATGTGTGGGTGTGGGTATAGGTGAGGAGGTGGAATTAAGAGAAATTGATTAATGGACACAAAATACAGTCAGATGGAAGAAATAAATTCTGGTATCTGATAACAGTAAGGTGACTATAGTTAGCAACAATGTGTTGTTTATTTCAAAGTGGCTAGAATAGAGGACTTTAAATATTACCAACACATAGAAATGATAAATACTCAAGGTGATAGATATCCCAAATATGCTGGCTTGATCTTCACACATTCTATGTGTGTAACAATATATCACTTATACTCCATAAATATGTAAAATACTATGCATCAATTAAATTTAGAAATGAGAAAAGAAGTATTTGAGAAGTAGTTGATGAAAGACCAATACGGATATTTTAAATATTTTATTCATAGATAAAAATGCTATTGATGACCCAACTGGGATGAATGAGAAAGTGGTATGAGACAGAATGACATTTTTCCCAAAGGTTTTTGCTTGATTTCCACATGTTTATGATTGCTTAACATTTTCAGACAAATTCTGTGAGGACAGAAGTTTATATCTAGTTTTTTCGCAGTGTATTCCCAGTACTTAGTTAATTAAGTACTTAGTTAATTAACCAATTAGTAGTTAATTAACTAATTAACTTAGTTAATTAACTCTTTAGTTAATTTTTGTTTGTCTTAAAAAAACAATGGTTGGTTTGTAGTTATCAAAAGCAGAAGCAGAAGTTGGTGGTAATCTTGAAGGTGGTGGTTTGATTGAGGTTGTATTTGAAATCTGTTCTATCCTTGCTTTTTACCCAAACACAAAAAACTTTAAGTGACCCCCAAAAAAGTATTTAGGGATAATGTCACCTTATAACGTGTCAGCTTATAACTACAAAAACTAAAAAGGGACAGAAATACTAAAACCAGACTGTGGTGACTTTGATATGCTATGATATGATATGATATGACATGACAAGACATGTATATGTATAATACCTGTACCCTTAAGTGGCATGAGTGGCCATGAAAATGCTCTTGTTAATTTCTTTCACCCTTGAGAGTCCTCATCTGTAAACTGATGTTATCAAGAGCTGTATCATTGGATGTGATGATTAAATGAAATAAATATAAAGTACCTGGTGTGCTCCTTGGCACAGAATGAATAATTGGTAAATTTCTTTCTTTCCTCTCCCTATCATCTAACAGTCTTTGGTTTAGGAAGAGATTGATCTAGAAAGTGTAATAGAGATGGAATCATGTTGGTTTGAAATTCAGGAATTCTGAATTCTCATGCCATCCATATCATTCATTATCTATGCAACCTTAGGTGATCACTTAGTATCATCTATACAATGGAGAATAGTAATTTTTCCTACTTCTCCAGTGGAATTATTGTAAGGATGAAATGATATCAGGCATGAAATTCTGTCTGGATGCCAGGTGCGACTATTTTGGTCCTCACAGCCACCTGTTGCCCAGATAGACATTCCTATCCTGGGATGACAGTCAACCATAGTGTTGAAAAATTTTTTTGGCATTTTTAGGTCTCAAAGCTGATGGCACAAGAAATTCAGAAGCTAGCTGAAATGCAGTATGCCACCCTCTACTTTTAATGAACTTCAAAACATCAGAATGTTCAAGTTTTCTATTAGCCATCCAGGGCTGTATAAGAAATTACCCGAAAACTCGGTAGCTTGAAACAACAAATATTTATTGCCTCATAGTTACTGTGAATCAGGAATGATGTCAGAATGTAGTCTGGGGCTACAGTCATCTGAAGGTTTGAGTGGGGCTGCAGGATTTGCTTCCAAGGTGTTGCACTCACACGGCTGTGGGCAGGAGGCCTCTGTTCCATGGCTCTTTCCTCCTAGGATGGAAGCTAACATTTTCCAGGGTGGCCAGTCCAAGAGAAAGAATAAGGAGCGGACACAGTTCATTTTATGACCATATCTCCAAAGTCACACACCTTTAACCCATTTATGCCTGAGGTTACAATTTTTTGAATTTTTACAATCAGTCCTTGGCGATGACCTTGAGCAGCAGGATATAAATAACTCCCACGTGCTTAGCTTTCCAATAATGGAACACTAGGCATAAGTGGCTACTACATTTTTTTCTATTTGTTAGAAGCAAGTTAAGTTCAGCCACAGCGACGGGAGGTGGGGTGAAGATTAGGCTCCTCCTCTTGAAGGGAAGAGTGTGAAATAATCTGTGGATGTATTTTTAACACTACTACATTGCGCTATAGTCAAAGTTAAAGAGGCCCCGTGTGGCCTTTTGGTCATCTGCAGAGTGTGTAGTTGCCTGTGCTGATGACACACTTAATATAGGAGACTCATCCTTCTCCACTCATCTCCCTGGGTCTCAAGTTCTCCCAGTAGAGTTTGGCTTATGTTTATATATGTGTTTTCATACACTGTCTCCTTTAAAATATAATGTCTCTGGCAAAACAGAACACAATGCCTGGCACAAGTAGGAGTTCAGTAAATGTTAGTTAAATGTATTGAAGTCTCCTTAACACAAATGGCTTATCCAGTCCTTTGCAGTACACAGAGTTTGGTATGAGAAAGAGGGAGAGGACATAAAGACTTGGATAGTAGGAATAAGGGAAGGGGACCAACTGGGGAAAAGATGCAGAATTTGGTGCTCAGAGCATAGCTTTATGACTGCGTGTGTTTAGGGAGGGCTAACTGTGAGACCTGAAGGTGGACTAAGCCCTGTGAAAAGCAATAGTAGCAGCTTGATTGGTGGCAAGATGACCTAAAGGGTGTACATTGGGTACATTTCTCAAAACCTGCAAAAGAGAGCTCACTCAGAACTGGAGTTGGGAATAGTGCCCAAAGAGTAAATGGATCCAGCAAGAGAAGAGAGGGCTATTATGAGAAATCTTTCCAAGTAGATTTTAATCCTGAAGACATACCATGTTGTAAATTCATCTCAGACATTTAAAATGCATTAGATGCCATTATGGCCCTGGCTGCTGATTCAGCCGGCATTTGTTGAGCAGCGATTTTGTGTCAGACACAGTTCTTAAGGCGTGCACATTTATGATCTCATTCAATCCTCACACACGCTGTATGGGAAGTTTTAGTACTCTTCTTCTTTGATAAGAAATTAGTGCTCTGGGAGCTTATGTGTCTCACTGCAAGGAGAAAAACTGAGATTTGAATCTAAGTTTTCAAACTTTATCATGCCACAACTTTCATTTCTGAAAATGAGAAATTACAAGTGCAGATATATCATGGATTAAATCACATTTCTTAAAATATAGCATCTACCTAAGTGAGAGACTAGTATTAGGTAAGCAGCGAGCCCATCTTGTTTCATGAAAAATACCTTGGTCTCGACGACAGAGGTTTATTGTAACAATGCTTAAAGTAAGAGTGGTGATTTTCTTTTTGGAGTTTGTCCTGCAAATTCAGATCTGTCCCGCTCAGAGGTATGGTTGAATCTTCCCCAACACAAATCATCTACCTTTCTTGATCATCCAGACTACACTAATACATCGTCTACTATATGAAAACTAATAACCATGTAACCACTACAGTAGTCAAGCATAACACAATTGCAAAATGTTAAAGCCTTGATTGATGATGATATATTTAATTGAAAGTTTAATAGAACAACGTGATATCTTTCTCATGATCCTTACTGATTAGAATTTACTCATTTTCTGTTCTTCCTTCAAGGAAAGAAAATATTTTCTCTTTTGCCCTTATGTTTTTCTGGGTTCTTTGATTTCTACCCCTGTCCCCCAGGCTTGTGTGCCATTCATTCATCCATGTATTCAGTAAACATTAATTCATTCATTAATTCTATAAACATTAACTCTTTTAGCATGTATTTATTATCTACTATGTGCTAAGTACTTTCCTAGTCACTAAAGAACCATTATGGATTGTAGGCCAGCCACTCTGCTCACTTTTGTGGATACAGAGATGTTGTATGAGACAACATCACTATAATAAACAAATGAAGCATAATAGATACAATGGCATTTCAGGTGGGATATAGTAGGGACATGAAAATGTACAAACCTAATATTAGTGGTTCTGTTATATAGTTAAAGTCTATATGATATTCTCCTATTATATATTGTTTTACCTGCAGGAAATAAGCTATTTTCCAGAGGAGAAACCTGTCGACTAAAAAGTAGGTATATTAGTCTGTTCTCATGCTGCTGTGAAGAAATACTTGAAACTGGGTAATTTATAAAGGAAAGAGGTTGAATTGACTCATAATTCTGCATTGCTGGGGAGGCCTCAGGAAACTTACAATCATGGTGGAAGGCAAAGGGGAAGCAGGCACCTTCCTCACAGGGCAGCAGGATGGAGTGACCCCAAGCAGGGGAAATGCCAGATGCTTATAAAACCATCAGATCTCGTGAGACTCACTCACTGTCACGAGAACAGCATGAGGGAAACCACCCTCATGATCCAATTACCTTCAGCTGGTCCCACCCTTGACATGTGGGGAATATGAGGATTACAATTCAAGGTGAGATTTGGGTGGAGACACAGAGCCAAACCATATCAGTAGGCCTTGACAGATGGTCATTGTGTTAGTGTGTGACCTGTTCCTCTGAGAAGCAGATTCCAAGACAGAATTAAACATGCAGGAATTTTATTATGGAAAACACCTGTGAGAGAAATGTGGAAGGATCTAGGAGGAACTGGGAGAGCTGTTAGACCACTATTCTAAGCCTTAGTGGAAGACAGAGGGAAGGATGGTCAGGTGGAAGCATCCTGGACACTGTGCAATCTCAGAAAGCAGGGCCTTTGGGAGGTGGAGCCAATGTTTCTCTTCAGAGGAGCCCTCTGGTTTCCAGAAGGGGTCTGCTTTAAAATCCCTGCTGCATTCATGGTCTGGGAGTGGCCCAAGAGAACCCATCACAACTCAGGAGTTGGAACCTTGATTGACTACTCCCCATAGGGAAAGTACTGTGAGACACACTCTCAGGGCTACCACAGTCACCCTGAGTTGATACTCCAGGCTGAGAGGGAAATTGGCAAAGAATTTGTTTAAAGCAGTTTGGTGAGTTTTAGGAGAATGACAAGCTCAATATGGCAGGATTATAAGGTGCCCTTTGGTTGGAGAAACAAGAAGACAAAAAGGGAGAATATTGAGAAATAATGTCAAAGAAATTCTCAGTACATTAGACTCTGATATGATCAGTAGTCAGATCAGAGTCTAGTGTATAAATCTAAGGAATTTAGGCAATGAAGAGAAATTGGCAAATTTTAAGTAGGGAAGGACTCAATTAGTTTTTTTTTCCTTCAAATAAATCAGTTAGTGGACATATTAGAAGATGTGATAAGAAGCAGGGAGATGAGTTGGAACAGAGTATGTTTTGAACTATAGCAGTGACAGTGGAAATGTGGAAGCTAAAAAAGTATTTGAAAAGTAGAATTAACATCACTGGATCACCAGTTGTGTGTGAGGAATCTCTGATTACCTGGTTTCTGGCTTGGACACTAGATAGGAGCCATTCTCTCATCAAAAGATTGCATGAAGCGACACTGGTTTGGGGGAAAACTAGTTAAGATTTGGACAGTGAAGCATTTTAGGCCTCTCAGATACTGATTTATCCAGCAGCCAAAAGATAATTCAAGGCTTGAAATGCAAACTTGGGAGTTGTAAGCCTTTCTTTCTCAGGAGCTGTTTTTAGCACCCCTAGTGGAGTCAGTCAACAACCTCAAATCTTGTAAAGGGAGGGTGTCTTAGTCTGTTCTAGCTGCCATAACAAAATACCTCAGACTGGGTAATTTATAAAGAACAGAAATGTATCTCTCATGGTTCTGGAGGCTGGGAAGTCCAAGTTCAAGGTGGCAACAGGTTCAGTGTCTGGTGAGGGCCCATTCCTTATAGATGGCAGCTTCTTGTTGGGTCCTTACATGGCAGAAGGGGCAAAAGGGTTCCTTTAAGCCTGGTTTATAAGGCCTCCATATTCATGAGGGTGGAGGCCTCATGACCTCATCACCTCCCAAAGGCTCCACCTCTTAATATTATTCAGCTGGGGATTACGTTTCAACATATGAATTCTGTGGGTGGGAGTACAGACATTTAGACCATAGCAAATGGTATTGGTTAGCTTGCTTCTCTTGAATCTTGGCATCTCCTTTGACCTTTGTCAGCTTAGCAGAAGTCAGTAAAGAGAAGAACGGCCATAAATTGATGTAATGCCTACAAGATCACAAGATTCCAAAACAAGTTTTTCACCAAATGGACAAAGAATTCTATCAGCCTCATTCCTGTCTTTGTCTTTCTCTCTTTTATTGTTTTGTTTTGTTTTGTTTTAAGACTCTATTACTGCATTTCAAGCAGATGTGTGGAGTGAATCTGCACACATTGTTCAAGAACCCCCTTATCTCTGGACCTCTTATGAGCGATGGTGAGACATTATCTGACTTTCTTGACTCAGCCATGCAGAACTCACCCACAGAAATCATCAGAATCTCTAAGAAAATAACATACTTTGGCTTTAAATTTCATTTCTATTGTTTAAATTTCATGACATTAATTCAGGCAACATAAACATTTCCAACAAAACTTCTATGCATAAATCACAGTCTTGGGGGAATGAAGAAGAGAATGAAAGATTGTTGTGATTCTGTGGAATGTGAAGAAGCTTTCAAAATAGCATTTTAAAAATCACCTATCTATGCCAGGAGATAGCTATATGCTTTATATCCTTCCTCTTCTTCCTCCTCCTTCTCTGTTTTTTTTTAATCTTCTTTTAATGCACTAAATCTTTAATGATCAAACCACCCACTCTGTGGTTCAAAATAAACAAATGGTTTTCCATCTTGTTCAGCATAAAAGTGTGATCTTGTGTCATGGCCTGAAGGGTCCTTCCTACACCTAAATGTTTGATTATCTCTTTGCATTCCTTCCAACTTCTCACCCTTCTTCCCTGGGCTCCAGCCACATGGATTTCTTAGGTGCCCCTTGAAGACCTCCGTGGAACTCTGGCTTCAGAGCTTTGCACTTGCTAGTCCTTCTGCCAGCTCTTCCCCTGACAACCACATGCCAAATGGTCATTTCCCAGTGAGGCCGTCCCAGATCACCCTACTTAAAATTGCAAATTCCTGCTTCCGCATCCTTCATAACACTTCTCCTGCTTTGTTTTTCTTCACAGCCCTTATCATTTTCCAATGTCCTATATAATGTATTTATTTTCATTCATCGTGAGTCTCTCCATATTAAATATAAAGTGTGGGTTTTTGCCACTTTGATTTTCTGCTGTATTTTCGGCACATTAAAAGTGATTAAGAGAAATACCTAATGTAGATGACAGGTTGATGGGTGCAGCAAACCACCGTGGCATGTGTAAGGTAACAAACCTGCACGTTCTGCACATGCACCCAGAACTTAAAGTATAATTTTTAAAAAATAAAATAAAAGAGTGCCCAGCTCTAAATCTGTGTGAGGGGTAAATATTAACATTCCCATTCATGTGTAAAGGGATTGGGCTGAGAAAGCTTAAGTAATTTGCCCAAGTCACATGATTCATAAATTGCAAGGTTAAAATTCAAATTCAAATCTGTCTGGCCCCAAGGTCCACGCCCTATCCTTCATGCTGTGGCTTCCTTCATTTCCAAACAGTGAAATGCTTTCATAGAATGAAGATGAGGCTTCTTAACAGCGAGCTGCTGCTTTCAAAACTCTGGATTTTAGATCAGGGAGTCAGATTGTGAGAGACCCATGTCAGAGGTCTAGAGAGGAAACAAACACCATCAACAAAACAGCGGGATTTGCAGGCTAACCCCAGCAGCCGTTCATGAGATCACTGAACACCTTCTTCCTGGCTCCCAGGCTGGGTTGCCCGCACACAGACTGTGGGAAAACTGGTGACACACGCAAGCCCGCTAAGAGTTCCATTTAGATTGCATGCACAGATGTCTAATTGGAGTTCTATGTTTATTAACATAAGCTGCTTTGCCATTCCGAAATGGGAGTTAATCAAAATATTGCAAATGATGCACCTTAAGAAATGTCACTCTTTATCATGATTGCATTTCCATATTGTTGCCATGAAAGTTTGCTGTGTGTGTGTGCGTGAGTGTGTGTGTTTATGTTCAATTCTTCTAAAAATCTACTCTACTAAGATCAGGCGCTGGTGGTGGGATGTGTCTGAATCTATGTTCAGAGGAACTGGCAGAGGCAGTAGGAGCCACAATCCATCGCAGCTTTATGTACCACACATAAACTACATTTCTACAGCAACTGGTTAGGAGCAGAGTGATTTCCTGGCATTTGCAGCTCACACCGAGCTCTGGAGGGCCTTTCTCCCTTCCCTTTCTGTGTCTGTCACCAGGGAGGAAAGGTCATCAGCTGGAAGCAGATAATTATGCTGCCTCAGGAACTGGCACTTTCCTGTGAGGACCATTGGAATGTAATTCATTTCTTCTGTCTTTCTTCTTGAGTATTAACAAAGTCAACAAAAAGGATTTTCTTCCCACCAGGACTTGCCTGCATTGGATGAGAGCAGTCAGCATGAATTTTAATCAGAGTGACTGTTTTTCAGCCCCAAATTTTCCATAATCAATTTCTTTTTGTCTATTAATTGAAAGTGAACATAGAGTTTGAGAAATGATGGATCCTAACACCTCGAATCCCACTCAGTCACATTCAGAGTTGAGCTCTGGTACGTCTCCATAGAACCTAGAGTTATGTAAGGGATGCATTTGAAGATGATTTTCTTTTTTTTTTTTTTTTGTTCAAGTGATTCACCCTGTGGTTTCTTTAAATAGGTCAGCTAGTGCTGTAAATTAATTTACACAGGAGGGAGTCAAATTTTCCTTCCTCTTTTTTAAAAAGAAAATTCATATTGAAGATGAGATTCATGTGGATTTTCTTAAATTTGCTTTTCTTTTTACTGTGCCTTGTGGTTTGCTTTGCGTTGTTTTCCTCCAGCTACTCTTACTTTTGTGGGCTGTGTGAAGGAGAGACCTGCCCACCTGGGACACTCATTACACTGGCTCCGTAACTTCCTTTGTGATCAGAACAGCCTGATGCTGATGGTGTTTGAATAGGGATAAACATATAGACTTTTTTTTTTTTTTTTTACTGGGCTTCAGGGTGAGGGGGTCAGCATTTCAGAGGACTGCTAGGATTAGAGCAAATTGTTCCTTGGTTACTTTTTTCCTGCTTGGTATCACACCTTTCTTCCTTTTTATTGACTGTCTCAATTCCTAGGGCTGCCATAACAAAGTACCAAAAATGAGTGACGTAAACAACAGAAATGGATTCTCTCGCAATTCTGGAAGCTAGAAGTTCAAGATCAAGGCATATGCAAGGTTGTGCTCCCTCTGAAGGTGCAAGAGAAGGGTCTGTTGAGGCCTTTCTCCTGACTTCTGGTAGACCTTTGGCTTGTGGCAGCAGAACTCCAGTCTTCACATGGCTTTCTTCTTGTACATGCTCTTCTATGCCCAAATTTGTCCTTTTCATAAGGACACCAGTCATATTGGGTTAGGAGTCACCCTACTCTAGTACCATTCATCTTAACTAATTATATCTACAATGATTATTTCCAAATAAGGTTGCATTCTGAGACACTGAGTGTTAGGACTTCAACATATAATTTTTGGGGGGAGCATAATTCTACCATAACACTGACTATTAGTTATCAATTGTTGCTTAACAAATCACTCAAAAACTTAGTGGCTTCAAACAACAACATTTATTATCTCACAGTTCCTATGGGTCCAGAATTCAGGAATGGCCTAGCATAGTGTAACTGGGTTCTGGTCTCTAGTTCTGAGCTTCTCCTGAGGCTTCAATCAAGGCCATCATCATCTTAAGGCTCAACTAGGGGGGAGTCTGCTCTCAACCTCACTCGCGCAGTTGCTTGAAAAAATCCACAAAGATTTGGTTCCTTGTGGGTTGTTGGAATGAGGGTCTCAGTTCCTGTTGAACTCCAGGCCAGGGGCATCTCTAGGCATGAGAAGCTCACAACATACAGCAACTCACAATGATCACAGTAAACAAGCAAGAGGGCAAAAGAGGAACAAGATGGAAAACACAGTATTTTATAACCTAATCTTGGAAATAATAATACGATTCATATGCTATTTGTTAGAAACTGGTCATCAGACCCAGCCTACACTCAAGGAGAGGGGATTATACCAGGACATGGATCCCAGGATTCAGGGACCTTTGAAGGCAATTTCAGAAGCTGCTACCTTGGTCCATCCTCTGAGTCATCCTTTTTCATGAAAACTAGAGCTTGTTTGTAACTGATTAGTTTACTTGACTTGCTACTTCCCATTAGAATTCCTGGGGTCTACTAACCTTTTTTTTCATTTTGCACTGTCTCTGCTACTTTTGGTACAAAACGACAGTGTTTCTGCTGGTGACATTAACTAAAAAATATTGTGGGATTTCTGTGAATCTTATTTGAGTTTACTGTACTAGAAAAAAAGTTATACCCACAATTCTCTCCAAGAAAAGCCCTTCTCCACCTTTGGGGTCTGCTCAGAAGCCTGAGAGATCATGTCTTGATGCTTCCTAGTCGTCCGACTGTTCCATTGAGACAATCGGTAAGACACACCTTTCATCTCTTTAAAAGGCTCTTTGTGAGACAGAATAACACGCTGATCCTTTGATCTTTTTGAAGTCTTAACCAGTAGTTATGTAGTCTTACCTGTGGCTATATGTCTATACCATGTTTTCCTGAAAGTACTCAAAAGCCATTTCTTAATTCTAGCATATTTTGCTGTCCAGAGAGATTGAGACTTTTCAAAATTATCAGGTCTTGGTTCCTTCATGTTTAACAATTCTTCCTTCAATTTATCACTCTTACAGTTTACTATAAGCAGCACAAAAAAGCCAGATGGCACCTTCAGCCCTTTGCTTGAAAATCCCAGCTCAATCACTAAGTTCATTAGTGCTGGCCAGGGCAGAGTTGTGAGGTTGAAAATAGACTCAGTTGGCCCCTCCCACACATGTGCACCTCCCTGTGGCATCCCCTTCCCTGACTGCCCTTCCCTCTCCACCACTGGCTTCAACATTTTTTGCAGTTTTTGACTGCATAGGGTGAAATTTCCAACACCCAGCTTGACATGTCTTGTTTCCAGTAGCTTCAATATATTAAATTCAATTCCCTGGACACTTGGAAGTCCATGATGATAGTATTCATCATATAAGCAAATCATCGATAATGCTTTGGTTGGCTAATGTTGTTCCCTCTACCTTATCTCAGTTAAAATGTATAAAATAGTCTTTAAGGGGTGGTAAGGTCATATGATGATATAAAGTTATAATTCTAATGATTTCTACCTGAATAGCTTTACGACTACTTTACCATTTATAAAGGGCTTCCTTTCACTCATTTATTCCTCACCAAAGGCCTATACGGCCAGTGTCTTCTTAATTTAGAGATTAGGGAACTGAGGCTCATAGAGGTGAAGTCATCTGCTCTAGGTTCCATGATTTAGACGGTGCTGAGTGGCACCAGCAGGACCACACTCCACAGCACTGTGTCCCATTCCATATCCTCGATGTCCTGCTGGAACAATTTGGAGGATATCGTTATTTGGGGTGGGGGATCAGGGTGGATTTTGACTAAGATAATTCCCAGACGTGGCTGAACTGTTTCTACAACATTGAGTTTGACTACAGCAGACGCTACACCCATCGCTGCCTTTGCAGTATGGGCTTTGCTTTGTATTCGTCCAGACCTGGATGCCCTGGGGGTTGCCACACCAGACCACAGTCTCCCAGAGCCTCCGCAAGCATGTGCTGGCTTTCTCTATCCTCTTCCGTGGCCTATCAGCACGTTTATAAGTTACAGTTTGGCCCTGTCTGCAGAATGTGCTGACAGCTTTCAGTAATGGATATGGACGTCTGCTGAAAGGTTTGGCTGTGTTTGTAGCTGGGTGCTGGATGGCACGTAAACTCTGAGCCTGAAGGAGAAAAAAAAAAAGTTAGCATAGAATTCACTCTATCTGTGGATTTGTCATTTTGGAATTTGTGTTCATTTTAGACAGGACTGACAGAAACTGCTGAACTTGGAGCTGAGTGACGTTAGAGGCGTGAGCCCATCTCTGCTGCAATGACGTTGGCCAGGCCACAGGCATTCAGCCTGGTGGAGGTGAAAGGAACTTAGGGAATGGCCTGGTCCAATTCTTCATTGAATAGATGAAGAAATTGAGGCTTGTGGAGATGAAGTGACATTTCCAATGCAGCCATTTAGTGATAAATCCATTGTGTTGATTGATCATCATTTCATTCTTTTCCACAGTTCACTTATTCTGTTACATAATGTTGTTTCAGCATTGTCCCGATAGTATAATTATTATCAAATAATTTGTTATAAAAATTGTATGAGGTCAGGCACACTGGTTCATGCGTATAATTCCAGCACTTTGAGAGGCAGAAGCGGGTGGATCAGTTGAGGCCAGGAGTTGGAGACCAGCCTGGGCAACATAGTGCCACACCGTATCTACAAAAAATAAAACACTTAGCTGGGAGTGGTGGCATGTACGTGTAGTCCCAGCTACTCCAGAGCCTGAGGTGGGAGGATCACTTGAGCCCAGGAGTTTGAGACTGCAGTGAGCTATGATCACACCACTGCACTCCAGCCTGGGTGACAGAGTGAGATCCTGTCTCTAAAAATAAATAAATAAATAAATAAATAAAACAAAATTAAATTAAAAATCGGATGATCATATTACTGCTTTTTCTACCGCTCATAGGCCAGCCAGGGTCCTCCCTGACCCCTCGGTGGCCCACACATGAGTACAGCCTCCCTGGTCTTCTCCATCAGCTTCCCAACTTCTTTTTCTCCATCTCAGCCTGGCATGTTCCTTCTGCAAGCAGGGCTGCATCCCATTCCACACTACTTCCCATTCTCCTTCTCAGCAACCTACCACATACAGTGCTTCTTTTCAAACTTCACCACTTCTGTTCCCAGTCCTTCCCTCCCCTCCGGCCTCTCCACCACACATTCCTCCCCCCAACAAAACATACTTCTGCCAACTCATCCCTTGCACCTGCTGCTCTGCCTCTCCATCCTTCAGTCCCACTCTGCCCGAGGGCCAGCTTTGGAGAGTAACTTTCCACTCCTGCCAGTGGCTGACCTGAACATAGTAGTAATTGCTGGCACTGTGGGACTCTAGATTTTCACAGAATGTGTACCCCAGGAGACGTGCTCATGAGCTAAAGGGGAGTCCGACATTTTCCCTTCCCCTGCTCCCTGCACTTCGAGGCACTGCAGTGTTTGAGAGAGAGACACAAATTATTACAACATAGCAGTGGCTCGTTTCTCTCTCAAATTCACCTGTTATTTTTTTCATTTTATTTTCTATTTGGGAAAAATCAGTGGATTGATTTGCATTTCAAAACATATCTGATTTCAGACACTTTCAGTGACACTAGCCCAGAACTGTCCAGTGGAATGTTCCGTGGTGAGCGACATGTTTTGTATCTACTTTATAACACAGTAGCCACTGGCCAGACTCGATTGCTAATACTTGAAAGTGGCTAGTGTGACTGAGGAACTGAATTTTAAATTGTATTTAATTTTAATTATTTTATATTTAAATAGCCACACATGGCTACTGGGTACCTAAGTGGGCAGTGTAGACTAGACCATTATACCCTTTGTTGAGGGGAGAATTGTGAAATCAAATATTAACATTCCCCCACTTCTACCATCTTTTTGCCACATCCCACCACGTCCCATGATCCTTTGCTTGCCCTTGAACAGGTAAAACCAGGGCTACTCTTGGCTTCTAGAAGGTATATCTGACTTCAGTCCCCTGTCTCTGTTTCTGCCAATTATATAACTTAGTAATTGACTTAGCCTAAAACCGAGGCTCATGTAGCAAATAAATAATAATAAATAATAAATAATAGATCACATTTATTTGTTGCTCCATATGTACCAGGTATGTAATACTTCCATATATTAATTCATTTAATCTTCAAAGCAGCCCTGTGAGGTCTGTGTGTTATTATATTATACCCATTTTATAGTTCAGGAAACTGAGGCAAGAGCTACAGAGCTGCTACGTGCCAGAACTGGAATTTGAAGTTGGGCATTTGATAGTAAACCTCACTCTTGGGCACATATTGAACTGCATCTGCCATATGCTCCCCTGCAGAGAAATTCCTGGCCTGGCATCTTGGATGCTCTCTGTACCTGCCAACGTGGAGTGGGATTGAGCTCTGTATACTAAAAAACAGAAACAGAATCAGAATCAGAGAGGTTTGCTACTGCAATATTGCAATGCAATTCTGACGCTAACTACCTAGAGTTAGTGCAGACTTCACAACTTAAGGGCACAGACTTCAGCAAGACCGCCCTCACTTCAGATGTCAGCTGCAAGCTCTGAGGGTCCCAGGATGCCTGCACTTCTGACCAATTGGCTACAAATTTGGGGTTCCCATTACTCCCTCAGGTTTAATACCTAGAAGGAATGTCAGAACTCGGGAGAGAGCTAGACTTGCAATTACAGTTTTATTATGAAGGCTACAAATCAGGACCAACCAAATGACAAGATGTATATAAGAAGGTCTAGGAGGGTCCCAAATTTGGAGCTTGTTTGTCCTCTTCTTGTGAAATCAGGGTTGTGGGACTTTTCTTTAGTTCAGCTAAAGATGGGGTCCTTGTCACATGGCCACAAAAATTTAGGCTTGCAGACAATTTAAAAGGTGAGTAAGACAGGATTTTATTGGGTGAAAAGGGAAAAAAGGGAAGGAGGGACCCTTCACAAGCCAGAGTCCCTGCTGGTGCACTTCCTGCCCGCAGCTTGAATCCCAGGTTCCACACAGGAAGAGGAGGGGCCAGGCTCCTTGTCCACTGCAAAGGGTGCCAACTTCCTGAGGCTCCACCCCAGTGCACAGGCTGGTTGGAGTTTTCCTGGGAACCTCTTTGCACTCAGCTGTCTTATCAAGACACAATACTCCCTCATCACGCTGATGTGTTCACTCAACTGAGCTTTGGTGTCCAGAGTTTTATTATGCTTTCATTACTTAGGTATGACTGAAGTATTGGTCATGTGACTGAACTCATTGTCCAGCCTCTCCTCCCTAAAGGTTGGGCTACTATTATTTGGCCTCAACCCTCTGATCACACAGTTTATCTTTCCAGCATGGCCAGACTTCATCCTGAATCTATCTAGGGACTCACTATGAGTCACCTCATTAGCATAAGCTGTCAAGTTCCACCATGAATTACAAAGATACTGCTATCATTTGGGAAATCCCAAGGGCTTAGACCTCCACCTCAAGAACTTGGAAAAAAGACCTGACAAACTCTATTGTACAAGAGCTACATCAGAAATTTTTCTTTCAAGTAACTAAGAGTAAGGAAACAAGCATTTCTAAATGTTTAGTGGTTACTGGTCACATTCATCTACATTATATCATTTAATCTTCATGACATTCCTAGGAGGAAGATATTATCGATGTCTTTGTTTTATAGATGAATAAACTGAGGCTAAATGAAATTAATAACCATGTACATGAACATCCAACTAGTAACAATTGGTATGGAAGTTTAAAATCAAGCTTAAAACCTAACTTTCAATCACAAGCCCTTTGAATACATTACAAGAATAGTAGGAGGAGATAAGAATAGAGATATAGATGCTTTCAACACCTAATTGTTTTTCTTATCTGAAAATGCAGGATGGGAATGGACTTGCCCAGGATAGGACAGTCAAGGAGAAATGTGAGGATCTGGGAGTGAGGCTTCTTCCCAATGTGCCAAGTGATTCCTTTTCTGATTTTCCTCATGTGTTTATTTACAAAAGATTATGTTTTAATGTGTGTCAGGCCTTTAATGTGTAGCAAGCATTGAAAATACACAAATAGAGAGACACAGTCCCCAGGCTTCCTTGAAGAGGACACAGACAGTACATAAAATATTGCAATGTGACATGGCTACTGAAACAATAAAGAAAAGCACTTAGAAAAATGCAATAAAAGGCCGGTTGTGGTGGCTCATCCCTGTAATCCCAGCACTTTGGGAGGCCAAGGCGGGTGGATCACGAGGTCAGGAGATCAAGACCAGCCTGGCTAACATGGTGAACCCCCGTCTGTACTAAAACTACAAAAATTAGCCAGGTGTGGTGGCGGGTGCCTGTAATCCCAGCTACTTGGGAAGCTGAGGCAGGAGAATCGCTCGAACCCAGGAGGCAGAGGTTGCAGTGAGCTGAGATGGTGCCACTGCACCACTCCAGCCTGGATGACAAAGGAAGACTCTGTCTCAAAAAACAAAAAAAAAGAGAAAGAAAAATGCAATAAAGGAAACAATAAAAGAAAGTTCTAATTAGAAAGGGGCGAGAGGAAAAGGGGAGTCAGGAAAGATTAGGGGAGAGAATGCAGGAGCTAGGGGTTGGAAACAAACAAGGATTAACCAGATTTCGAGTTCTGTAAGTGAATAGAAGAGGGGTACTGAACTCTCTCACTTCAGATGAGGAGGCTAATATGTTGTCGTCGACAAAAAGAGTTAAACTCTGTAAAATATTTAAATAGATGTATTCTTAGCCAAATATGAGTTACTATGGCCCGCGATGCAGCCTTCAGGAGGTCCTGAGAACATGTGCTTAAGGTGGTCGGGGTGTAGCTTGGTTTTATACACATTTTAGGGAGGCAAGAGACATCAATCAAATACATTTAAAAAGTACATTGGTTTAGTCCAGAAAGGTGGGACAACTAGAAGCGGGGTTCGGAGGCTTCCAGGCTATAGGTAAATGTAAACATTTTTTGGTTGACAATTGGTTGAGTTTGTCTAAAGACCTGGGATTAACAGAAAGGAATGTCTGGGTTAAAACAAAGGGTTGCAGAGGCACAAGTTTTTATTTGCAGAGGAAGCCTTCAGATAGTAGGCTCCCGAGAAAATAGGTTGCAAAGTGTTTCTTATCAGACTTAAAGTCTGTATTGATGTTCATGCTGGAGAGGTATAATGAGGCAAGTCCGACTCCTATTTCCCATCATGGCCTGAAACAGTTTCTTAGGTTAAATTTTAAAAGAGCCCTGGCTGAGCAGGAAGTCCATTCTAATGGTTATGGGGAGGGTTTCTTAGAATTTTATTTTTTGGTTACAGGGTCCTGATGATGCCCAAAGCCTAGCACTTTGCAGACCCCTTGCTCTGCCTCAGCTGTAGCCAGAACCCCCAAAGTAGAAGGGAATGGAGTCACCCAAATAATGGAGGTCAGGTTGTGATGTTGTGGATCTCAGGAATGAGGAGGATGTGTGTGTATTAGGAGTTCTAGCAAGTTTCCTCATCTGTAAAATGATGATGTTCGACCTCCCTAGATAATCTCTGGGATCCCTTCTGGCTCTAACATTTCATTAATTTGTGATTTTATGAAAAACGTTTTGCAAAGCAAATGAATAGTGTAAACAAGATTATAAAGAGAATATTTGCCTTCTTAAGGGAATAAACTGTTCTGAAGCACATCAGGAGTGGTCATTTGCATATAAACAATGCAAATTCTATATAAGCAGAGGAGGCTTGTTTTCTTAGGTGTTTTGGTAAGTCAATTACAAATCGTTCTTATCAATTTTGCTAGTGTATATGTATTAGGAAGCAGAAGAGTTGAATTCATTTTAAAAGTGCTATACTTTCGAATGTTCCCAATTTCTTGAATGTTCCCAATACCTGACTTTTCTCTGAATTAGCCTGAGTTTTCTTAAATTATTTCTTTATTCCATGGGTTAAAACATTTGTGATTTGTTTTTTTCAAGAAGGTTTTGGATAAATTGTTATGTTCATCAGATCTCAGAGGTGTCAACTGAACCCCATTCTACTTTCAGTCGTCCTGAATGGGCTTAGGACTACCCAAAAAAGTCTATAACCTGTTAGGGTCCAAAGTCCTGCCTCCACTTTTGATTCCCAACATCTTAATGATCTCTCTTCATCTTTCTCCCCTGTACATTTGAGTGCTTCTTTTTCCCACTCCCCATATCAATCAGACTACATAGGCTTCCAATACAAATTACCACTTTGGAAGTATTTTATTTGTCTAGATGACTGTATTGAAGATTTGGTTGTCATACAGAGCTATCAACATGCAGAGAACAAAGCCATCTTCCTGATTCTATTCTCTCTAGGCCTCTTCCCCTTCTCTCATATTCTCTTTCTCTTCTCTTTTTTTTTTTCTCCAAACCCCCTCATCCCGCTGACATTCACCCTTTTCAGAAGCAAGACACCTTGTGCCCCTTGTCTTAAGCACAGCAGTTTCCTTCTGTAGCTTGGGCATTTTCTTAAAGTTTTGTTCTCCACTCCCAGGTGGTTGCTCAAAATATTCCAAATACATTTTGTTGTGTCAGGGTAAATTCAGGAAACACGATCTGGAAGAAGCAGGTTTCCACCAAGGGGGATAGGAGAGGCTGGGCAAGCAGAGAGGTGGGGGATGAGTTTCCAAGCAGAAGGAACTGCCTGCACCAACCATGGCAACATGTGAGAGCCAGCACGTAGAGGAGCCTCACCTGATTTTCTGTGATCCAGATAGGTGGAGTAATCGCAAGGAATAATGAGTAAAAGACAGGAATGGAGAAGAAGATGCCAGTGACATTACAGTGACCTTTATGTGTCATATTAAGACATTTTTATTTTCTCAGAAGGTGCTGGGAACCCAGTGAGGCATTGCAACACCAGTGTGATGAGGCTGCAGAGCTGACTGCAAACATCCCAGATAGAAAACTAGTGCAATGCCACAGACCAGGAGTAGGACATGGGGCAGGGGATGCAGAGGAAATGGGACATTTAAGAGAGAAGTAGGAGACCAATAAGATTTGGGATTGATTGATTATGGGCTGATGGAGAAAAAGGAACTGGCCAGGGAAAACGCTGCACTTTTGTCTTGAATATTTATTGGCCAAGTTAGGAAATACAAGAATAGAAATTAGGAAATGTTCAATTTTGGAAATATAACTTCATTTGGTTTATCAATGCACTATTTTAATTTATGGGCCCAAAGTGTTATGTCCTTGGATGTCATTCAGTTCTCAGGCAATAGGCTGAACAAGTTCCAAGTCATGACTGTTCAGCAACATTTTTGTGAAAAATGCCTTAGACATGACTCCTCCTCTCCTAACAAACTCTGGCCGTATCATTTCATGTAAACCATGGCCCATGACTGCCTTTTCCTTGTCACTATAAGCTTGCTACCTGGCTATCAGAAATTAGGCTTCATCATGGCTAAGGATGTTCTGCTCTGTTTTTTCACTGGCTTATTGAACAGTTTACATTCAGTGTGGGACCAATTAATCATTATATATTTCTCTAGCTACCACCTTCAAACTCACATGGTCAAAGTGCTTTCTTCTTTCTTCCTCCATATTGTTAATATCTCAGGAAGATTGTGTACATATCTGGTCATTTTTTTTTTTTTTTGAGACAGAGTCTTGCTCAGTCGCCAGGCTGGAGTGCAGTGGCAAAATCTCAGCTCACTGCAACTTCTGCCTCCTGGGTTCAAGCAATTCTCCTGCCTCAGCCTCCCAAATAGCTAGGACTACAGGAGCATGCCACCATGCCCAGCTAATTTTTGTATTTTTAGTAGAGACAGGGTTTCACCATGTTGGCCAGGATGGTCTCGATCTCTTGACCTCATGATCCGCCTGCCTCAGCCTCCCAAAGTGCTGGGATTACAGGCGTGAGCCACCACACCTGGCCAAGGTGAGACCATTTTCAATGGTTGTTACTAGTCTATCTTAAGATTTCTGTCTCAAAACCAGGTCAGAGAATCCCCCTATCCTGGACCTTCAGGATGAGAATAAGGGGAAAGACTAGTGGTGGAAGAAGCGGAAGCTTTTGGACATGGCTGTTCCTACAGATGTGATTCTCATCTGGCTTGTGCTAGAAGGCTGCCACATGCCCCGTGTGGCCCAGACTTCAATAGGGGCTGAACATCACAGAAGTTCTATGTCGCGCCACATTCCCTGACAGGGACACTTCTCTTTTGGGAAGGCAGAGGTACCCATTCCAAATTGCCCAACATTTTTCTAACTGCTTCCTGAGACCCCATGAAAAGTCCCTATTAACACTCAGTTACATTAGTTTTAGAAAGGTAGCAAATGTGGGCCGGACGCAGTGGCTCACACCTGTAATCCCAGCGCTTTGGGAGGCTGAGTTGGGTGGATCACCTGAGGTCAGGAGTTTGAGACCAGCATGGCCAACATGGCAAAACCCTGTATCTACTAAAAATACAAAAATTAGCCAGGTGTGGTAGCACGTGGCTGTAATCCCAGCTACTTGGGAGGCTGAAGCAGGAGAATTGCTTGAACCTGGGAGGCAGAGGTTGCAGTGAGCTGAGATTGTGCCACTGCACTCCAGCCTGGGCGACAAAGCGTGACTCAGTCTCAAAAAAAAAAAAAAAAAAAAAAAGGTAGCAAATGTGCAAATGTGAAACTGAGGCCATGTTTTCATCATGTTTGTGGTTTCATATATGTCAAAAAGAAGATGAGCTATCTGACTATGACTGGTATGTATATGGCGCAATTGAAATTCTCTCTTCAGATGGAATCATATTTAAGGCTGTCAGAGAACAAAGACTGCCCTTCGCCACAAATGGAAGCTATGTGATGAATTTTTTTCCCTATGCCTTTCTTCAATTTTCTATTTAAAGAAATTTCTGAAAATACATGAATTATGCAGCTTATCTCTCAGATGAAAAAGAATTTTCTTCTTGGATTGGATGGCTGCGTGTTTATTAATAGCAGTGAAATTTTCCGTGTTCTTTTGTATCAAATGGGATGCTGACTAAAATATGAAGTAGCCTTTCCAGCAAAAATAACAGTAATGGATGAATAATTACAAAAGCTATAGGGAACTGAAAGACATTTTAATTTGTCATTATTTCTATGTATTCAGAAAGGATCTGAATAATTACAATGACTATAAAAAGGAAGAATGTGATATTTTTCCTCATTATGGGATTAAGTTCTTAATATACCACTTTTACTATAAGTTTAAAAAAAAAACCCTTTCATCTGATTTTCTCTAACTATGTAATCATGACTAAAGACTGTTTAGCTGTGAATATTTGGTCTTCTTACTGTTACGTGAAGATGCTGTCCTTCAAACTCTTTTTAATCTCAAAAGTGTTCATCTTTGCAGTTTATAAAAATGAAATTATACTTATTTGCTCAGTGAGAACTTTCAACCCTTATGTCACATTAATTTTTGAAGATGACAAGGACTGTTGAATTTCTTTAGGTCATGACCGGATGGTAGCAGAGTATGAGATTCTAAAACAGGATTTTAATTTTTATAACAACTACTAAAAAGTGGCTATAGCTACCAGGGTCATGCTAAGGCAAAATTTCAAACATTTCAAAGCTATTTTTAAAAATATGCATATAGTCTCAATTTTTTTAGTCTACATTATACCAACAATGTTCAAATTCTTATTCAGATCCTAAGAATATTCTATGACAGCACTGTTTTTGGAAAATGAAATTTCAACATATGCTCTGTGTTTCTAGGTGAGTGATAGAATTTTCTTTTGTAGCTTTTGAATTTTCATTTACCAGACTGCCAGTGAGACATTTGGACCTTAGCGAAGGAAGATGGGAAAACCTGTGAAAAGAGTCTAACCTGCTCTAACACTTTTGCCACCCTTCCCTCTAAAATATTCTTTAAGGGAAACAGCCACCACTAGAAGATGCTTTTCCAGCAGCTTCCTTTCAGCTGGAGCACTTCTTCAGCAGCATGCGAGAAATCCCCGGCAGAAGATGTCAACAAGCTCTCTCACCTCCTGCTTATGAGTTTTTCCAGGGTTCAAGTTCCACTGCTTAACAGCTGTTTGATCTTGTGCCATTAATTTAGCCAAGTGAAACCTCAGTGTTCTCACCTTTAAAAGGGGTGGAAATGGCACACATAGTAAAAGTGGTCTGTGGATTAAATTAAAATGTAAAGTAAATGTAAAATTCATGACTCGTAGTAGGCATGTTGTAAGAGGTAGTATCTTGTTGTCATAAAGAAAAAAACAAAACTAAAAATCCTTCAAAAATTGGCTCTCAATTTGATTAAATCAATACTTTTTGCAAGTAAGGCCAGAAAGAATTTTTTTTTTTTTTTTGACATGGAGTCTCCCTCTGTTGCCAGGCTGGAGTGCAGTGGCACGATCTCGGCTCACTGCATCAGGTTCAAGCGATTCTCCTGCTTCAGCCTCCTGAGTAGCTGGGACTACAGGCATGCTACCATGCCCAGCTAATTTTTGTATTTTTAGTAGAGACGGGGTTTCACCATGTTGGCCAGGATAGTCTTGATATCCTGACCTCGTGATCTGCCCACCTCTACCTCCCAAAGTGTTGGGATTACAGGCATGAGCCACTGCACCTGGCCCAGAAACAATTTTTTTTTTCTATTCTTCTAACAGAGAAAATTCTGAATGAGTGGACAACGAGGCTTATATTAATTTGAAATTTAGCCACTGTAATGTTGCTCTCCACTTTCAACAAGAGGGTTCTGCATGTAGTTATACCTGAAACTTAAAGATGGGTGTATGCAGCATGCCATAAATAAAAATCAATTCATTATTTTTATTTAAAAACATTTGGAATGAATTTAGTGTCTGGATTGACAATGTAGAGCTATACATTTTCTTGTACGTATGTGGAGATGGCATTAGTAATGGAGATATTTTATATATACAGGTTATTTAGAACCTGAAAGATTAACTTTACAAATTCAGATGCATTTGAATTTGATGGTTAAGGTAATATGAGAAGTAGAAGAGAGACAGGGGGTGGGGGGGAGAAAGAGGTGTTGGAATTTGTAATTATGAAAGAAGGTAACACTGTGTTTCCTTCTGTCTTATAGCCTGAAGAATAAGTAGTGAAAGCATCAATCAAGACATAAGAACAAAACATTAGCATTTCTCTGCCGTGGAGAATTGCTTATCAACCACCAGAGGAGGCTTCTTTCTTGAACAATAAACATTTCTTATAAGGATTCACAGATTCACATACGACTGATCTTGATTTTTGGAAATGAATGAGGTTTCTTTTTTCTTTTTCCTTTTTTTAATTTTGGGGTAAGTTATGATATTTGGATGGATTTTTAAATTCTTTCCTGATAACATATTTAGCACATGTTCTAAATTATAATCCTATAGCAAACAGTTGGAGCATTATTCAAACTGAAAGTGGAAAAATTTAAATTTCCAATTTATTCTAGATTTCCTCAGAGCATAATTATTCTGTTAAATCCTCAATGAGTGTGATGTAAACCACCTCTATCCAGAAATATACATTCTTTTCTCATCATGTTGGACACAGTTGAGGGTGACATGCACAGAACTGGAACAGATCACTATTAGTGGAAAATACCAAATGGACAAATAAATACCAGTCGTTTTCTCCGTTCTCCAAGCACAGGAGCCAGGTTTACCATCTGAACAATGAAGACGAAGGGAGTAAATAAAGGAAGAATTCTCATCTTTTTTCCTGATCATTCAAAGAACAGTTTCTCAAGGTTAAGCCAAGTCCTCCTTGCAAGTTGCCAAATAATAGCTTAGGAAAAGAATTAGTCTGCCTGCATGATGATCTTCTTAGGCAAAAACGTCTTCACAGCCCTTGACCTTGGTGAATTTTTTTCCCCAAAAGCATCCAAAAGAAGAATTATAAACCCCAGAATGAGATGGAAATAAACAAGTATTTTTTTTTATGATGTTTGGCCTGAACTGTGGGCTTTAATTGGGGGATACTGATCGTTTGGAAAGAAGTGAGAAAATTCTGAAGAAATGGCGGCCTTGGGCTAGGCGGGGTCCCCTATTTCTTCTGTTTCTCACTGAAGTCCTACTGCTGAGCCAAGACTCAGTCACTCTGGAAAGAGCATGACCGATAAAGAAAACAGTTCCTTTCTGATGGGGAGCGTCTGAGTGCAGATCATGAGGCTCTTTCTCTAGGTTTAATTCTTTTCCATGGTGACCGGACTTGGTGTCTTGTAGCCTGGTTACGAAGTGGGACGTTGAGCTTCTACTGACGATGCCCTGCATGGACCAGCTGGGATCTGGCTGGGGCTGCCCTGTGTCCCTAACGACCATAGGCAATCCATCTTCTTGTGTCAGCAATTTCTGGACACCCACTGTTTTCCACCAAGAGCTGAGGTGGCAACAACTCAGTGAGCAATAAACAAAATGACACAGAAATGCACAGTGTTGTTATGAAGGAGCCTGTTTACCTGTGTTCAAAATCTGGCACCATTCCCTTGAGCAGGGCCCGCTCAGGAGGGACCAGGTCTGCCAGTTTCTGTGCCTGCAGAGAGACGAAGCCCCACGAGCCACACCCTACTCTACAAGAGGAAAGGGGGTTGGATGGGAAGAATCTATTTTGCTGTTTTGGAAAGCACACAGCCGACCTACAAACCTCCTGTGATGGTGTTTCTTCGGATGTGTAAAATAAGGCTTTATTTGTCAATTCCGCTGTAAAATAAGCATTGTCCGAGTAAAAACAGCAGCAACAACAAAACACTGTTTCAGTTTGGGTTTAGTGAGTGAGCTTATGCCCTAAAGTGCTGTGTGTGTGTGTGTGTGTGTGTGTGTGTGTGTATTTAAAATAACCTAATATAGAAAAGTCTATGAACATAGATTTCTTTTACTTTACAGAGAGGCTATGCCAAACCCTTTATAGATAATCTTCCGGCCATAATAATCAGATTATTTCAGAATTCCTCATCTAAATACCATTGCTCCTTGGCAACCTGTCAAATGCAAGTGAATACCCTGCCAGAGGTTTTGTGTGTTTGTTTGTTTTCAAATTTCTTTATTTTTGCCCATGCAGATAGTGGAAATTATCATTCTAGTGTACCCTGGAGATGACATATTTAGTTTTAGGCAGGAAGGGGCTGCTAATGTTGTTTATATTTTGGGAATTCTGGAATGGAAAGATTCCTACTTGGGAAGCTAGCTGTTTGTGGTTGTCTTTTCTGTTTGGTTTGCTGTGGTTGTGTTTGTTCAGCTAAGTCATATCTTACCTTCCCATTTTTTTATGAGTGGATGGGAGTGGGATGGAAGGTAAATGTTTTCAAATAACCAAATCAATTCTGAAGGAGAGGAAAGAGACCCACACAGACCCAGGTGTGTCCCTGTCTTACGTCCAGTCCACCCGGAGCTGCTGACACGTGGTCCCAGCAGAGACTCCGGGCCAGCTGAGAACATGAGTCAAGTGATTTTCTGTAAAATGTTAATTAAAAGGACCTAGGAAAGAACCCATATATTTGAAAGAGTGAAGCTATTCAAATTATCAATATTTAAAGTATTTTTACTGTTCCAGAGTTTTTATAATAATGTTAACTAAACTAACCAAATACTGCCCATTTAAAGTTTTGCTGCAGTGAGGGAAAAATTATTCAAAATTAACATAACACACAAGCTTAATGGACTCCTTATACTATATCAGAGTAAAATTATTTGTATTTAAAAGGTTAGTGGTTACGTGGTTGAAATTGTCTTCTTAAGAAGATAAAACACTCCTATAGTCTTGGTCATGCAGTTAATTTACTTTGCAAAAAGTTTTTCTCCGTCAGTACAGAGGTAAGCTTCAGGCTAGCACCTGTGCCAGAGGCCACAAACGCCACGGTAGTGAAACCCAAATTAATGAGTCTTCATTAAATTTAGTCTCCAAGCCCAGTGAACTAATAAATATAGTCATAAAGTAATCTGCTAAGTAAAGGGGACTACAGTGATTCCTTTGGCTGATAAAGGTAGTAATAAAACTCTCATCCGCAATTGCTTGACTACAAAGACAAATAGGATTTGTGTTTCACTTGCCTGTTAGACGACATATATAAGCATAAATTGGAACTGAAAGAGTCTTTACACTTTTTTATTGACATGAGTTTATTAGGTCAACCAGACCAAAGGATGAAAAATTTAAGATACATGAAAAATACTAAAACTCCCATAGGAAAATTTGAGCCTTCTGGTTGGGGCTGGGGGTGGAGTGTGGGGGCATTCTAACTCTTCCAAAGCTGATATTTTGAGTCGGAAATTTCTGACAAGTCAGTGTGAACACAGAATATTAAAGCCCCACTAAGAAAATTACCTTTTTAAACTGCCAGGTAATAAAATAACTATACTCTCTCTATATTCCATCCAAACAAAATATTCATTGTTCACTTGACCCACTTATATGAGGAACTGTTTTTCTTTTGTGACCAGAATAAGGAGGGTCCAATCAACATATTATTGTGGAGATAGCCTTTTTTTTTTTTTTCTGGCTTCTACCTAATTTATTTATAATAAAGACAAGCTAGGCTACCTCATAGGATTCTGGTGTGGATTCGCTAATTAATAAATATCAAGTGCTTAAAAATATGGATCTCTGTATAAATCCTGCCTTAATTTGTTTTCTAGTTTAAGATGTGCATGTCAAATCAACTGTCTGAATATTTGATTGTAATATTCATGTTTGTAAATTTGGCTTTAAATTTAAGATATAAAAATTTTGATGTGAAATGGAATCCTAGCATGGGTTGAGAGCATCTAACCCAAGACTGGCAGATATAGCACCTAGGGAAACAAAAAGCACCTGGAAACCAAACCAAAATGTTTTTAGAAGGCATTTTTGACTGGGCGCAGTGGCTCACGCCTGTAATCCCCGTACTTTGGGAGGCTGAGGCTGGCAGATCTCTTTAGGTCAGGAGTTCAAGACTAGCATGATCAACATGGTGAAACCCCATCTCCACTAAAAATACAAAAACTAACTGGCTGTAGTGGTGCATGCCTTTAATCCCAGCTGCTCCAGAGGCAGAGGCAGGAGAATCGCTTGAATCCAGGATGCGGAGGTTGCAGTGAACCGAGGTTGCAGTGAACCGAGGTTGCGCCATTGTACTTCAGCCTGTGTGACAGAGCAAGACTCTGTCTCAAAACAAACAAACAAACAAACAAACTAAAAAAGTATTTTAAAAGAAGGAAAGGAGGGAGTCTCAGCATTGGTTTGAGGAGTATATTAAGTAATTCTGTGTTCTAATAATTAAAATGCCAAGATTCATCAATGAGTTATATAAAAAGTAGACTGGATTTAAAGTGAAGACTATGATAATGTAATCCTTACTTCATTCCAATGTTGAGTGAAAGGTAAAGGGAAATCATAGCTAGTCCACATATTTCTAAATACCTGCAAGAGAGACTGTGCAGACCAACTTGATTTGTGTCTTCATAGAAAAATGTTGAGTACTATTTTTTTAAATGATATAGCCTAAAGAGAAAAGAATGAAATTAATATCTAACAGTTTCTTAGTAACACCATCTGAAGGCTCTATGGTAACTAGTTAAAAGATGATTTTACTGCTGGCTGAACTGCGCTTCCATTTTCCCCTTATGATTAATTACTCCTTAGTCACTATTCTGAGTAGCAATTTTATTTGCTAATTTCAAATGCCTCCACTTAATTAGCAATTCGTTCTGACCTTTAAAAACTACATTCTATAGTCTTCAGATTATATGAGCAAAGGGAAAAAAATCCAATTTTACCTGTCTCCCACCACCAGCCACCCATAGCGGCTTACATTGTTTCTGGGATACCGTGAAACTACTGTACAGTGTCAAACTTGAGTTAACGGTGGTTGTTTGAAATCCAGGCTAAAGTTCCCTCATCCTTCAGGGGGTCAGTAGGTTCAGTGAGAGGTAGGGATGCTCCAACTTCAGAGAGTTGAGGTAATGTGTGATGTAGCACATCTGACTGGTACATTTTATTTTTTTAATTAAAGAAAAATGAGAAAAGGTACACACAATAATGGATTCCCTTTTGTATCCTTACTCACAGCTCTCTTTTGAGAATTCTCAGCACATTTTCCACTTGAATTGTTGCTCAATTAAGTGTCTGACACTAAGACCATCCAAAATTAGCAATATGAGTTTTCCTTGGGGTTACCAAGTCAGTGGCCAAGGGGTCTACTTTGAGATCAATTTTTTAAAATCCTCATATTTCTTGAAATTGTCTTTATTGTTGGATAGGGTGTTAATCAGGGTGAATAACATTAGTGCTAATGATTTTACTGTTGATAATTCAAAGAATTACCATGTTGAGTCAACCTCATATCCCATTAATCCACTACTCTGACTGTAAATAGTCTCTAAGAATCTCATAATCAGGGGATATGATTTGTTTCCCTGATATTAGTTCCAAGGAACTCATTAATACTAGATATGTGTAAGCAGAGAAGCCGGAATATTTCTCTATTTTTCAAAATTATAATATTTTTGGCTGATTTTGAGAATAATGGAATCACGGACAGTCACTATGCAAGGAAGGCATTCTACAGCAGCCCCTATCCTCAGAGCCTCAGAGTCAGCACACCCTGCCGTGAAACCAAAGCTCCTACCCTCAGCTGTCCCCATTCGGAGGGCATCCACTGTTGGCTTTAGGGCCATCCATACATGGTTTAAGTTTGTCATCCTTCTTGTGAATCAATTCTTCTTGTCACTTGTTAGATCCACTTGGTGGCTTTCATATTGATTGGCTCTAAGGACCCCATTTTCAGAACGTTGGGGTGTTTAGTCCTTTTTTCCACCACTCTTTGGTTTAACCAGAGCACATTGCTATTAAAAAGGTGACTGGTAACAGGACAATACAATCGGTATATGGAAGATATTTGCCATTTTGGAGATGTATTTTTTTGAAAGCCAACAGGTTTCCACGTTCAACTAGTTATATGTCTATAAGCTTCTTTCTTCATTATCCCCTTCTTTACCACTTAATTGAAGGCCAATTACAAGCCCATCTCCTACATCTTTATATAAGCTACCATGTTTTGGTGTCCTTTAGGTGTAGAGAGTTTAATTGTGATGAAACCTAATCAAGTACCCTTTAAAAGCCACCTATGGGGGTGTGTAATAAAATGATGTTCCCCCTGGGGATTTGTATCAACCATTTATTTCTTTGATAGTGTTGAATTGTAAATGAACTAAGTGCTTGAGCTTTTATTTTTCTAGTCACTCGTGAGTTCAAAAACTGCCCATCTTCCTTATGCATGGCGAAGCTTTCTTTATGTGGAATTGACTCAGTCTTTCTCCATTTATACTTAGTAACACATCTTCGTTACTTTAGGGTCTCTTCTCTGTAGATGTGCAGTGCAAGAAGGAATACAGCCCCCACTTGTAGGAAATGACTGATACTCTCTGACTTATTGCTGCGATTTGAGGCAAATATATCCTTTTTCTTTTGAAATTATCTTCTTTAGCCAACTTTCTCTGAGAATTGAGATGGGTACCCCTAAAAGGGAAAAACCAATAATAAAACCCATTTCTGTGCTAAACTCTAGTTATCCAGTTTATAACAAGTAGTAAAAGGATCATTATATTATGTTTATCATATATTTACATATTAAGTAATTAATTATTGAATATAAAGTTTCAAAGAATGTTCTTATAGAGGAAATGGTACAGGAGTTTGAAAACCTATATTTAGAATATGATTCTGCCATTCATTGGCCTTGAGATCTCGGGCAAGCTTCAGTTACCTAATATCTAAAGTGGGGATAATAGAATTTCTTCTTGAGTCGTAAAGAGGAAGCAAACTTACTACATGCATTTCTTCTTCTCTTCTCCACCATCAAACTAGCTAATAACTGTGCAGTCTAATACAGAACCATTAAATGGAGAGCTGGAAGAGATCTTTGAGACCGTGTTATCCGTCTCCCTTATTTTGAACATTCTAGTTGTTAAAAATATGCCATGAAATAGAAACTTATGAAGGAGAGGATCAGCTCTAGTATAACTCTTGTAGCAAATAGCTCCCCAGAAAGGCAAAACTCAAAGTATTCCAGAAGTTGTCAGTGTGAGTTCCCAAAAGGCACCTGTTTTCTCCTTCCCCTCATCTTCACTCATGTATCTCTGCCAGCATCCCCTCCTACCCCTCAAGCCTCATGCCTCTCTGCCATCAGCCAGTCAGGCTTTTAATCAGTATGAGGACCTCACCCTTGCATGTGGCTGAAGAATATTCAAGTAAGGAGATGGGCCAGTTACAAGCCCTTCTCCTACCTCTTTATGTAAGCTACCATCTCTTGGTGTCTGGGAGCAGATGGCGAGGAGGGCCTGAGATCAATTTTACTCCAGCACAGAAGGAAAAGACATGCTGCTTTGCAACATTTTCCCACAGGAAGAGCAGAGTTCAACATAAGTTCTTATATAGTATTTGTATGCAGCATACATGCATATATGCATATAAATATAAATCGACTACAGCACGGCCTATTTATTTTGACATTCCTGTTCTTTAGTGAGGTGCAGGATGAATAACACAGCTGTGGATGTCTCCCCTTTGTTCTTTTGTCTCATGATAGGAGCCATTTAACTAAACATGAAGCTGGATTTATGACCACCAGTCTGTTTGAGTGGTAATAAATGTCAGATAGACATTGCTGAGTCATAAACTCAGTGAGTTTGAGCCTAACTCACTGCATAAATCAGCTTTCTACACGTTAGCCCCAAATTCCAGAAGGCTGGCTCACTACAAACGGACATGAAGCTCCAACAACCCAGTCTTCCAAATATGTCTGCAGCTTGACACCCTGATTTTTTTTTTACTGTTGACTGATTAGAATGCTGTCTTTGTTCAGAAATTTGCCCTGTGATTCAAGGAGTTCTTCACGTCATGAATACCAGAGAAGCAGGCATGTGGTTGGTGTGTAGACAGAATCCTCATGATGGGGGGTGGACAGTGAATTCCTGTGGGTTGGAGCCTACTTATTTCTGCTTAGTTCTGTGCGAAGCATGATAGGTTTAGGAAGTCCCTGAGCCAATGAGAGCCCTGCTTGGCAATGAGAGAGGTCTGGGAATATACTGTTGCCCTTCTACCTAGAACCTGGGGTTCCTGTGCTATTCACACTGCTACGTATTCACGTATCTGGCTTTGGTCTCCTTGTACAGTCCTCAACATGTGCCCCAAGTGATGACTGCTCTGTCTAGCACTCTACTCCTAAGTCCCTTTTCCTGGAGCCTGGTCCCTAAATGGAAGTTGTGTTTATTTCACCAGCCCCCTCAATCTTGATAAGGTGTGCTACTAATTTTCCCCTGCAGAGGTGAGTTCTGTTCTGGTTAGCTCTTTTATGCCAGCAATTACTAAGCTTCCAACCTTTTTCATGCTAGGAGTCTTCTCATCAACTGTGGACAGGATACTGACAGTCCAACAAGTAGAGAAAAACAATGGAAGCATGAGTTTATATGGTCTGCACACTTTTTTATAAAAAAAACCAGCTTCATTGGTTCAGGTATCTGAATGGATTAAATAAATCGTTCACAGAATTAAAAATGAATGTAATTTGAAACTCTGCCTATGAATTGGGAGCATCAAAATGCAGTCACAAAAAGGGAACTGAAATTTAGGAGACAGTGGTTTTAGCCATGTTCCCCCAGTAGAGAAACTTGGAACTTTGTAAAGCAAGTTACTTTTATTTCTCCAGCCCCAACTTTTTAAGGTAAAACTAGGGGGAGATGGATCTAATGGTCCCAGTTACTGCCTAGTATATTTGAAATCAATGGAATATTAAAGAAAGTGACTGTGCATTTTTACTGCCATACAGTATAACAAAGTAGTACAGCCTGCTTTAAGTTAATTTCAGTATTTAAGAATGTGAATTAAAACAACTCAGAAAAGTGAATTTGAAAAGAGCACACGAGGATAGCACTGATGCTGCCTGCATCAGTAAATGAAATTTGCAATGATTTTGTCTGGAATATTATACTAGCATCAACTTCCAAATGTGTCCAGGGTGTTTCTGGAATTTTACCCTGTGCCCTTAGCTTTTACTCTGATGCCATCTCCACTGGCCTCTCATATAATATGGTTTCTGACTCATTTACTTTTCATTATTGCGGATGTGCAATTGTCCAATATGTCCCTGGTTTCAGTTTACAGTGACAGAGTTGCCTTAGTTCTGTAACCAAATATGTAAAGCAATTTAAATAATTAAAACAATTTAAAAAAAGAACATTGACTTCAAGATCAAATCAATATGTAGGTTACAGGGAGCAGAAGGAAAGTTCTCATCCCAGCCACAGTGACAGAGTATTCTGCAGCCTAAGTGTTGTCAGAACCATGCACATGTAGCTATGGTGTTCTGTTGCACAGCAGGGTGAATACAGTTAACAATAATTTATTGCATATTTCAAAATATCTGGAAAAGAGGATTCTGAATGTTCTTACCACAAAGAAATGATAAATGTATGAGATGATGGATGTGTTAATTATTCTCATTTGATGATTACACAATGTATAGATGTATTGAAATATCACACTGTACCCCATAAATATATATAGTTATGAAGTGTCAATAAAACGCTGAACAAATTAGACATAGAAGGAATGTATCTCAACACAATTAAGGTCATATATGACAAACCCACAGCTAATATCACACTGAATGGAAAAATGTTGAAATCTTTTTCTCTAAAATCTGAAACAAGACAAGGATGCCAACCCTCACTACTCTTATTCAAGATAGTACTGGAAGTCCTTGCCAGAGCAATTTGGTAAGAGAAATAAAGGACATCCAAATTGGAAAGAAAGAAGTTAAATTGTCCCCGTTGGCAGATGACATAATATTGTATATCTATATAGAAAACACTAATATATATATATATATATATATATATATATATATATATATATATAAACACTAAAGACTCCACTAAAAATTCAAAACTGATACACAAATTCAGTAAAGTTGCAGGATACAAAATCGACATAGAAAAAGCAGTAGCATTTTATACCTTAATAGCGAACTATCTAAAGGAGGAAACAAGAAAACAATCCTATTTGCAATAGTTACAAAAAATACATAGATGTAAGTTTAACTAAGGAGATGAAAGATTTCTACACTAAAACTATAAAACACTGGCAAAAGAAATTGAAAAGACACAACTTAATGGAACGATAGCCCACACTCATTGATTAAAAGTATTAATATTGTTAAAATGTTCATACTACCCAAAGCAATCTACAGATTCAATGCAATCCCTATCACAATACCAATGACATTTTTCACAGCAATATGAAGTCAGTACCTGACTTCAAAATATACTACAAAGCTATAGTAATCAAAACATCATGGAATTGGCATAAAAATAGACACATAGATCAATGCAACAGAATAGAGAACCCAGAAATAAATCCACACACTTACAGCCAACTGATTTTTGACAAAGATGCCAAAAACACACAATAGAGAAAGAATATTGTCTTTAATAAATAGTGCTAGAAAAATTTGATATTCATATGCAGAATAATGAAGGTAGACCCCTTTTTTCTCACAATACACAAACATCAACTCAAAATTAAAGAGTTAAATATAGGGCCTGGAATGATAAAACAATTAGAAGAAAACACAGAGGAAACACATCATGATACTGGTATAGGCAAAGATTTTTTGCATAAGACCCCAAAAGTACAGTCATAAAGGTGAACATTGACAAATGGGATTACATCAAACTAAAAATCTTTTGCACAGCAAATAAAACAATCAACTACTGAAGGTGAAAATACAACCTACAAAATAGGAGAAAATATTTGCAAACTATGCTCTAACAAGAAGCTAATATTCAGAATATATAAAGAACTCAACTCAATAGCAGAAAAACAATGTAATTTAAAAATGGGCACAGGCCAGGCATGGTGGCTCGCACCTGTAATCCCAGCACTTTGGGAGGCTGAGGCGGGTGGATCACGAGGTGAGGAGATTGAGACCATCCTGGTTAACACAGTGAAACTCCGTCTCTACTACAAAATAGAAAAAATTAGCTGGGCATGGTGGTGGGCGCCTGTGGTCCCAGCTACTCGGGAGGCTGAGGCAGGAGAATGGCATGAACCCAGGAGGTGGAGCTTGCAGTGAGCCGAGATCATGCCACTGCACTCCAGCCTAGGCAACAGAGCAAGACTCCGTCTCAAAAAAAAAAAAAAAAAAAAAGGGCGCAATGTCTGGATAGATAGCTCTTAAAAGAAGACTTACAGATGGCTAACAAGTACATGAAAAAATGTTCAATACCATTAAATACTAGGGAAATACAAGTCAAAACCACAATAAAATGTCATCTCACTGTAGTTAGAATGACTATCATCAAAAAGACAAAAAATAACAAATGCTGGTGTGGATGTGGAGAAAGGGGAACGCTTATATACTGTTGCTAGGAATGTAAATTAGTACAGCCATTATGGTAAACAGTATGTAGGATCCTCAAAAGATTAAAAATAGAATTACCATATGACCCAGCCATCCCATTACTGACTATATAATATACTCAAAAGATTTGAAATATGACCCAGCCATCCTATTACTGACTATATACTCAAAGGATTTGAAATTATATGTCAAAGAGATGCCTGTACCCCCATTTACTGCAGCACTATCCACAGTAGCCAAGAGAAGGAATCAACCTAAATGTCTATCAATGAATGAATGGATGAAAAACCATGTGATATACAGGCATACCTCATTGTATTTCACTTCACTTTATTGTACTTTGCAGATACTGTGATTTTTATAAATTAAAGGTTTGTGTCAACCCTGTGTAGAGCAAGTCTATCAGCACCATTTTTTTCCAATAGCATGTGCTCACTTTGTGTCTTCGTGTCAGCATTTTTTAGTAATGAAGTATTTTTAATTAAGATATGTACATTTGTTTAGACATAATGTTATGGCACACTTAATAGACCACAGTATAGTGCAAACATAACTTTTATATGCACTCAGAAACCAAGAAACCAATAAAGCAAGTGTGACTTGCTTTATTGTGATGGTCTGGAATGAACTGACAGTATATCCGAGGTATGTCCATATGTACATAATGGAATACTATTCAGCCATAAAAAAGAATGAAATTCTGTCATTTGCAACAACATGGATGAACCCAGAGGATGTTTTGTTATGTGCAATAAGCCAGGCACAGAAACAAAAATACCCCATAGGATCTCATTTACATGTGGAATTTAAAGAATTTAACCTCATAGAAATAGAGAGTAGAATGATGGTTACCAGAGTATGGAGATGGTCGGAGGAAGGGGGAATAGGGAAAGATTAGTCAGTGGGTGCACAGTCACAGCTAGACAGGAGGAATAAGTCCTGGTGTTCTATCCACATTAAGGTGACTATGGTTAACAATTTTGTATTGCATGTTTCAAAATAGCTAGAAGAGGGGACTGTTAAATATTCTCACCACAAAGAAATTATAAATGTTTGAGGTGATGGATATGCTAATTACCCTGATTTGATTTTTACACAATGTACACGTGTATCAAAACACCACACTGTATCCCATAAATATGTACAACTATTATGTATCAATTGAAAACAAAATTAAAAAAACAAAATAAAAAAACCCACAGATGTGTAGCCACTAATCATTAATAGGAGTCAGTCATCACCACTGGCCTCTGTGAGTACAGCCCAAACAGAATGTTCTTCTTCTACCTCCTGGCCCCTGAGCCAGAGAGAAACAGTACATGCCAGAGAGTTCTTTGAAAAATGAGGCAGCATCCCTTAGCCTGGTTGGAGGCATGCTAACAAATGTCTGTATGAGAAAGAGAAGAGGCTGGGGCTGTCTCTTCTCACATCAGAAGCTGCAATTGGGAGCAGGGCAAGGGAAATGGAGCCTTCTCCATCCCCGAGCACAGTGCCGGGGTGGCTTCCAGGCTCCCGTCCCTTCCGATCAATTCCATTTAAATCTACCCACTATTGAAAAATGTGAAATCTTTGTCTGCTGTTGTGGAGAACACCCACTTGGTGCTGGATGGGACAAAGGGAACAATGGGGATAGGGCTTTGGAACACAGCACAGTGAAGAGAATTGCTCCGGTAATAACACCAGCCCCGCAATGGATGAATGCTCACTGCAGGGAAAACTCTGGTATAATAATGGTTGTTAGGATGGAGAATGTAAATAACAGGGAGTTTAAATTGAATATTTGAAAACACTGAGATCCTGTGAGTGTGCACTGAATTTTTATGTTAAAAAAGAGCTTTATTTAAACAGAGGGCCCACAAAGGCCTCAAAAACATCCCTCATTTCACTTAGTAGGGAAAATATTTTCTGTTTCTCACAGTTGGAAATGACAGATATTGTCTCCTATGTGGAGTAAAAAACATCCCTTGGAAGGGGATGTTTTAGGTAATTACTTAAGCCAATTTGCTTCTAAAATGACAAGATTGGCAAACCGCCCATTGTCACATTGGCATATCAAATGATGATAATGTTCCCGATATTAAGGCACTATGTGAGTTCTACTTCCTGGGTAGGGGAGAGGACTGGCCCCTTCCTGGCAGGGAGGAGAGGGCTGGCTTCTGCAAAACTGTTGTAGCTCAGCAAAGGTTCTAGATTGCGGTGGGAGAGGATAGGAACAGAAGGAGGATGGGAAAGTAGAATTCAGGCAAAACCAGGGCTTCAGGAAGAAGGAAAAGTGTGAGTTTTCTGACATTTCTTTAGACATTCCACTTGATACTCATATAAAGAAGATAAGTTGAAAACTTACCTTTCTTGTGTCACCTAGACGGGGGACAGGCCACCAGTTTGCATGATGCCTGGAGGTGACCTTCAAGGTATCCCCCTGACCTCCCGCCATTGTTTACAAAAAGCTCAGGCACCAGAGTTCTAGTTTCATTTCTGCCACCAACTCTGAGACTCTGGGAAAGACCTTCTCTAAGCCTTACCTTTCTAGTCTATAAAATGTAGGATTGGGCCGGGTACGGTGGCTCACGCCTGTAATCCCAACATTTTGGGAGACTGGGGCAGGTGGATCACGAGGTCAGGAGTTCAAGACCAGCCTGGCTAACATAGTGAAACCACATCTCTACTAAAAATACAATAATTAGCTGGGTGTGGTGGCATGTGCCTGTAGTCCCAGCTGCTCTGGAGGCTGAGGCAGGAGAATTGCTTGAACCTTGGAGGCAGAGGTTGCAGTGAGCAGAGATCGTGCCACTGCACTCCAACCTGAACAACAGAGCGAGACTCCGTCTCAAAAAACAAAACAAAACAAAACAAACAAACGTAGGATTGGTGTGAGATGATCCATAAGGTATTTGTTTTGGTCAGTCATTCCAGCTCATCCTCCTACCTATTCTCTGGATATATCAGAAAAACCATCAAATCAAGCCCTGACTTCTCTGCAAAACAAACTGAGAGGGTTGGCCAACTCACTCTGTTTGATGTTAACTTTCTGCCTCAAGTGTACATACTTTCTCTGAACAAGACCTTTCAGGAAAGGAGATGCTGAGGGAACCTTCTGGTTACTGATCATTGCCAATCTTCAGTGGAAATCTATTGCCATGAGGCACTGCCTTGGAATAATGAGACTTGTCACATCTTGAATGCCTTCCCAAGTGAGATACCCAGAGACCTGAACATCATACATCAGCAGAAACAAACATACAGCTGAATCTGGACGGAAACTAAGGAGACTGACCAAACGGCAAGGACTCATGACAGCAAGAATTGCATGAAGGACCATTGAGTGATTTCCAAAACAAGCTTGCAAACTCTGGTGGGATTTGGGAGTGTTCCCATCCAGTGGAGCACAATCTGAATGTGGATAAGGGAAAAGGACCACATGGCCAGGCAAATGTTGCCAAGAGGCTGGAAAGAGAGAGACTAGAATGTAGCCATCTGAGTAAAACACACATCAAGAGCTGGTCAGGACAGGAGGTGAGCTGCCGGGGGTTTGCCTTGGCTTTCAGCTGGTGCTTTAGGGACTGCATCAAAAACAGGACCCAAGTTGGATGAATCTGGAGGAGGCAGCAGGTGGCTACAACCTGCCATCCCTGGACTGAGAAGGTGCTGAGCAAGAGTGAAAGCCAGGAGAGGGCACACATGCAGTGACGAGGCAGAGAGTTAGAAGCCAGAAGAAAGAACAGAATCCAGAAAAAAGCACCTCACTGGAGGTGCCAAGAGGCAGAGCCAAGTAGACAAACCTAGAACAGGGGCAGCAAGAGCAGAATCAGCTCCCCAAGCACCCACAAAGTTCTGCCTGATTGTTGGTTGCTACTCTAACTTTATTTCAGTTTTCTCCACCCATAGCTGCTTGTGATAGGATAAATATCTGATTTCTGTTCCAGTCCATCATGGCCAGAATGGTCAGGTTAGCCATGGCATTCAGCTGCCGAGATGCAGGGATTATATGGGTAATACAGGATCTGGCTCAGTGGGCCTGAAGCTGCTGCTGAATAATGCCCTCACAAGATATTGGCTTAGAGAATTTGGGGAACAGAGACTGCAGCCAAGAGCGGCAGGTGGATATAGGCTGCATGTAAGTGTTGTGAAAAAACTCCCCAAACTCATTAAGCCAAAGGGAAAAGTTGAGCTGGGAACTGGGTGGCCAAACCTGCCTCCCCCTTTTGGTTCCTAAATAAGATGGCTACAAGATGAAAAGCTGCATGCCTCCGCCATATTTTGTCTACAAGGAAATTCCAGTGAGCTGCAAGATATTTGCCCTAATTTGTTTCTATTAAAATTTTACTATGGTAATAGAAATTGATAGCTTACCTTTGCAGGTGCAGTCGCCCTGGCCCACCAGACACAAATACATATCTGATTGTTTCCCTGACCCATTTTGTTCATGGTATCTTATGTAAAAAAAAAAAAAAAATGCAAATTCACGCTTGAACCCAGGAGGCAGAAGTTGCAGTGAGCTGAGATCGCGCCACTACATTCCAGCCTGGGCAACAGAGCGAGATTCCATCTCAAAAAAAAAAAAAAAAAAAAAAATGCAGATTCACTAAGCCAGACAAAGGCAGGAAGGACTATTTTTCCCTACCCCCTCCTACCTGAAAACTCTGTACTTCATATGCCACACATTTCCCCTTTAAATTTGGAGCCCTCAAAATCATCTTCGGAGAAAGGAATAGACCTGTCTCCCCGATGTGCCTCCTTAACTTTGGCAAATAAATGTCCTAAAATGATTGAGACTTGTCATTTTTCTGCATTGACGGTGTTAACATAGGCTCTTTGATCTACTCTCAAATTAACACCAAAAGGAAGGGCTATATTGTGGGCACAAGTCACACTATTGCAGATTTAGTTTCAATGCATTTCAGAAGCTAAAAATACAGTATAGAAACGTTCTCTTAGGTTAAGGAGAAACCCGTGCTTGTCACAGACTTAAAGTTCTAATTAGAAGTGCAGTTGCTTGGAATACTATGAAGCCATAAAAAATGATGAGTTCATGTCCTTTGTAGGGACATGGATGAAGCTGGAAACCGTCATTCTCAGCAATCTATCGCAAGGCCAAAAAACCAAACACCACATGTTCTCACTCATAGGTGGGAATTGAACAATGGGAACACTTGGACACAGGAAGAGGAACATCACACACACACCAGGGCCTGTTGTAGGGTGGTGGGGAGTGGGGAGGGATAGCATTAGGAGATATACCTAATGTAAATGATGAGTTAATGGGTGCAGCACACCAACATGGCACATGTATACATATGTAACAAACCTGCACGTTGTGCACATGTACCCTAGAACTTAAAGTATAATAAAATATATATATATATATATATATACATATAAAAGAAGTGCAATTGCTAATCACATCATTGGTATTCGAGTTTACGTGCATAGAAAAATGTAATTTGCTTATTGTACTGAGAGGCTGTGCTAAAGTAATGTGAAGCTCTCAAAAACATAGATGAAAGTGCTGTCTATTTGATTAAAGGCCAATGTGTCTTGCTCTTCACCAAAAAATAACTTGTCATGTTAATTTCCTCTGGTAGTTTATGAAATATGCCAGGCTGGTTCAAGCCATCAACATGAGTCAGCCAATACTCTGAAGGATCTAAAGGTTTTAAACCACTTTTGGAATATCTACCCTTTTCCTTCAGAAAAAATCCACCTCAGATCTTGAGAAATAAATGAAATCAAATCACTCTATGGGCTGGAACAATGAGTTTGTTCTTCATACATTTGTAGAAAGCTATAGATCATCCATGGACTCCTTCAATGAGGAAAGTCTGCTAATCATAGTAACTTTGGCAAAAGAAAATTAGTTAGACCTCATTAATCCTCCTCTAAAAGTGAGTGAAAATGACTTCTATGAGAGGCAGAAGGAGAAAACTGGTTATTTCCACCCATTTGTTGAAGTAATTGCTGTCTTGGAAATATGAAGGCCATCAGATGTGTAATGCAAGTGATAGATGGTAAGAAGTAATTAACAAAATCATAACTAAGACATGCCTATTGAATTTGGTCAGAGTCTCTTAAAAATGAATCAGAGAGAACGAAAGTCTTATTCACAGGCATGTACAAAAAAAATAAAAAGAACAAAGTCATAACTTTATTGGCAGTGCCAAGAGGCTGAGCCAAATAGAAAAAGCAAGCCCCACCTAGAACAGGGGCGCCCAGAGTGGAACCAGCTCCCCAAACGTCCTTCTCTAAGGACAGACCCTTGCAACATCACTGCTCTCTTCAGATTCCGATGTCCTTGGAGTGTACCATTTTATAGCTGACTAAAAGGAGTCAAAGAAAGGTAGATAACTTGCCTGAAGTCCCAGCTGCAAGTGCAGGATTAGGGCCAGACTCTGGGTTGTAAGTTCACTTTGTAAATATGATACTTGGTTCTTCTCAAACTCGAGTTGGGGTCTAGGTGACAAAGGGCTCATATCACAGCTCAGCATCCCTCTACCTGAGTCAGGCCCCGAGAATGCTTTATGTGTCCCTAAGGTTTGAGAACTCATGACCCAAGCCCTCCCCACCCCTCCCCCACAAAAAAACCCCCAAAGAATATACTAGTCTCCAAAATGTTTGTTATCCTTAACCAATGATGGTTTAACCGGCAACCTCAGTTTATATTTCCAAAAGAAGGTGAGAGTACCCTTTCACAAATATATCAGTAGATACTTCTTCTTGCTTACCTGCACATTATATCAGACTTTCTTTTTATGAAGTACAGCAGTTTGTACACACTGTAAAAATACTGAAGATCCTAGAAATGTAACAGGTGAGCTATTCCATTCACATTGTCTTTCAACCAACGTACTACCATGGGCTCACGGAATGTAGCCATTCCATTTCGCTGAGTCCTGCAAAAACTCCCACCCATCTCCTGAGCTCCATTTGGTCCTTTTCTTATTCATAAATTTTCCTGGTCATTGCTGCCATACTGCATGCTTTGCATGTTGCACAATTTTCTCTGACCTCCAGAATCATTGCAACAGTCCAATGGTTCATTTCCATAAGCACACGAAGTATCTGTCATGCCAAAAATATCCACTTTTAATTATTTTTTCTGAGTTAACTTTTTTTAATCCTAATAAAACATCCCTTTGTGTTGGTGTATTCCACACCTTCTCCTCTGGTATTTATTGGGCCTGCTGAGTTTTATGATATTTGTGAAACACTTCAATACTAAGTTCAAATGTAACAATTCAACTAACAGAACCAACAAAGATCATGCCTGGGCTACATTGTATGAGCAAAAGACTGCATATTTTGGTGGCAACCTCATCAGACGCTCTTTTTTCTTGTGTGTATCCCTACTTATCCCTCTGCAAATTACTATTTAAAAGTCAGGAAGCAGGAAAGTTTTAGTAGCTGAGTTGTACCCAGCAAAAAATTGGCCCTGAGCTATTTGTTAGCTGTTCAAAGAGTGTGCAAAGCTGTCTCACACTGCCCTGGCTGGGGCCAGGAGCCCACCAACTGGTACTAGGAGGTACCCAGAATGCTGCCAGTGCTTGGCTACTTGAGTATCCCTGGAATTGTTCTCATGAACAGAGCTGGGCCCTGTCCTGGAACCAGTGAGAAGGTAGGAGGTTAGAACAGCAATTCCCCTCCATCAACTCCCAGCCATTCCTCCTTCCCCACATAAACACTCTTCCTGTGGGCATATGCTGAGCTCTAGCTGCCTAACCCCGCCCTCCACCACACCATATCCTGGGTCTCCTGGGCATCCTGAGAATCTCTGTTACCATTCCACCATGGAATTTGGAGGAAGGGAGGGAATTCTCCCTAACAGCCATCTGAACGAAGGCCAGCTCTTAACTTTATTCCTGCCAATTCTTTTCTTTTTGACAGAATTTAAAGAATGACACCAGCTCAGCCCATGCTTTTTCTTATCTGCCATTTGCATTTCCAAAGCTTCACCTCTGTGCAGTCATCTAAGATCTAAGACCAGATGTCTTATTTCCTCATCTATAATTTAAGAATAATAATTCCTCTTTCAAAATACAGTTGTGGAACCATTCCTGGACAAGATGGCCAAATAGGAACAGCTCCAGTCTGCAGCTCCCAGTGAGATCAATGCAGAAGGTGGGTGATTTCTGCATTTCCAACTGAGGTACCTGGCTTATCTCATTGGGACTGGTTAGACAGTGGGTGCAGCCCATGGAGAACAAGCTGAAGCAGGGTGGGGCGTTGCCTCGCCCAGGAAGCACAAAGGGTCAGGGAACTCCATCCCCTAGCCAAGGGAAGCTGTGAAGGATTGTGCCATGAAGAATGGAGCACACTGGCCCAGACACTACACTTTTCCCACAGTCTTCACAGCCTGCAGACAAGGAGCTTCCCTCTGGTGCCTACGCCACCAGGGCCCTGGGTTTCAAAACTGGGCAGCCATTTGGGCAGACACTGAGCTAGCTGCAGGAGGTTTTTTTCATACCCCAGTGGCACCTGGAACACCAGTGAGACAGAACTGTTCACTCCCCTGGAAAGGAGGCTGAAGCCAGCGAGCCAAGTGGTCTAGCTCAGCAGATCCCATCCCCACAGAGCCCAGCAAGCTAAGATCCACTGACTTGAAATTCTCACTGCTAGCACAGCAGTCTGAAATCAACCTGGGAGGCTCCAGCTTGGTTGGGGGAGGAGAGTCTGCCATCACTGAGGCTTAAGTAGGCAGTTTTCCCCTCACAGTGTAAACAAAGCCACTAGGAAGTTCAGACTAGGCAGAGCCCACCACAGCTCCACAAAGCCTCTGTAGCCAGACTGCTTCTCTAGAGTCCTCCTCTCTGGGTAGGGCATCTCTGAAAGAAAGACAGCAGCCCCAGTCAGGGGCTTATAGATAAAACTCCCATCTCCCTGGGACAGAGCACCTGGGGAAAGGGGCGGCTGTAGCTGCAGCTTCAGCAGACTTAAATGTTCCTGCTTGCTGGCTCTGAAGAGAGCAGCAGATCTCCCAGCACAGCACTGGAGCTCTGCTAAGCGACAGACTGCCTCCTTAAGTGGGTCCCTGACCCCTGTGCCTCCTGACGGGAAGACACCTCCCAGCAGGGGTCAACAGACACGTCATAGAGGAGAACTCCAGCTGACATTTGGTGGGTGCCCCTCTGGGACAAAGCTTCCAGAGGAAGGAGCAGGCAGCAATCTTTTCTGTTCTGCTGCCTCCGCTGGTGATACCTAGGCAAACAGGGTCAGGAGTGGAACCCCAGCAAACTCCAGCAGACCTGCAGCAGAGGAGCCTGACTGTTAGAAGGAAAACTAACAAACAGAAAGCAATAGCATCAACATCAACAAAAAGGACGACCATGCAAAAACTCCATCCGAAGGTCACCAACGGCAGAGACCAAAGGAAGATAAATCCACGAAGATGAGGAAAAACCAGAGCAAAAAGGCTGAAAATTCATGCCAAAAACCAGAATACCTCTTCTCCTCCAAAAGATCACAACTCCTTGCCAGCAAGAGAACAAAACTGGATGAAGAATGAGTTGAACAAATGGACAGAAATAGGCTTCATAAGGTAGGTAATAACAAATTCCTTCAAGCTAAAGGAGCATGTTCTAAGACAATGCAAGAAAGCTAAGGACCTTGATAAAAGGTTAGAGGAATTGCTAACTAGAATAAACAGTTTAGTGAAGAACATAAGTGAACTGATGGAGCTGAAAAACACAGAACGAGACCTTCATGAAACATATGCAAGTAACAACAGCCAAATCAATCAAGTGGATGAAAGGATATCAGAGATTGCAGATCAACTCAATGAAATAAAACATGAAGACAAGATTAGAGAAAAAAGAATCTAAAGGAACAAACAAAGCCTCCAAGAAATATGGGACTGTGTGAAAAGACCATACCTACATTTGATTGGTGTACCTGAAAGTGACGGGGATAAAGGAATCAAGTTGGAAAACACATTTCAAGATATTATCCAGGAGAACTTCCCCAACCTAGCAAGACAGGCCAATATTCAAATTCAGGAAATACAGAGAACACCACAAAGATACTCCTAGAGAAGAGCAACCCCAAGACACATAATCATCAGATTCACCAAGGTTGAAATGAAGGAAAAACATGTTAAGGGCAGCCAGAGAGAAAGGTTGGGTTACCCACAAAGGGAAGCTCATCAGACTAACAGCGGATCTCTCTGCAGAAAACCTACAAGCCAGGGCTGGGTGTGGTGGCTCACACCTGTAATCTCAGCACTTTGGGAGGCGGAGGCAGGCAGATCACCAGGTCAGGAGATCGAGACCATCCTGGCTAATGTGGTGAAATCCTGTCTCTACTAAAAATGTAAAAAATTAGCTGGGTGTGGTGGCGGGCGCCTGTAGTCCCAGCTACTAGGAAGGCTGAGGAAGGAGAATGGCGTGAACCTGGGAGGCAGAGTTTGCAGTGAGCCGAGATCACGCCACTGCACTCCAGCCTGGACGACAGAGCGGGACTCCACCTCAAAAAAATAAATAAATAAAAGAAGAAAGCCTACAAGCCAGAAGAAAGTGGGGACCAATATTCAACATTCTTAAAGAAAAGAATTTTCAAGCCAGAATTTCATTTCCAGCCAAACTAAGCTTCATAAGGGAAGGAGAAATAAAATCCTTCAAAGACAAGCAAATGCTAAGGGATTTTGTCACCACCAGGCCTGCCTTACAAGAGCTCCTGAAGGAAGCACTAAATATGGAAAGGAAAAAATGGTACCAGCCACTGCAAAAACAAAGCAAAATGTAAAGACCATTGACACTATGAAGAAACTGCATCAACTAATGGGCAAAATAACCAGCTAGCATCATAATGACAGGATCAAATTCACACATAACAGTATTAACCTTAAATGTAAATGGGCTAAATGCCCCCAATTAAAAGGCACAGACTGGCAAATTGGATAAAGAGTCAAGACCCATCAGTGTGCTGTATTCAGGAAATTCATCTCACATGCAAAGACACACATATTCAGGAAAGTCATCTCACATGCAAAGACACACATAGGCTCTAAATAAAGGGATGGAGGAAGATTTACCAAGCAAATGGAAAGCAAAAATAAAAAAGCAGGGGTTGTAATCCTAGTCTCTGTTAAAACAGACGTTAAACCAACAAAGATCTAACAAGACAAAGAAGGGCATTACATAATGGTAAAGGGATCAATGCAACAAGAAGAGCTAACTATCCCAAATATATATGCACCCAACACAGGAGCACCCAGATACATAAAGCAAGTTCTTATAGACCTACAAAGAGATTTAGACTCCCACACAATAATAGTGGGAGACTTTAATATCCCACTGTCAATATTGGACAGATCAATGAGACAGAAAATTAACAAGGATATCCAGTAATTGAACTCAGCTCTGGACCAAGCAGACCTAATAGACATCTACAGAACTCTCCACTCCAAATCAACAGAATATACATTCTTCTCAGCACCACATAGCACTTATTCTAAGATCGACCACATAATTGAAAGTAAAACACTCTTCATCAAATGCAAAAGAATGGAAATCATAACAAACTGTCTCTCAGACCACAGTGCAATCAAATTAGAACTCAGGATTAAGAAACTCACTCAAAACCACACAACTACATGGAAACTGAACAACCTGCTCCTGAATGACTACTGGGTAAAAAAATGAAATTAAGGCAGAAATAAATAAGTTCTTTGAAGCCAATGAGAACAAAGACACAACCAGAATCTCTGGGACACAGCTAAAGCAGTGTTTAGAGGGAAATTTATAGCACTAAATGCCCACAAGAGAAAGTGGGAAAGATCTAAAATCAACACCCTAACATCACAATTAAAAGAACTAGAGAAGCAAGAGCAAACAAATTCAAAAGCTAGCAGAAGATAAGAAATAACTAGGATCAAGCAGAACTGAAGGAGATAGAGACATGAAAAACCACTTCAAAAAATCAATGACTCCAGGAGCTGGTTTTTTGAAACTGTTAATAAAATAGATAGACCACTAGCCAGACAAACAAAGAAGAAAAGAGAGAAGAATCAAATAGACACAATAAAAAATGATAAAGGTGAGATCACCACTGATCCCACAGAAATACAAACTACCATCAGAGAATATTATAAACACCTCTATGCAAATAAACTAGAAAATCTAGAAGAAATGAATAAATTCCTGGAAACATACACCCTCCCAAGACTAAATCAGGAAGAAGTCTAATCCCTGAATAGACCAAAAACAAGTTCTGAAATTGACGCAGTAATTAATAGTCTACCAACCAAGAAAAGCCCAGGACCAGAAGGATTCACAGCTGAATTCTACCAGAGGTAAAAAGAGGAGGTGGTACCATTCCTTCTTAAACGATTCCAAAAGATAGAAAAAGAGGGACTCCTCCATAACTCATTTTATGAGGTCGGCATCATCCTGATACCAAACCTGGCAGAAACACAACAAAAAAAGAAAATTTCAGGCCAATATCCCTGATGAACATTGATATGAAAATCCTCAATGAAATACTGGCAAACTGAATCCAGCAGCACATTAAAAAGCTTATCCACCATGATCAAGTCAGCTTCATTCCTGGGATGCAAGACTGGTTCAACATACACAAATCAATAAATGTAATCCATCACATAAACAGAACCAATGGCAAAAACCACATGATTATCTCAATAGATGCAGAAAAGGCCTTTGATAGAATTCAACACCCCTTCATGCGAAAAACACTCAGTAAACTAGGTGTTGATGGAACATATCTCAAAATAATAAGAGCTATTTATGACAAACCCATGGCCAATATCATGCTGAATGGGCAAACCTGGAAGCATTGTGTTTGAAAACCGGCACAAGACAAGGATGCCCTCTCTCATCACTCCTATTCAACATAGTATTGGAAGTTCTGGCCAGGGCAATCATGCAAGAGAAAGAAAAAAAGCGTATTCAATTAGGAAAAGAGGAAGTCAAATTATGTCTTTTTGCCGATGACATGGTTGTATATTTAGAAAACCCCATTGTCTTAGCCCAAAAACTCCTTAAGCTGATAAGCAACTTCAGCAAAGTCTCAGGATACAAAATCAATGTGTAAAAATCACAAGCATTCCTATACACCAATAATAGACAGAGGGCCAAATCATGAGTGAACTCTCATTCACAGTTTCTACAAAGAGAATAAAATGCCTAGAAATACAGCTTACAAGGGATGTGCAAGGAGAAGTATAAACCACTGCTCAAGGAAATAAGAGAGGACAGAAACAAATGGAAAAATATTTGATGCTCATAGATAGGAAGAATCAATATTGTGAAAATGGTCGCACCACCCAAAGTAATATGTAGATTCAATGCTATTCCCATCAAGCTACCATTGACTTTCTTCACAGAATTAGAAGAAACTACTTTAAATTTCATATGGAACCAAAAAAAAGCCCATATAAGAACAAAGCTGGAGGCATCATGCTACCTGACTTCAAACTACACTACAAGGCTACAGTAACCAAAACAGCATAGTACTGGTACCAAAACAGGCATATAGAGCAATGGAACAGAACAGAGGCCTCAGAAATAACACCACACATCTACAACCATCTGATCTTTGACAAACCTGACAAAAACAAGCAACGGGGAAAGGATTCCCTATTTAATAAATGGTGTTGGGAAAACTGGCTAGCCATAGGCAGAAAACTGAAACTGGACCCCTGCCTTATACCTATACAAAAATTAACTCAAGATGGATTAAAGATTGAAACATAAGATCTAAAACCATAAAAACCCTAGAGGAAAACCTAGGCAATACCATTCAGGACATAGGCATGGGCAAAGACTTTATGACTAAAACACAAAAAGCAATTGCAACAGAAGCCAAAATTGACAAATGGGATCTAATTAAACTAAAGAGCTTCTGCACAGCAAAAGAAACTATCATCAGAGTGAACAGGCAACCTACAAAATGGGAGAAATTTTTTGCAATCTATCCATTTGACAAAGGGCTAATATCCAGAATCTACAAGAAACTTGAACAAATATACAATAAAAAATCAAACAACCTCATCAAAAAGTTGGCAAAGGATATGAACAGATACTTCTCAAAAGAAGACATTTCTTATGCAAACAACAAACGTATGAAAAAAAAAGCTCATCATCCATGGTCATTAGAGAATTGCAAATCAAAACCACAATGAGATACCATCTCACGCCAGTTAGAATGGCAATCATTAAAAAGTCAGGAAGCAACAGATGTTGGAGAGGATGTGGGGAAATAGGAACGCTTTTACACTGTTGGTGGGGGTGTAAATTAGTTCAGTCATTGTGGAAGACAGTGTGGCGATTCCTCAAGGATCTAGAACTAGAAATAGTATTTGACCCAGCAATCCCATTACTGGGTATATACCCAAAGGATTATAAATCATTCTACTATGAAGACACATGCACACATATATTTATTGCAGCACTATTCACAATAGCAAAGACTTGGAACCAACCCAAATGCCCATCAGTGTTACACTGGATACAGAAAATGTGGCACATATACACCATAGAATACTATGCAGCCATAAAAAACAATGAGTTCATGTCCTTTGCAGGGACATGGATGAAGCTGGAAACCATCATTCTCAGCAAACTAACACGGGAACAGAAAACCAAACACTGCATGTTCTCACTTATAAGTGGGCGTTGAACAATGAGAACACATGGGTACAGGGAAGGGAATATCACACACAAGGGCCTGTCGGGGGGTAGGGGGCAAGGAGAGGGATAGCATTAGGAGAAATACCTAATGTAGATGACGGGTTGATGGGTGCAGCAAATCACCATGGCACAAGTATACCTATGTAACAAACCTTCACCTTCTGCACATGTATCCCAGAACTTAAAGTATAATAATTTAAAAAATACAGTTGTGAGGATTCCATCAAATAGTATTTGTAAAAAGTGCTTAGTACCATTATATTCTCACCAAAAGTATTTCAGAATGATTCGGTCATAAGTGTCACAACTATTATATGTATGTTATGAATAATATTTCTTTTTCTTTTTCTTTTTTTTTTTTTTTTTTGAGACGGAGTCTCACTCTGTCACCAGGCTGAAGTGCAGTGACGTGATCTCGGCTCACTGCAACCTCTGCCTCAGCCTCCTGAGTAGCTGGGACTACAGGTGCATGCCATCACACCCAGCCAATTTTTTTATTTTTAGTAGAGATGGGGTTTCACCATGTTGGCCAGGATGGTCTCGATCTCTTGACCTCATGATCCACCCGCCTCATCCTCCCAAAGTGCTAGGATTACAGGCATGAGCCACCGCGCCTGGCCATGAATAATATTTCTAACATTATGAACTAAACTTCTGCTTCGATTAATACTTTATGCCTTATTTTCCATTATTAAGATGACCCCATCCTTCTTTTATTAAATTTTACTTTGATTTATCTTTTCTCAGTTTCCCCAACTTTTAGCTTCCTGTGTCATTTTATTTTAGATGTGTCCCCTGTAAAAGTATATTACTTGGTTTCATTGTGTTTTCGTTTTTGTTTTAATCCTTGCTGAGAGTCTTTGTCATTTACCAGAAAAACTAAGCTGTTATAGGCTTTGGCATTCCTAGAACATTTAGTCTGAAGTCATTTTGCTTTGTGTTTTTACGTGTTACCTTCCTTTTCTTTTGTACTCTGTTATAGGCACTATGTTTCTTCTTTTTTTCTCTAGAAATCTGTAATTTAAATAAAATTTCAATTGTTTAATGGTTATCTTTAAGTTTTTTGAAGAATATATTTAAAACTATAGTTCTTAAATTTTAAAGTTAGAAAATTGAGTATCATTTAATTTTATCTTATCTGAATTTAAGAAATCAGTATGATTTAGGTCAAAATTGTCTCATCCTCTTATTCCCTTTCAAGAAAACCCTAATGTGAACATTGCTGAATTGTGTTCTGAGATCTGATAAACAAGAGAAGTATAAGTCCAGTCTGATATTGTATTAACAATATTTTAAACACATAGTTTTTTTTTTTTTCATGTAGCAAGAAGTTGAGAGGTGAGTAATCGAGGAATAGTAGAGCTGCTCAAGGATGTCTTAAAAAATCCAGATTCTTGCATAGCTGAATTTCCAGCTACTTGGGAGGCTCAGGCAGGAAGATTGCTTGAGCCCAGGAGTTTGAGGCTGCAGTGAGCTATGATGGTGCCACTGCACTCCAGTGTGGGAGACAGAGTGAGACTCTGTCTCTTAAAAAAAAGATAACCCAAGAATCCAGATTCTGAGTGTCCTTCTTCTCCATCTTTCATCACTGTATTTCTGGCTGGATTTTTTGACGTGGGAATGCAAAGATCAATAAGGCATATTTCTTGCTTTCAAGATGCTCACAAAATACTGTGTACAGTGCAGAAAACATGGTCATGGATTCATTGACATTCCTCCCACCAATAGGTGGGATTGGTGTCCCCTCTTTTTGAGGCTTTGACCACTAGAACATGGCAGATGTGATATGGTGCCAGTTTCAGGCCTTATAGATTGGCAATTCCAAGTGCCTTTCTTTGACAGAACTCTGAGCCACAAATAATAAGTCTGACCACTCTGTTGGAGAGACCATAGAGAGACTGTGAAGCTGCATAAAAAGGAAGAGGCTCCCAGCAGAACACAGCCTCCCAGCCCTCCCCACTAAGTGCAGAAATGTGAGTGAAACTGCCTGAACTTGCCAGATAGACCTATCACCAGCTGAATACCACAAGTGAGCCAGTGGACCCCACATGGAGCAAAGGATTCTCTCGGCAAGCCCTGCCTGATTTCCTGATCCATTTCATTGTGAGAAAGAATAAAATGTCTATGTTAAGCCACTCCATTTTGGAATAGTTTGTTACACAGAAATAGATTACCAAGAGATAAGTGCATACAAACGGACAATTATAAAACAATATAAAAGGTTATTGGTAGCTGCTTAGGAGAATAGATTTCAATGGCAAATTAAGTAATTGTAATAATAGGCACCTGTTTCTAACAAACGATAAGCTTAAAATCTACATTTATGTATGATTTTTTCAATTTTATTTATTTTTGTAATTATTAACCAGGTCTCTTTTAGTAGCAGGTGGCAGTTATAGAATTCAGCAGAACCAAAAAGAGAACTCAATGGGCTTCAGGACTGAAAAGAAGAAATTCTAGGTAGGGCCCAGGAAACTGGGCCTGCACCTTCTCGACCTTTCTTCATCACTAGTCTGCTCTGCTCGTCTCACACAACAGGCAGCTTGTCTTCATGGGGATGAGAGGAGAAGCTGACTGTGGACAGCCCGGGCAGAATAACTTGTTCTTCCCCACTTTGCATTGGTATAAATAAGTGGTCTTGGGAAGAACTGCCCAGGCCTGGCTCTGCTCATTACCATGGACTGAGGTTTAAGATGTAGGGTCTGTAAGATGAAAGAGAATAGGAAAAATCATGGAAATAGTTTAAATCAGTGCTGAGCAATTACTGTTATTCCCAGGGAGCTGCTGTACTTGAACTTACAAATTCAGAAGATTCTCCAGAAAAGAGATGCTTAAAAATAAACAAAATCTAATGTCAGGCAGTGCATCATTACTTGGAAAATGAAAGTTTTAGGGGATATTAAAATTATTATTAAGTTCCTACTTGGTGCAAATCACAGTCCAGATTCTAAGCAAGATATAAAATGAAAGATTTGACCTGAACAATTTTCTGATCTAATTTTATCACATTACATAAAAGTTTAACAGTTTTAGCCACCATAAAAGATACAAATATGAAAAATGATAGCCCATTTTAGACCAATTTGTGAATATTGTTAAAAATGTAGTTTTATGAAGGGTTCAAGATGTGATTACCTTGCATAGTCTGTGAAAAAAAAATGCTGGTGAGGCTATACTGTCCTTTATTTTAATAAGAAATAAATGATCTTATTGATGGAATTTTGAATACTGAGAAAAAAATTGACATCCTTTCAAACATATTAGTATTTTAGTTACCTTATTATCTTATTATTTTAAAAGTAACTTTACCATTTTAAGAAAGATCCTGTTCTTTATAACCAGTAAGAGATTGAAGATGAGAGCAAGCTCTGTGCTTTTACCCATAGGCATTGCCCATTGAGTATGGCACTGGGGCACCATACAGAAATATTGACATTTGCTCTTCTGCCATATTTCCTCTACTTTTTCTTTGGGTTTGGTAGAAGAGAGATAGGTTTATCTGAAAACTCTTGGAGTTTTTGACTGACTACTGAGATGCAAAACTTGTATTAAGATATGTCTGGCTTGGCTGGGCACAATGGCTCGTGCCTGTAATCCCAGCACTTTGAGAGGCTGAGGCAGGAGGATATCTTGAGCCCAGGAGTTTGAGACCAGCCTGGACAACATAACAAAACTCCGTCTCTAGAAAAAAATTTAAAATATTAGCCAGGCATGGTGGTGAGTGCCTGTAGTACCAGATACTCAGGAGGCTAAGGTGGAGGATTGCTCGAACCCAGGATGTTGAGGCTGCAGTGAGGTATGACAGGACTACTACACTCCAACCTGGGTGACAGAGCAAGACCTTGTCTAAATACACACACACACACACACACACACACACACGTGCACATACACACACACCTGGCTATTTGCTTCTTCTCACTCATTTTACTTCCTTTTAGTGACCTTTTAAAATCTGTGCCTTGGGTCTGATGTTATATTTATAAATGCTTTTTTTCTGGTTATATATTTTATTATTGCTTTTGTTCCATTTATTCATCTTAACTTTGGTTGTCTGCATATGTTTGCCTTTTTATCTACAGTCAAGTGGAACTTTTAAGGCTCCTGCTCTAGATTACTCCTTTGATTTTTGCAGTATTGATTTTGTCTTTGGGGACTTCTAAAGCAGATTGCAGTTCTATGATTGCATTTCAATTGTCTATAATCTTTCCTTATTTTACCTAACAACTTTTTATATCTCTTTCTGATTCTCAGGTTTTTTTTCATCTCAACTTGTGTCTCAACAGCTAATCTTTCAACTTTCCTTTTATAAAGTGTTCCCATTCTTAAGATTGAGAATTTAAGCAACAGCTTTCAAAATATATTTTTGTGTGTCCTGTACTAGATGATACAATGTGTTTCCTCTTTTATATCAAAAATATATCCTTAGGCCCAATGCATATTTTCTTTTCACTGCTCCTTCTCCCTAAATAGGGGCCAGAGCAATTAGGGTCTATTGCTTGCCCTCAAAACGAATAGAATTTCCTAGCTCCCCTGTTCTTGCTGTTTGAATTATCTGTTTGATCTCAAGCAGCAGGATATACTGACATTATGAGTTTATTTAACTTAATTTGCTTTAGCCATAGATCTGGTGCCTAGCATTTATTTGTCTAGTGTGTATCCTTTAGATCTGTATTGTTCAATAGAGTAACCAGTAGCCACGTGTAGCTATAAATTAATTTAAATTAAATACACTTAACTTTAGCCTCCTAATTTGCACTAGCCACATTTGAAGTGCTCAGTAGCTCCTGATTGCAGACCTGAGACATCCCCATCATTGCAAAAAGTCCTACTGGATGATGTTATTCTAGAGTGAGATTCATCTGCTCATACTCTGCAGTTATCTGGCTATGAAACATTGAATTTATTCCCATAATATTAAAACATTCTATGATTTTCTTCTTACAAGATAGAGAAAATGAAAAGTACAATCCTCCATGTATGACTCTACCATGGGTCTTCCTATCTACACCACTTGTTAATTATATTCTTAATATTGCAAGATGCAAGACAGCCCCATTTATCTAGACTCTTCCTCTGTCCAGTAGGACTTTTTGCAATGAAGGGGGTGTCCCATGTCTGTAATCAGGAGCTATTTCCATATTGGCCATTACTGGGCATTTGATTCTCAGGAAGGAAGTGCTCAGAAAGAGGGACTGATTTTCAGAAAAAGAAACAAATTGAGGAATGTGTGCATAGGTGGGAGAGTATCAAAGACTGAAAAGGCCTCAGGTACTGCAAAAATCATTGCTTCACATGAGAAACATGGTTGTTAGACTGCTGGCTGACAAAGGCTCCTTGTCTCTCAAGAAGGGAAACATGAAGGGAGTCATGAAGGCCTCCTCTGTGGCTACATGGCCAAGTTGTATCTCAAAGCTTCCTCTATGTTTTTCTCTGTACAAGACCATTCGCCAATGTTCTTATCTCCAGATAAAATGGTAACTTAACTTGTCTTTTCAACTTCCAAGATTGTTCCAGTGGAAAGGTAGGGAAGGGTGAAACCAGTGTTGGAATGAAGGGATTATCTTCACCAGAATGAGCCTATGTAGGCTCAACTTTCCAAGGTCAGCTTCCTCCCTGAGCGTGGTGCTGGTGCTTCCTAGTTCCTTTCTGACCCTCCTTTCCTTCTCTCTAGTACTTTTTGCTCCCAGCAGGATGCAAACCTTGCCTGGCGTAATACCCAGTTGAAAGCTAAGTAAATATACAGCCTGGAACCTATTTTTGGTGAGAATGAGAAGTAGAAATTTGGGATAATCTCTTTTTTCCATGAATGTTTTACCTTGCTTTCAAATATACTTCTTTTCGCTCTATTAAAAAAAAAATTATCTGAAATCCAAGCCCAACATATAGGGAGAAATCCAGCCTAGACTGGACTTTAGTTCCATGAAGGCAGGAGTAATGTCTATCTGGCTCACTGCTGTTTCTGCAGGACCTATGTGGATTTCTTTCAGTCTATAGAAAATATATACCTTGATGCTTTACAAAATGACTCAATAGAATTTTTAGGGGCTTCAGGATCAACAAAATTTATTTTGCTAGTGGAGTCTTGAAGTGAATTTAGTGCAATCTCCTTATTTTACAGGTAGGGAAACTGAGGAACAGAGAGATAACTTTTTTAAAAAACATAAAAAGAGCGCAGTCTTTGGAGGTGAGTATATTTGGATTTCATCACTCATTAGGTAAGTGGGCAGTGGATTGAATGACTCTCTACCCAACTTTCTCATCTGTAAAATGAAACTAATGATGCTTCCCTTATATGATTCTTTTTTTTTTTTTTTTTTTTTTAGACAGAGTCTCACTCTGTCACCCAGGCTGGAGCGCAGTGACATGATCTTGGCTCATCGCAACCTCTTCCTTCCAGGTTCAAGCGTTTCTTTTGCCTCAGCCTCCCAAGTAACTGGGATTACAGGTGCCTGCCACCACACCTGGCTAATTTTTGTATTTTCAGTAGAGATGGGGTTTCATCATGTTGGCCAGGCTGGTCTCAAACTCCTGATCTCAGGTGACCTGCCCACCTCAGCCTCCCAAAGTCCTGGGATTACAGGCGTGAGCCAACACGCCCTGCCCCTTTATATGATTCTTATGAGATAATGTACCCATTTGTCATTCTACAAAGAACAGCATTATTTCTCAAAGGCATGTAGAGAGTTAGAATCAAAGTGCATCTCTCCTCTTCCCCAGAACTGGGCTGACTGTCTTTGTGGGATGCAGTCCAAATCACATGTGACAGGGGCCCAATCCAGAGGGCTGATGACCTTTGGGGAAATGAGGTTGCTGAGGAGGTCAGAGGTGGAGAAAGGCAGAGCTAAATTAACTGGCCAATCAATGTCCCGCATGCTCATCCTCCTGTTTTGTATTGAATGTTCAGAATATATTCAAATTCTCAAATTCATTGGCCTGCAGAGAATTTCTCATGTGAAGGTTGAGCTGTTTCCTGCTGTTTCGAATAAGTGCCTAATCTTCCTATAGTTATGGGCATTAGAACTGCCGCCCTTCCTCTTTTCTTTCAGTAGGAAAAACTGACCTCCTCCCACCGGTGGGAGGAGCAGGCAGAACAAAGGATAATAGTGATGAGAATAAATCATACAAGTAGAAGTGGGTATAAGTGTTCTACCAGGGAAACTTCCTTAATGCCAACCTTAGGCGATGGAGAACAGCCCTCCTCCTATTACGACTCTCCTCTTCACTACAACCCCAACTACAAGGCCAGCAAACTTTTGGCTCTAAAGGGCTTAGATAGTAATGACATTAGGCTAGGTGGGTCCTACCATTTCTTTTGTAACTGCTCAGTTGGGCCTGTACAGTAGGAAAGCAGCCATATTCAACACATAAATAGCTGAGCTAGCTGTGCTCCATGCAACTGTATTTATGAAGACTGACATCTGGATTTCGTATAATTTTCACATGCCACAAAATATTATTATTCTATTGATATTTTTCAACCTTTTAAAAATGGAAAAGCCTTTCTTAGCCTACAGAAAATGTCAGTGGGCCAGATTTGGCCTCTGGGCTATAGTTTACTGACCAACCCCTGCTTCCATAGCAGACCAGGGTAGCGTTTTTGAAATAATTTCACTGGAGTGCCCGAGGAAAATTTTGCAAAATAGATCAAAGTTTGTCCCCAGCCCCTCTTGCCTTCCCGCTGTGTTCCTAGCCTCTCTCTCTTCTGGATTTCACTTTAATTCGGGTTTACAGAGAACTCACACAGGCTCTTTGTCTGCCAGTGACCCCCACACCCAGCCAAGGGTGGAATGGATGGGTCATGGTAACTAGAAATGATAAGAAAATCAACCTATTTTGAAGAATTTGCACTGTCAGGTTTAAGACTTCTTCCTGTGGGTAAACATCTTCTCCTTTAAGATACAGAGTTTTTGAGTTAGTGCATGAATTGAAAATAATGACAGTGTTTCCAGATCTTCTTCCCTGCCTATTTGCTGGCCCTTCTGCAGTCTGTGACATTTTTCTCCTGAAGCGAGGTCAAAAGAAAGGGGGTCCATTACTGACACCGAATTTCAGCAAAGTTAGCAACCTTATCCCTGGCATCTCTGGGTCTTTCTCCTATGGCCTCTGCCTGCTCACACAGCCAGACCTGGCAGGACCTGGTGCCCAAGCAAGGGCCGGCCTAATGTCTAGTTTGGGTTTCTAGCACTGAAGGGCCCCTAAAAGAGAAGCAGAGGCTCCCTGAGGGTCCTTTGCTTACTGTACCCGAGTCCAGCCCACTCCAGAGAAGTGAAACATGTTCTGCATTGGCTGTGTAATGAGGATCACCAGCAGGCAGGTAGGCCTGGCAGGGGCAGACGTGGCAGCCGCAACAGGCCCAGGACACAGCAAGCTTGCAGCAGAGCCTGCGGGGTGCCTGCAGCAGGGAGACCCCACCAGGACCCAGTGATGGTAAGGGATCTGCTTTGGGTCTTTCACTCATGACAAAAGGCCAGTGCTCCACCACTGGGACCATCTGGGCAGTACCCTCTAATTATGACTTTCCCTTGCCTGCCTTCAAGGCTAGACCTGCCTTCCAAAGCAACAGCATAGAAAGGCAATAAAAATAGGATGAGCTTGCGTGCTGGTTCCAGCTTTACTACTAAATAGAATGTGTCAGTGTCACTTAGCCTCTTTGATTCTAGGCAGTCTGTAAAATGAGGAGCTGGATTAGGTCAATGATTTTCCTTATAGGACAGGGTACATGGGGTGGGGGAAACTTCACAAAATGCACCAGAATCTATGCGGGATCATATTCTAAATAGCATGTGAGCCTCCTGCACCAACTCCAACCCAAATGTATCAGAATTGGGGTACAGCATAGACGGGTATGAACTTTGAACAATCTTGGCAGACACTGAGATGAAGAAACCCTGACCCAGAGGAGAACCATCAGGCTAAATCCTTTCTAAAAACCCCTGGAGCTCTGATAGTATATGATTCTGTGAAAAGAATAGAATCGCCCTCTCCCTCTCCCTCTCCCTCTCCCTCTCCCTCTCCATTTCCCTCTCCCTCATTTCCCTCTCCTTCATCTCCCTCTCCCTCCACTGCCTCCCTCTCCCTCTCTCTCCACGGTCTCCCTCTGATGCCGAGCCGAGGCTGGACTGTACTGCCGCGATCTCAGCTCACTGCAACCTCCCTGCCTGATTCTCCTGCCTCAGCCTGCCGAGTGCCTGGGATGGCAGGCGCCCGCCGCCATGCCTGACTGGTTTTCGTATTTTTTTAGTGGAGACGGGGTTTCGCCGTGTTGGCTGGGCTGGTCTCCAGCTCCTAACCGGGAGTGATCTGCCAGCCTCGGCCTCCCGAGGTGCTGGGATTGCAGACGGGGTCTCCCTCACTCAGTGCTCAATATTGCCCAGGCTGGAGTGCAGTGGTGTGATCTCGGCTCGCTACAACCTCCACCTCCCAGCCGCCTGCCTTGGCCTCCCAAAGTGCCGAGATTGCAGCCTCTGCCCAGCCACCACCCTGTCTGGGAAGTGAGGAGCGTCTCTGCCTGGCCGCCCATCGTCTGGGATGTGAGGAGCCCCTCTGCCCGGCCGCTCAGTCTGGGAAGTGAGGAGCGCCTCTTCCCAGCCTCCATCCCGTCTAGGAAGTGAGGAGCGTCTCTGCCCGGCCGCCCATTGTCTGAGATGTGGGGAGCGCCTCTGCCCGGCCGCCCCATCTGGGATGTGAGGAGCGCCTCTGCCCGGCCGCGACCCTGTCTGGGAACTGAGGAGTGTCTCTGCCCGACCGCCACCCCGTCTGGGAGGTGAGGAGCGTCTCTGCCCGGCCGCCCCGTCTGAGAAGTGAGGAGTCCCTCTGCCTGGCAGCCGCCCCGTCTGGGAAGTGAGGAGTGTCTCTGCCTGGCAGCTGCCCTGTCCGGGAGGTGGGGGGCGCCTCTGCCCGGCCTCCCCGTCTAGGAAGTGAGGGGCCCCTCTGCCCGGCCGCCACCCCGCCTGGGAGGTGTACCTAACAGCTCATTGAGAACGGGCCATGATGACGATGGCGGTTTTGTCAAATAGAAAAGGGGGAAATGTGGAGAAAAGAAAGATAAATCAGATTATTGCTGTGTCCGTGTAGAAAGAAGTAGACATGGGAGACTCCATTTTGTTCTGTACTAGGAAAAATTTTTCTGCCTTGGGATGCTGTTAATCTATAACCTTACCCCCAACCCCTGTGCTCTCTGAAACATGCGCTGTGTCCACTCAGGGTTAAATGGATTAAGGGCAGTGCAAGATGTGCTTTGTTAAACAGATGCTTGAAGGCAGCATGCTCGTTAAGAGTCATCACCACTCCCTAATCTCAAGTTCCCAGGGACACAAACACTGCGGAAGGCGGCAGGGTCCTCTGCCTAGGAAAACCAGAGACCCTTGTTCACATGTTTATCTGCTGACCTTCCCTCCACTATTGTCCTATGACCCTGCCAAATCCCCCTCTCCGAGAAACACCCAAGAATGATCAATAAATACTTAAAAAAAAAAAAAGAAAAGAATAGAGTCAACAGTGTTATCACTCTGTCCTCTCTGAATAATCTATGTGGAATAATGGAACACTTAGTTCAAAAATACATAACACTGCAAACATGGTTAATATTGATTTTTTAAAAAATTATTTGTAGATGTTTGATTTCCTGCAGCATCTACCCTTAGGAGGATATTGCTCTGAGATGAATCAGATGCAAGTGCACCTTGGGAGTGGGAACATACTGGTATCAGGCCAAGGTATCCTAGGTAGAAATTGCATACCATGCAGGTAACACCTTGAATGTGGACAAGGCCAATCCAGACAGGGCTATCTGTTAGTCAAAGCCATCCTGGCCTCTGGCAGTGTTAGACTGTGTGATGTGTTGATGTTCAAATCCTTTGGTTATTGGACCCACGCTTTCACTGGTGAGACATTCTGAAGTTTATTACTGTTTTTCTGGTAAGGTCAAGATGTTCTTCCAACATTAGATGCTCCAACAGTCTTTGGTATCTTCTGTTCGGTAACATGTGTCACATTTGTAGCTGCTTGTGAAATTGTCTGTCTTCTTCACTGAAATGTAAGCTCCATGAGAATAGTGACCTTGTCTGTCATGTTCAACATGGTGCCCAGCATGGGGCCCTGCACCTCATGGAAATTCAATAAAAACTTATTAAATATGGATGCTACCCTGTTTAAAGAGACTTTGCCTGTAGAATCTTCCCCGACAACTGCTGGTTCTCCAAACCACACCAGCCTGGAGAACATAATAATTCTTTGCTCAGCCTCAGCCCATGAAATTTCCTGGTGCTCCAAGGCCCCACTCTAGGTCAGCCTTCTTTTACAGGATAAGAGCCAATGCTGTCTCCTAAATGGTTTCCTTTATCTTCCATCCTCCATTCTTCATCCCCTCTTGTTCACATTCCCCAGTTCACCCATACGCTCCTGGCTTCACAGGCTCAGCAATGATCTCTAACCTCTCCATGTGTGTGAGTTTGCCTTGGGCTCTGAGGTCACTGCCAAGGGACGTGATGGGGATTTGAAATCCTGATATGACCCTGAGATGGTGGATGGCTAAAGGGAAGTTAACTTCAGGACTGTGGGGAAAATAAAAAAGGTAAGAAGTTTGGATCGAACAACAGAGAGATGAGTTAAGCTTACCTGGAAGGTGAATAAGACTCCCAAACCAAAAATGTTGAACTATCCAAAAGATTAAAAGGGAAGCAGAAATGAATAGCTAGAATGGAGGTTAGAGTGTTGAGAGTGGGTTTTGATTTTTCCTGCCCCTTTTTCAATCCTTCTTCTTGTTCCCCACTGTAAACAGCGAGCCTTGCACATATAGTTTCTAAGCTCTAGGGTGGGTCATAGCAAAGATGAGTGGGGGTTGCAGTTGACTTGAGGTTGTCCACTTCTGAGGGTTTCTGTCCTCGGTCACATCACTCCCCATTCTCTGAAGCCTCTGTAGCTAGAATTCAAGTCGCTGCCTCTCAGCATCCAGGGGCTTTCGTGGCCAGCAGGGCTAATAAAAGTCATGCATAAGGAATGAAAACAGCAACTTCAGAGCTCTTTGAAATACTATACCCACCGGAAGGAAATCAACAAAACAAGGGAAAGAGCATTTTTAAATGAGCTGACTGGTATTTATCTGTATTTATCCAAGTCCACAAGGCTCTTAGCAGGTTGCAAATTAATACTTCAAGCCAGATTCTGAATAAGCCACAGGGGACCAATGAGAACTTACGTGCCTGGAAACTAGAAGGCCTAATGGATCAGCTGTCACTCCCTCTGCTGGGCTGGCAGTTAGAGTTCGCATCAAGCCATTTCTTCCCATTATCAAAGTCATGGAGTATTTTACATCCTTCAGTGACACTCACGATTTGGCAGGCTCATCCTGCGTTTTTCCCTGCCAATCTGCAAGATCATCTCCTTCCTGGTAACCTGATGCAGTCCTGGTTTGTTATTATTCCCAGCCCTACAGAAAAATAACAGGAGAAGAATGGAAGGTGCCTTTAGATGTGGATGAGAAAAAGAAGAGCCATAGATTTCAGGAACTGGGTGCACGGGGAACAAAGTTGGGATGGAGAGAATGGTCTGAGCTTCCCCGACTGTGGACAATAAATGGGTGCATTATCTGAAAAGTACTTAAAAACAACAGAAAAAGGAATAAAAGTCTGCTTTTTATTACCCATGCATAGGTAATTCTAAACAATGCCAGTGATAACATTTTCCTTGCACTGGTGTGACCCCTACCCTCGGCCTGCCTCAAGGTACAGTTGCTTGAGAGTGAATTAATCCAAACTTCTCATGTGCTGATGGGGAAATGTGGCCCCAGTGTCTGGACACAGGCCCTTCAGTCAGAGCTTCTCATTGAGCCCAGGTCTCTTTTCTGCATCTCAGAGGCCTTTTTAGTCCATTATGCTGCCTGAGTCTGGGGTTAGAAAACACTGAGTGAACCTATTTCCTCGGCAGAATTTGTTCATGCTAAACAAATAAAACATCTGAAAATCCTGGAAGAAAGTCCAACAGCTGCACCCAGTACCTGCTTTGCTTCTAACCCATATTTGAGAATTTTCAGTCTTAAAGCAATTTAGTTCTATCCTACCCTTTATTAATGTAAAGATAGTTGTTCTTCCCATATTGGAAAATGCAACTATTTTCATATAGATCGATTTCTATTTTAAAATCACTGTGAGTCTCTCTTCTGGTTTTCAGTTCTCAAACTCAGGGGTGCAAGGAATATCGCACAAAATGCACAATGATAAATATTTCATTTTGTAAATTAAAACACCAGTTTATTATGGACTCACAGCCCTCCTCCCACCAAGTAGGCAGGGAAGTCACCTTCGGGTATTTAAGAGCTTTCTCACTTTGAGGTTTCCAAGCCATAGCCTTGTCTTTGCAGTTTAGCCCATCCTCCTGGGAACTCCCATGCCATCTGCCCTACAACCCCTCTTGTATCATATTCAGTGCCTTGGCCTCCTCTCAGGGGGGTCACCAGTCTCTCCCTGGATAATGTTTATTTCCTGGCTCTTTTTGGTAGGCACTTTGTTGTTGAATTTCCTGGCATTTTATACTTATTATTGCACGTGATTCTTTTTTCCCTTTGAAGGGAATTATTTTTCTCCTGGGCTTTTAAGATCAGAAACATGTTATTAGAGACTCAACTGGAAAAGGAATTAATCCAAGGAAATGCATCCACAAACCAAGAGAAAGGCAAGCGTGGGATTAACTTGACCAACACCCGAGTCAGGAGTGGTTTTGTGTTTGATTTATCCACATGAGGGGAGTGAATTCATCACCCCAGGTATCGTATCTCCCTGAGTCATTTCCTCCGCTGACCTCCCTCCACCCACATTGCACATGCTCCAAAGAAAAGCGAAATCAGTGAGACATAGTGAGACCCCCACCTCTACACACACACACAAAAAGGTCTTTGCCTTCAAGCTCTGTCTCTACAGGTCAAGCCTATGTCAAACGTCTGTCCCCACCTGCTTGGCCAACACTGGGAGGAGAAAGAGAGAGAATGAGGAGCTAGAAGGAGCTGGGGTCACACAGGAGTGAGAGAACAGACCATTAGGGAGCCCAGGTCAGAGCCCTGCAGATTCAGTCTCCTGGAGCAGAGTCCTGCTCCCTCCTGGGCTTCCTTACAGTCGACATGATGCTTCCTCACAAGGGGTTTCCTTTAGTCTTTGCAACAGCCCAGAGTGACAGACACTTTACAGATAAGGACACAGGACTGGAGCAGGCAGTAGTGCACCCTGGGTTATTCATTGCATTCACAGCAAGGTGGGACTCAAATGGCCAACCTCTTTCTGTTAGACTCTGGGTTTTTTGATCTAACATGGTGGGAAAAAATGGGTTTGGAAACCACTAAGACCTTGCCTCAAATCCTAGCTCAAATGCGTATTGGCTCTGTGACCTGGAGGACATTCTTTAATGTTGCTATCTTGGGAACTGTTTTCCTCATATTTCAAAACTTTTCTTGTAAGGATTGAATGAGTTAATATACATAAGTCCCAGCACAGTGACTGGCACCTAGAAGGGGTTCAATCTCTAGGAATAGGAAGCTGCACATCAGTCCCAGAACATATAGACACACAGATAATTGAAAACAAACAAATACAGATTTGATAAGAAATGAATAGGTGCTCCATTTCCTATGTTTTGCAATTAATTTGGGAAAGTTTAGCCTTTAGATCAATTTAATATCCTTGCTTAGGCCAGGTACCGTGGCTCATGCCTATAATCCTACCACATTGAGAAGTTAAGGTGGGAGGATTGCTTGAGGCAAGGAGATCCTGTCTCTACAAAAAAGTATAGTTCAAGACCAGCCTGGCAAACATGGTGAAACCCCGTTTCTACTAAAAATACAAAAAATTAGCCAGACATGGTGGCAGGCGCCTGTAATCTCAGCTACTCAGGAGGTTGAGGTGAGAGAATCACCTGAACCTAGGAGGTGAAGGCTGCAGTGAGCTGAGATCATGCCATTGCACTCCAGCCCTCCAGCCTGGGCAACAAGAGGGAAGCTCCATCTCAAAAAAAAAAAAAAAGAAAAGGAAAGAAACAACAACAACAACAACAACAAACACTAGCTGGGTATGGTGGTATGCGTCCCAGCTGCACAGCTGGCTGTGGTGGGAGGATTGCTTGAGCCCAGGAGTTCAAGGCTTCAGTGAGCCATAATTGCACTACTGCAACTCCAGCCTCAAAAAAAAAAAAAAGATCGAGTGCAGTGGTTCATACCTGTAATTCCAGCACTTTGGGAAACTGAGGTGGGAGGATTGTTTGAGGCCAGGAATTGGAGACCAATCCAGGAGACATAGTGAGACCCCCATCTCTACACACACACACACACACACACAAATAATTATAAAACTAGCTGGGCATGGTGGTGCACACCTGCAGTCCCAGCTACTCAGGAGTCTTAGGTGGGAGGACTGCTTGAACCTGGGAGGTTAAGGCTGCAGTAAGCTATGATTACACCACTACACTGCAGCCTGGGTGACAGGGCAAAACCCTATCTAAAAAAAAAAAAAAAAAGAAAAAAAAAGAAAAGAAAGAAAAAGAAAATTCCAAGCCACAGCTTGGAGCAGACTTAGCAAGATGCCATAGCACCAGCCCCTCAGAATTAGTGCTCTCAGACCTCCAGCTGCTTCTCACACGTGTGCGGTTCTGCTGTGTGGCTCAAACTCCAAGTGACCTCACTGAGCTATTGTCATGTTTGCATAAGCTTCTTTCCAGAAGTTGGAATGGAGCTGTTGAATTACTCATGTTTTTATCCAGACCCTGTTTTTGAATCTAGCATACATGTTCTCTTGAAACTTCCAGTCCTAAATTAAATATTGCTCTGACCTTAATTAGGTGAATAACTGATTGCTGGAGAGATGAGAAAAAAGTGACTTGGAAGTGTTCTGAACTTCAGTGGGGATAAGATGGGTGGACGCTTTCAGTTCAGGTCTGGCATAAGGGTATCCGTTGTTGTGGAGTGTGGGGTTTCCTTCCCACTTCCGATGTTTCCTCCCAGGTAGGAAAGCTCAGGGAGTAAAACATTCCTGCTCCTTCACTTCCTCTCTTGTAGGGAAAGTGGAGTGGCTAATTTGATTGGGAAATTTGGGGAAAAGGAACCACCTTGCTTGCTTCATCTCCTCCCATATTCCACAGTTCACCTCCAAGGATGGCCTCTGTCGTAGCAAGGCATCGGATACGGCTCAGGCACTGAGGGCTACCCTAGTCCAGTCTGGTCCTGGCACTTAACAGGCATGAAAGTCTGCCTAGGCTGGGGGCAATGGCTCACGCCTGTAATCCCAGCACTTTGGGAGGCTGAAGTGGCTAGATCATCTGAGGTCAGGAGTTTGAGACCAGCCTGGCCAACATGGTGAAACCTGGTCTCTACCAAAAATACAAGAAATTAGCTTGGCACATGGTGAAGTGAACTTCTGGCAGGAGAATTGCTTGAACCTGGGAGGTGGAGGTTGCAGTGAGCAGAGGTCACACCACTGCACTCCAGCCTGGGTGACAGAGTGAGACTCCATCTCAAAAAAAGAAGACAACTGCCCATATATAAAAATCATGTATTTCCATATAGACTTTACCAGTAAAATGGTTATATTTGGCAGCTATTTCTATTTGCCTAACTGCTGAATTTGCTCAAAACTAAAACAGAGAAAAAAGCGTTATTCATTTCCCTTCCTCAAAGATTTTGCTGCCATTGGGTGTTCATGGCCCAGCCTTAGCCCTGTACCCTCAAGGGTCTATAGGAGGCTTGAGGCTCAACTGTTAAGTGGAACGTAATAATACAGGGATGGGGTAGGAGGAGAGAAGGGATGTCTCCCGTAATGAGTATATCTGTGGGCATGTCTGAAATTGGAATCATTTACAATGAAAAGAACTGAACCAAACTGAAGTCAGTCAGGACCCATGTCCCTCTGAGGGTTAAATTCATTCTGTTAAAAAGGCCAAGGTTGTGGGTTCAAAGTCCATTATATTCAGCTAGCTCTATAGAAGCAAAAATCTTTTCAGAAGTTATGACCTTGGGATGCTATCATGCAAATCCCCTTTATTGGTCACAGGGGAAACCTCATGAATGAATGTAAATGGCTCCATACTAACCCATTCCCACTAGAGGGAATGCAGCTCAAAGTAGGTTCTATGTATTAGAAAAGTAGAACTGATCACTGCATTGAATGCATTAAGTGGAATAGCAGCCATGACAGTTTGCAGACCTCAGTGTTAAAAAGAAAAACATTTATTCATTGAAAAAAGTTGAACACCTACCAGGGAGCTAGGTGCTCTGGTAAAAATCAATAAACACGAGGTAGTATCCCCAGTGGTACTTATCTACTAGAATGTAGCGGGAAAAACATTTAACAATAACTAACTAGAGGAGTAGCTATATTAAAAAACAAAACAAACAAACAAAAAACACCAAAATAGTGGAATAGGCGGGAAATACTAAGAAAATTCCTGGAGGGCTGAGATTCAAAGGAAGTTGAGAGAAGAGTTGAACGGGATTTTACTTTTTATTTTTGTTTTATTTTATTTTTGAGACAGAGTTTCGGTCTTGTTGTCTGGGCTGGAGTGCAATGGCATGATCTCGGCTCACCACAACCTCCACCTCCGAGGTTCAAGCAATTCTCCTGCCTCAGCCTCCCAAGTAGCTGGGATTACAGGCATGTGCCACCACACCTGGCTAATTTTGTATTTTTTTGAGTAGAGATGGGGTTTCTCCATCCGCTGGTCTTGAACTCCTGACCTCAAGTGATCCTCCCACCTCGGCCTCCGAAAGTGCTGGGATTATGGGCATGAGCCACTGCACCTGGCCTTTTATTTTATTTTATTTTTTAATTCCAGGGTACATGTGCAGGATGTACAGGTTTGTTACATAGGTAAACATGTGCTGTGGCAGTTTGCTGCACCTAACAACCCATCACCTAGGTTTTAAGCCCAGCATGCATTAGCTCTTTTTTGTAATTGAGCAGGATTTTAACAAGTGAAGCCAGGCTGGTGGGCGCAGTGATGAGGGAGAGGAAAGGTGGGGAACACCGTCCAAGCAATGGGAGCAACATGGGCAGAGGCTGCAAGAAGAAAGCTAGCAGGAGTTGGTACAAGAGGTAGTCTTGTCTCCATGGAGACAGTTTCGTTAAGACTGAGTAAAAGGTAAGGTGAGAAAAAAAATAGGCTGGGACCAGATCATGCAATGGTTCCATGCTAAATTAGAGGATTTACACTTTATTCTGTAGATAATGTCAGGTCCTTGAGAACTGTTGAAGAGGGGAATGGTATGATTAAAAAATAAGGATTTTTAGATTTTTGAAAAATGATTCTGGTACCATGCAGGATAGACCGATGGGGAGAAACTGGGGTGGATAATGGATTCATTGAAATGGAAACTGCTTAACCAACATGGCTACCAATTCTTGAAAATAATGAAAATGTCACTAATGATCAAACACAGGTCTAATTAGGACTTAATAATGGCATAGATAAGACAGAGTGAAAGGTGGAAAAAGTCAAATCTAGCAAAGCTTTCAGATGCGATGTCTGAGAAAATAGCAGCAGAGACTTATAAACATGGGAGGAGTATTGGAGAAAGACGTCCAGTTCAAGCAGGTGAGACTTCCATCAGCCATTGCTCACCCTGAACCCTGTCCCTGCCTTCCTTGGCCAAAGGCACAAAAGGCCTGCATCTCACAGACTCAGCCTTGTCTAATTTCTGTACTACCGAGAACACAAACATCAAGCTCTTCAGGAGCTCTTTCTTGCAAGTGAGGAGGAGGCTTTTCCATGGTCTGCTAGTCCCAGGGCCCAACCTACAGCCCTACATCTCTTTGACACTTTGAGGGCCCTGTTCACCTGACTTACTTTCTTCGTCGCATTGGAATTTGATGTTCCTACTGCAGGTCAGCACTGGGTCTAGAAGTAATTTCTGAGACCAAGTTAAACTTCAATGGACACTTTGTCAAGTTCTTGTTGTCTTTTTTCCCCAGGGCTGCACCTTGCTTCTGGCTTTGTCTGCCTCATTTAGGTTTTCCTCCTTGATTTATCACGCTGGTATCTTCCTGATAACAAGAGCTGCTGCCACTTAATCCTCTGGTCCCAAGTAAATCAAATCCCTTAACCGTGGATGCCAGTGTGGGGTGGATTTGTGTTTGTGACAGCTCTAGAGAAAGTGATTTGAGATCTTGGTCCTTCTCCAGAGATGTTTAGTTTTTCTTTCTTGACTGGATACCACCAGTCTTTGTTTGCTATCAGAGCCAGTTAATCCCTGCTTTGTTGCAAGGAATTCCTGTGAGATGTATGACTACCACTGTTCCCTCAATGATGGTGAATGGTAAAAGCATGACAAAGAATTCAGAATGTTCAGGAGGTGGCTTAACTTTCCATATTGAAGCTGACACCGGAGGTCAGGGTGAGACATTCCAATTTTGGTGTCATCTCCACAGATAAACACATAACTATGGTTACCGCCGAAGTAAGGCTCAGATACACATGAAGAAATGAGTCAGCAAGGAGATCTAACAGCAAAACTGTACCACAGAACATTTCTATTTGTTTTACCTTTTGAATATGAGACACTGTGAGAAGGAGTTATGTTTGGGATGGAACAGAGCACTCCTCAAAAACTACTTCAATAGTTTTTGAGAAGAGGAGACTTAGAAAAGCAGAGATTTTAAAAGCAGAGACTAAAAGCCTGACAAAGTCTAACATCAGGAAAATAAGAGAAAGAGGAGGGGAAGAAAGAAGGAGAAAGAGGAGGAGAGGAAGAGGGAGAGGGAGAGAGAAAGGGGAGAGAGAGAAGGAGAAACAGAAGAGGGAGGAGGAGAAAATGAAGAGAAAGAGGAGAGGAAGATGGAGGAGGAGGAGAAGGAGAAGGAAGAAGAGAAGAAGGGTAAGGAGAAGAAGGAGGAGATGGAGAAGGAGGAGAGGGAGAAGAGGAAGGAGGAGGAGGGGAAGGAGGAGGAGAAGAGGGAGAAGGAGAAGGAAGAGGAGAAGGAGAAGAGGAAGGGGGGAAGGAGAAGGAGGAGGACAGGGAGAAGAGGAAGGAAGAGGAGGGGAAGGAGAAAGAGGAGGAGGAGAAGGAGGAGGAGAGGGTGGTAAAGGAAGAGGAGCAGGGGTTGGCAGGGGAGAGAGACGAAGGAGAAAATGATCCCGGAGTAGTTGGGGTGGCATTCAAGAGAAGACACAGGGCCACGTGACGGAGCCCAGGACAGCTTGCAGCATGCTGGGTGATCAGAGGTGACAAATCCTAAGAGATATTGAAGACAGACTTGAACCTGCTTCCCCTGCTCTAGAGGGCCTGCTCTTGCCCATTTTCACAACCTCTTCTTGGGAAAGAGTTTGTGACTGCAAAATAATGTTGGAAGACAGCCTTTGGTTCTGTGTGCACATCCTCAGGCATGAGTCTGAGTGGAGACCCTCTTAGCGCGGCCGCGATAATGAGGGCTGGGAGCTCCTGCAGCCTTTATGGCAGCTCTGGGTGCCACCGAGGCTTTCATGCCTGCGAGCCATAGGACCCAATTTCGAGGGGCAGGAATAGAGCACAAGAGAAAATGTTTCCAATTCAATATCAAACAAAAATACATCACGGGTTCCAGCCAGTAGATATTCTGGGAGCAGCCTTTTTTCCAGTCCCTTAAATGTAACCAGCTGGAAGTCTTTTTTAAGTGCTGTACTATTCAACCTTTGAGAGGAAGCATTTGCCATTTGATGGGAAAGCTACTTTTCAACGTGGAGATGGAGCTCTTAGTCCTTAGCTTCGTGATTCTGGTTCCTTCTTGATAAAATAGACTTAATAGACAAATACATAGAAAGGAGCAAATATGTGGTAAGTAGGAAAGTATGAGACAGTATTCTGTGTTCCCAAGGTCCTGGATACCATCTGATGAAAACTCAAAAGCAAACATCTGAGTTCCTGTTTCACAGCCAGCATGTCTTTCTGTTGAACATTTATAGAAAAAAATAGCATCCAATAGCTTTAGAGTCATTTAACTTGGCTATGAGTAAAGAAAGGTTCAAGAATGATGAGGATGTGGATATGTAGCAAGCTCTTGTGCGAACCTTGGCACCGTAAGATGTTTGCTCACCCTCAGTTTCTTCTTGGAAAGCTAGATATGGTATCTAGAGAACACCGCGGCTACATTCCAATAGCCTCTATCATAGTTGGAAGCCCAAGGCATTTGGTGGATAAGAACAGGAAAGGGGACCAGAATGGGGGTCCAAGACATCAATTCAAATCCTGCTTCTACTCTCTACCATTTGTGCAATTCTGTGCAAGGTGCTCGTATTGTCTTTAATATTTTTGTATTTCTATGCATGGTGCTCAAATTCTCTGAATCTCTGTTTACTAATATGGAAAATTAACATATTTTTGTGTGCCTTAAAATTGTCACAAAGGTTGACTGCATTAATACATGCAAAAAGTTTGGTAAGCTATAGAAGCACCAGAAAGGGCCATTTTAAAAGTACAGTTGGCTAGAGGGTAGTCTTAGAATTCTGAACCAAACTTCCAGGAGCGCAAATGGCCAAAATGTCCCAGAGGAAGAAGTAATCAAATAGGCTTCATTTCTAAAACAACAGGGATCTCCATTATTGACTTTATCGGTAGGTTAATTAAGAACTCTTCTAGTAATGATGTTAAGGAAGCTGTCACATTCTCCCTTCTCCCAGACATTACTCAACATCAGATGCTGCTGCTGTTTGCTCAATAAGACAGGTTGCCCAATCTGTGAAAAAAAAAATGCCTTCTGTATAAAAGATCTTCATGGGAATCCTCAGGAGGAACTCTCATTTTCCCACAGTGTTCCATAGCACACACGTGCTGCACCCAAGGTGCGGGGAAACAAGCTGTGATGATGGCTTATTTTAAAACGTTCTTGGTTAGGTGCAGTGGCTCACACCTCTCATCCAGCACTTTGGGAGGCCGAGGTGGGCAGATCACCTGAGGTCAGGATTTTGAGACTAGCCTGGCCAACATGGTGAAACCCTATCTCTACTAAAAATACAAAAATTAGTTGGGCATGGTGGCGTGCGCCTGTAGTCCCAGTTACTCGGAGGGCTGAGGCAGGAGAATCACTTGATTCCCTGAGTCAGAGGTTTCAGTGAGCTGAGATCGTGCCATTGCACTCCAGCCTGGGTGACAGAGCAAGACTCTGTCTCAAAAAATAACCATACAAACAAACAAAATAATTCTTGGTCGTTTGTAAGCTGGGTGACTTTGGGTAAGATATTTAACCTCTTCATATCTGTTTCTTTTTATATGCAAAATAAATAAATAAATAACCCAACGAAGTAGAATGTGGGAAAATTAAATAAAATGACTGTATGAAGACCACAAGCACTTAGCCTCCAAGCACTAAGACCAGAACATAGAAGAAATTCATCAGGTTAGTTCCCTGCCCTCCCTCCCTCCATACTCTGTTTGGAAGCCAACAAAAAAGACAAAAACTTAGAGCAAGTTTGATTGTGTATACTTTTTTTTTTTTTTTTTTTTTTTAGATAGAGTCTCGCTCTGTCACCCAGGCTGGAGTGCAGTGGTGTGATCTCAGTTCACTACAACCTCTCCCAAGTAGCTGGGATTACAGGTGCCCACCACGACACCTGACTGATTTTTGTATTTTTAGTAGAGATGGGGTTTCACCATGTTGGCCAGGCTGGTCTTGAACTCCTGACCTCAAGTGATCCACCTGCCTCGGCCTCCCAAAGTGCTGGGATTACAGGAGTGAGGCACCACAACCGGCCTGATTGTGTATACCTTCCTAAGAGTTACACATGATTTGCATGTGATATTTCTCTTGTAATCTTTCCTTCTTAATGTATCCACTACTAGATTGACCAGCAAAACAGTGCAATCAAATTCACGGTGAAAAGTCTCCTGATTGGTCCAAATATATGTGTCCTGATGCATTGACTGTGAACATCAGTAGTGTCTTTTCCAAGTAGAGTACTTAGGATTTCTTATGGAATGTCAAAAGGAAACTTAATAAGGACATTTCCTTTTTAATACTAAATTTTTAATTAGCCCAGGATAACAGCAAGAACAAAATTTCAGACAGACTCTGAATATCTCAAGCTGTTTGGTTATATTTTCCTATTAGAAAACAAAGCCTGGTATAGGCTTGAAGAAATAAGTTTGAGGCATGTTTGAGACAACTTTTAAAAATGTGGAAATGCTCTAGATGCCAGGTTTAAGCTCTGGCTTGACCTCTTACCGACAGTTCAACCTCAGGGAAGTCATTTTCTTCTATTTCTGTTTTCTCATCTGTAAGATTAAAACAAAATGGGCAGGGGGACGTTTCTATCACTTTTTCTGGGTAGTTGTTAGTTTCCAGTAAAATAACATAAAGTTCAGGGCTCTGCAAATGGAGAGAGCCAGGCAGGTGGGAAATTCCTCATTCTTTTAATTCTCTGGTCCATGCAAGGCTGAGGGCAAATCTTCAAGGTGTCCCTGCAGCAGTATGAGAATCCACAAAGCAGAATCACTGGGTGGACCATCACTGCCTTCTTCAAGGACAGGTTCTCAGAGGCCCTGGGGCATCCTGCCGGCACGACTAATGCTCGCTGCCCTTCCCCTTGCGGTCCTTCATCCACCAGCAATGCCTCCGAAACATCTGGGGTTGGTCTTGCCACTGTCTGACCCGCCATTGTTGTCCTGGGGATTCTCTTGAACAGCTGATACTCACCTGGTGCTCAGGACGCTGCTGATGCTGCTTTTGGAAAGGGGTAGGAAGTACCTCCCTGTGAGGCTAGGATGCTTACTGGGCTCTCTTAAAGAAGGACTTGTCTCAGCTTTCTCTAGGAAGCTGGGGAAATGTACCTTCAAGGGTGGGACAGAGAACCCTGGAGGGACATAGAGGGTGTAACACCCTGAAGAGTGCTTTGGGCTGTGTTTAGTTTTCTAGGGCCACCATAACAAATTCCAACACTGGGTGATTTAAAACAACAGGAATGTATACTCTTACAGTGCTTGAGGCCAGAAGTCTGAAATCTAGATCTTAGCAGAGCTAGTCCTTTCCTGGAGACACTAGGGGACATTCCTTAATTCCTTCTGGTGGCTGTTGATCTTTCTTGAGGCTACATCACTCCAATCTCTGCCTCTGTCTTCATTATCTTCTTTGCTTCTGCCCATGTCTCTCCTCTGGGTGTCTTTTATAAAACACTTGTCATTGAGATTAGGGCCCACCATGATAATCCATCTTTGGATCCTTAGCATAATCCCATCTACAAAGACCCCTTTTCCGAACTAAATCACATTCATAGGTTCTGAGGGTTAGGACATGGATGTGTGTTTTCAGAGGCCTCCATTCACCCCACTGCCCCCTGCTGCATGGATTATAGATGACAGACAGGCAAGCAAGCCGTGTCCCCCTTAGGAGGCTCTGAAAATTGTACAGGCAAGAAACAGAGGTGGCTTGGACTAAACCTAGTCCAAACAGTGGAGGCTGTGAAATGTGTTCACATACTGTGTGTATCCTGAAGGCTGAGCTAACAGGATTTGCTGTTGAACTAAATATGGGTTATAAGAAAAAAGAGGAATCAGAGATGGTCCCCAGTTTTTGACCTGAGCAACTAGAGAACAGGATTTTTGTTTACTGAGTTGAAGAACATTTGGGAAGGAAGAGGCTTGAGGCGAAAGGCAGGAGCCTCATTTTGTAGGTGCTATGTTTGGAAGGTTATCTGTTATCCCAAGTGGAAATATCATGCCCTTGGTAGGAGACACAAATCCACACATAGGAATGAATGAGACTCAACTTTCCAGGAGCTCATGGTTGTAGTTTGGGGGAGACATGCATGTAGGTGGACAACAATAACCCACCCTGACCAGAGCTACAGAAGGCAAGGGAGCTAAGTCTCATGGGGCCTACAGAGGGCGTTGAGGCTAGACTTAAGAGGGTTTTTTGGTGGCCACCCAGGAGAAACCCCTCAGCATTCACTGAGAAGCTTAATGGCAAGAAAATCACCCTAAGGGAAACAAGAGTGAAAGCAGGAGCAGGAGCAAAGAGAGGAGGCTTTGACAAAACAGAACAGATGACACCATTAAAGTCTGTTTCACAGGCCGAGAGCTCAAGGCAGTTCTGATCTGTAAACTGGTCAGTGCCCAGGGAACCTACATAGCCAGCACAAAGCAGGAAATTTGCCCTTCAGCAGCAGGAGAGAATGTTACTGTGAAGACTGGAGATTCACCCTGGCCTCACCTGGAACAATGGTGGAGGGTGTGGGACAGCCATGCCACATAGGACAGGATGGTTACAAGTACCTGGGAGAAGCCCCATGACCCCCAAAGAGCCAGGGAGACCTATTTGGAGCTAATCTTTTTTTGCAAATGTGCTACTGGGCAGATGTGAGACTCCAGCCCAGTTACTAAGGTGTGTGCCCCTTTGCCTGGGGAAATACTCAATACAGCAAGTGGTCAGAAGCGAAATGCCATGGCAAATCAGAGCGCTGTGGTGTGCTGCCTTGACGAAACTCAAGCTCAAATCTGGTCACTCTGTGAAAGGAAGTTAGCTTTTAATGGACTTTTCTTAGTTTTAACTAATAGGTGTTATAACGAGTACATACATAACTCTAAACACCTCTTTGGATGGTAGCTTTTAATCTCTGTATTTATATTCACTTATATATACATTTCTCAAATGTGTATGCCTGTGAGATGTAATTAATTAAGAGAGAAGAGAGGAAACAGATATAGTTGTGCCTGTCACATACACATCAACTTTCATTGTGAAAGTCCTCAGGTTCTTTCCAGTGAGAGATGGAAGCTCGGACCCGAGTGCAGGGAACTCTGCCTCCATAGCAGCATTTCTTTGCAGCCAATGTTAAGACAACTTCTCCCCCCGGCAGTAAATCTTGTCAAGATGCAATCAAGACATGCTACCCCAGAGCTTTCAGTTAGTCAGAATTTTGGACTTCTGAAGGTCATGCATTGGCGTAATATTTTTTGGAGCAGGAAAAAGAAAGATTGGCAGAGAAAGAGCAGAGACACTACCTGAGCGCTCCTAGAGCTCTGTGGTGAGCCGTTCCCACCTATGATCACTGTTCCACCATCAGTCCCCGTTCGCACTTTTTGTCAGATGTGCCTGAAGGTACGCTGCTCAACCCTAGAACTTTGGGGAGATGACAGTCTTAGGGACAAAGATTGAGGGCATCATTATTTACCAAGATTTGAGTCAGGAGACAAGAGCTGTCAGGTACTTGATACAGTGGCTACTTTTATTTTTATTCAAAGGTTTCAAAAAGTGCATCAGGTTAAAGAAATAAGCAAGAGAGGCAAGTCTCAGCCAAAACTAGATCTTAAAGTGGACAGGAACCTCTCAGAATCCCACTGTGATGGGTAATTTTATGTGTTAACTTGACTGGATTAAGAGACACTCAGCTGATAAAACAGTGTTTCTGGGTATGTCTGTGAGGCTGTTTCTGGAAGAGGTTAACATTTGAATCAATAGACTGAGTAAAGAAGATCTGACCCCACTGTGGGCAGGCATGATCCAATCCATTGAGAGCCTGGATAGAAAGAAAAGGCAGAGGAAAGGCAAATTCACTGTCTCTTTGGGACATGCACCTGCTGTCGTTGGATATGAGAGCTGCAGGTTCTTGGGTCTTTACTCCAGTAGGCCTCCAGTCCCTCAGGCTTTCTGCCTTGAACTGACAATGACACCACTGGCTCCTCTGGTTCTCAGGTCTTTGAACCTGGCCTGACTTACAGCACTGGCCTCCCTGATTCTCCACCTTGCTGATGGCATGTTGTGGGACTTCTTGGCCCTCATAATCACATGAATCAATTCTCATGGTATATCCCTCTTGTATATCTCTACTTATTTATATATATCCTATTGGTCATTTTTCTCCGGAGAACAAATACAGCCACACTCAGGACATTGTCTTGTTTATTAAGATGTGAGATTGGCAATTAAAAAAATAATAACACATTGTTAAATGCCTTTAATATGCCTCCATGTTTTCAGATTGCCTTTACCCTTCTCTGCTTTTTTGTCATCATGGTCTCTAGCAACAGTAAGTTACCCTGAGTGCAAAGTATTGGAACCGTTATATTTTATTTTTTTAAATGAAAAGAATAAGACTAGATCCCATCCACCCATCCAGGCCCTCTCTTCTGATTAGCAGGCAAGCACAAAGATACTTGTGTACTTCGGTGGAGCAGCCAAACCTGCACGTAGCCATATTGATCCCATCCAGGGTCGGCTGACTTGAAACACTGATTGATGAGGAGTGAAGTAGCAACCTCACTCAGGAAAAAAAAAATGCAGGTTTATAGGAATTTATTGATACAAAATCTCGCTGTCCCTTTTAACCAGGAGGAAAAACCCACAGGCACTGTTGTATTTTTAAAAAAATAATTGTAGCTTGTCAGAGTGGTAGGAATGGTGCGTGTCTGGGAAAACATCCTGGCAGGCACCCACGGGAGAAGAGGAAGAGAGTGCTGGTGGGGTGATGTTGAGGCTGGCATCAGGGTTTTGCTATTTTGACATTTTTGGGCTCTGGCAAGTGGGCACAGGCTAAGAAATGGGTGCTTAATGACACATGGGCTCAAAAGTGAGATCCCAGCACCCACCATGGGGCCTCATGTTGATGAGCATGGCAAGTCCATGGATATTCTCCAGGATCAGGACAACAGATTCCTGAAGGAGCATGGGGCTCAGGTAGGAATTTGGGAGCTGAAATTTGCTACTTCACCAGCTCTGCTCCCTTTCCTAATTTAGTCTTTAGGAATATTTTAATATTCCTGGAACACAAAACTGACACACAAGAAACTATTAATAAGCAGCTGATGACTTATATATGGAATAAGTAAGAGGGTTGACTCCATAAAATTTGGATTTTATAGATCAGATTATATATACTGATAATTAACACATTTGTTGGACGAAACATTAAGGGAAACTCTTTTTGCTATTTTTTTAATCTACCAGCATCTTCCCTGACTGGATAATCTCCCCAATCCTGTTATCAGATGCCTATCCCATCTCAGATAGGTGGGAACAAATTGCTTTTAGATACTGGTCTGTTTTTCTTCTTCCAAGCCCAGATCAAAAAAAAAAAAGGATAACCTTAGTGAAAATCATGGACATTGAAGTTGACATTGCTAGAGGGGCAAGATTTCATCCTCTAAATAAGGAGAGTAGCACCCCATGGTCATTTTGCCCCTTTGCTTGTTCTAATTTTGCTTTTGAAACTCAAGCATTTTGAGGTAGAGGAAAGATATTGCCATCAATGGAGCAAGTTCTCCCAACCTGTTTGTATAGCTCGTTATAAACATTGCTTAGAATATAAACATTGTTACACAAGAACTTAATTTTCCCCACTTTGCTCTCCAAATCAGTGATAATGTTCTAGTCCCCAGTGCTCCATTTGGAAAGATTCAATGAACCTGTACATTGAGATGAACAACATCACAATCAGATCCTGAGCTCTCCTGAAGCTGTTAAGCTTCAATATATATGTTTTTAATATTAGTTGATGTGGATTTAATATCAACCAAGTATCCTAGTTAATTAAATGTGTTGCTAGGAATATTTCCAAAGCTTAATTCAAAGTCATACTCAATGGCCTTGGGTACGATTTTAATATCACTCTAGAGTATTATTGGTTCATCTTGGATGAGTAATAAACACTAGGAAATAGACAATGAATAGTGTGTTTTCTTCGTTTCCCCAATGCTAGCTATTTACAAAACAAAAGCACCAACTCTTTAGGAATTATCTTCTTGTTACCCTGTGGTGTTCTCTCTCTCTCTCCCTCACCTCTCTCCCTTTTTTTTCTCCCTCCCCTCCCCTGCAAGAATCCTAACAAAAAATTAAGAATACTCCTCCAAAGCCAATCTGAAAAGCACGTTTGCCAAAACTGGACCTTAGAGAATTTTGTTCACGGAAGATAATTGGCAATGTTTGGAGAAAATATTGATTGACATGATGGGGCTGGGGGAGGGAAGGATGCTCTGACATATAGTAGGTGGAGATCATGGATCCTGCTAAACATTCTAAACACACAGGACAACCCCCACCACACGGAATTATCCCATCCCAGTGTCAGTAGTGCTGAAGCTGAGAAACCCTGCAGAAAGTGAATAAATTTGTTGAGCATGAGATGGCCCCGTGTGTTAAAGGCAGCATTACATAGAGAAAATAAAGGCTTCCTCTCTTTCTGAAGTGTAGACACACACATTTTTGCACACATACGTGTGTGCAAAGCTTGACACATCAAGGAGCAACTACTGCTCATTTTCTTCATTCGGCCTTCTCCTGGTATTCCTATGCACACTGATATCGTTTATCTCTGAATTAATGCATGTATAGGCAGGCACTACTGAAATGCAATGTGAATCATATTCACCTTACTAATCTTAATTAACCAAAATAAATACATATCCATCTTTTCAGCTTTATCTCAGACAATATGCTCCTTCTCTTTCTTGCCTAACAAGAAACATGTCTCCCCAGGACCCAGTGCAAAGCTAGCCTCAAAATGAGGGTTCAATATATACTTGTTCATTGATGGAATGGTATATACTCACCTGCATATTTTGTTTGTTTAAATTTATAATTATTTGCTCCCTTAAATAAAACAAAAAAGAAAAACCAAAATAGCCCAGCCACAGAGGAATACATTGAAAACAAGCAAACAGATTCCACTGTGATTGGGCTTGGATGAATAATCACAGAGCATGATAAAGCTTGGTGAAAGAAAGCATTTATTTCTTCATCAAACACTTAGAGAATAGCTGCTATGTGGCTACTGAGAACACAGAGATGAATGCACAATTTCTGTGTGTGAATCACAAAGTCTAGAAATATGATAAGGCAAATAAACAATCAGATGGGAAGGGTTGCTCCTCGGATCTGGGAGAGATCTGAGAACATTGGCTATAGGCGGATGCATCAAAATTTTGCAAATGGATAACAACTTAAAGGAGCTGTATTCTTGACACAAGGGAAGAAAACAGCAGCAAAGATAGAGGCATAAAAGCACACGGTGAAGTCAGGCAGCTGTTACTCATCTGGAAAATTGAAATGTCAGGTGAGTGGAGTTGAAGTAAAACTGAAATTCTAAACTGCAGATGGATGGGGAAGGGCTTGTAAACCCATGCCCAGGGATTTGCCTTCTGCCTAAAATCAGAATTTGAGAAGGGGAGCTCATTTTCCTCAGGTACAGGAGCCTGCGGGTGATACTAGGAGGGTTTGCACCTGTAGGAAGTTTTCAAGGCTGAGAAGGAGTTTGGGTTAAAATTCAACCAAGAAACATCAACTTGTTTAAACAGACAGGGAAGTTACAGGTCTGGGCAGTGTGGGTGTTGTCTATGCACCTGGGAGACAGGCAAGGCAGGGAATGGAGACACCAGTGCAGTGCTCCTGGCAGACAGCTTTCCTTCAGGAACTGGTGCACCCATCAGCAGGCCCCGATCCCCTCCTGTGGCAGGAGGATGCATGTCTGTAATGGGGACCAAGGGGCTGAACAGAACTCTCAAGATTCCACTTTCTACTTGCTGTCCATCTCTCCCTGCTTTCTGTCCTCCCTTGATAGAGTGACTAAAAGAAAGCAGGAGCTACTGTGCTTCACAGAGCTGCAAGACAATGCAGGAATGAATAACAAGACCACAGTTGTGTGTGAGAAGCTGGCATTGAACCTGGTCTGTCGCCTTTAGATTGTTAGGCTTTCTTCTGTCAACTGTGGTTATATCTTGTCAACTTTTCTCTTTTCATTGAGAAGAAATTCCTCATTTTCTCTTTTATCCCCCCACCCTTCTTTTAAAAATTAATAGTTTTGTTTAATTACAAAAAGAGTCTACCCTTCTTATTGGGAAATTTGGGATATCCAGAGAAATACAAAGAAATAAAAGTACAGATCAACCATAGTCTCAGCTCCCAGAGACAATCACTGTCAATCTTTGCGGGGGGCGGGGGTGTGGTATAATCAGAGGAGGAAGTCTCCATACTCAATTTCAGATGATGTCCAAGGCTAGTTTGGAAATCCTATCACTAAATATAGAGTCCATGAATTAGAAGAAAAGAAGAGGGTGAGGCTGTGATCACAGGTCTTTACCTACCTTCCTGCAGGTGACCTAGCACAGGCAATGGTGAGTTGGGTGCAAGGAGGCATGTGCCACCTCTTAGCATGAAAGCATTTCGTTTATCTTCAGATGGGGCAGCAAACAGGTAAGTGGGCTTTCTTTGAAAAGGTTGTGAAGTCTTTCAATTTCAGGCTCTTGTGCTGAATACAGTGGCTGTTGAAGACAATGACTGCCTACCAGGACACTATTCCACATGGTCATTGGCCAAGGATGTCAAAATTCACAGGTTATTTTACATTGACATCCATCTTTTCTCCTTCTTTATTGCAGCCTGAATAGCCGACATGTGATGGATTGATCCTCAATTGCTAAACGGGTCTCTTTTCATTCAGTAGCTGATAGATTTGGGAAACTATGCTCCCTCCACAGCTCCTGATGATATGTGGAGCCAAATCTTCATTCATTAAGGTCAAATTATTGCCCTTGTTATGAGCATGAAATGAGATCCACTGGGGTGTCCTGGGATTCAATGAGTTCCAGGGCTTCTAAAAAACTGAGCACAGCTGTTGGGCACAGCCAACTCCACGCATCAGCATGAGGAAAGCTACCTGCATGGTGTGACTCAGAGGACCTTGTGCTCCCATAGAGCTTCTTAACTTGATTTTCTTAAAACTATTGTTTTGTTGGCACCAGAGAACTCACATTCAGTGCCAAGAAGAAAAAAGGAGAGATGAGGTGGGGAAGACAGGCAGGAGTGCATTTCTATCCACACTGTGTGCCAGGTGTCTCTCCTTGCCTAGCCCTTTAAAATCAGTAGACTGAGCTGCAAGTAATGCGCCCAGGCATTGTGAACAGCTGCATGCAGCTCAGGGCCCTCTGGGTTTGCCTGTGATTCACTTGCTCTGAACCCCACGATGTGATGACTCCTGGCCACACTGCTGCCTTGCTGCCTGACTGACTGTTCCCATGGAGTGGTTTGGAATCCTCTTTTGGGAAACTGAATGTTCTCTTCTTTCTCTTTCCCATCCTCTTCATTGGCTAGGCATTGCTTGGTGGTACCAGATAGAAAACAATTCACTTTAGCCTTATAATCCTACAATTTGAGTTCTAGAGACATTTCATTTCAAGTGCAATGTTATGCCACCCCCATCCCATAAGGCATCACTGGGGAAAAATGACACACAAGGGTTCCACCACTCACTTGCCAGAAGCTGCCTCACTCCCCACCTAACAAGTGAAATCACCGACCCTGAGCTCAGACCCACCATTTTTCTCTCTCCTAAAATCTTTTAAGGGAAATCTAAAATGCCACCCTTATCTTTCCATTTTTCCCTATGAGAGGGATAGGGAAGGCAGGGATGGGGTGATTGTCTCTAATCTTATCAGCTTTGCTGGCATAGCTGGTGCGTAGGTGAGCCAGAGGAAATAGGCCCAGCTTCTTAAAGCAGATACTGCCTTTTCAAGCCTACAACTGCTCTTTGCTTGTGTGGCTGCAAAAGTCCAAGTTTCTAAGTTTCACTCTGTTCCCACCAAGAAAGGGTGTGTTGCCAAGAAGGCAGGTTGGGGGCACTCAGCCGACAAGGGGCTCAGATGTTGTCTCAGTACTGCCCAGCCAGCCAGGAGGGAGCTAGCTAGGCCAGGTGCACTTCTACCCCTCCAGACCTCTCCTCTATCATTTAATATATTGTTTATTTTAAAATTATGTGTTCACATTTATTAATTGTCCATGACATGCCAGGCACTAGATTAGATATTGAACAGCCAGCAATGAAAAAAACAGACAAAACCTTTGTCATCCTGTAGTTTACAGCCTAGTGGAGGGACGTAGATGATTAAAAAGAAAAATAAGTCAAATGTAGAATGTGTGTTAAGGCGACGGCTATGAAAAAGAAGAAATCAGGAGCAGGGATAGGGAATACTGACAGAGTCAGAAGTGGGTCACATTGGAACCCACACCTGCAGAAAAGAGAATGGCCTGGGCAGGAAGTAGCCCTCCCTCCCTCCCTCTCTCCCTCGTTCCTTCCTTCCCTTTCCTTCCCTTCCCTTCCCTTCCCTTCCCTTCCCTTTCCTTTCCTTCCCTTTCCTTTCCTTCCATCCTTCCTTCCTTCCCTCCTTCCTTCCTTTCTTCCTCCCTCCCTCCGTCTCTCCCTCCTTCCTTCCCTCCCTCTCTCCTTCCTTCCTTCTCTTCCTTTCCTTCCTTCCTTGTTTTTCTTTTTTTGTTTTCTTTTTAGACAAGATCTCACTCTGTCATCAGGCTGGAGTACAGAGATGCCACCATAGCTCACTGCAGCCTCGATCTCCTGGGCTCAGGTGATTCTCCCATCTCAGCCTCCTGAGCAGTTGGGACTATAGGTGTGCACCACCATGCCTGGCTAATTTTGTATCTATTGTAGAGATGGGGTCTTGCCATGTCACCCAGGCTGGTCTCAAACTCCTGGCCTCAAGCAATCCTCCCACCTCAGCCTCCCAAAGTGTTGGGATTACAGATGTGAGCCACCACTCCCAGCCTCTTTTGTTCTTGACATGGAGAAATAATAATATGTTTATAAGAACATAGGAATGACCCCCAGAAGAGTGAGAGCATTGGATGATGCATAGAGAGGGGATAATTTCTAGACACATGTCTCTGAGTAGGTAAAAGGGAGTGGGATCACGCACTCACTTAGGCTTATTTAGGAATAGGCAAGTTTACCCTTAGTAGGAAAGAGGGCATGGCATAAGGGCATAGACAGAGCTAGATGAGTAGCAGCTGGCAGGAGATTATGGAAATTCTCTCTGATTGTTTCTATTTCTTCAGTGAAATGGGAAGCAATCATCAACTGAGCATGAGAAAGGAGGGAGTGCTGGATGTTAGAAGAGACAGAAGACATGAAGCAATCATCTTGGAAAGGGAAGGAATAAAATGTAGCGTGATTACTAAGGGGCACATTGAGTTTTGTGCTCATACATTGAATGTGAGACCAGTTTGCGTGATTTGGGGCTTGCTCTCTGGCCAGGTTCATCTATGTGGTGCAGGTATTGAGTGGAGGAGAGTTGACTTTAACAAAAGATAGGTTGATGATGACAATGGGATAATGGGTCAAGGCAGTTGAAGACAACGAAGCAAGCGATAATTTTAAGCTGGGCTAGGGGATAAATGAGGACTGAAGAGTGAAGAAAGACTTAAAACCTCCCAAGACCAATGCCTTGAGAGAGTAAAAAGATATGAAGTGGTAAACAGAATGAGCCGCTTGGCTTTGAAATTATGAATGTGTTGTAGCTACTAATGATTCTGAAGCCCAAGACATATGGAATCTGAATAGTTCACAGGATATTCATATTGAGACCACCAGAACTGATTAATAAAATGGATCAGGAAAGTCACAGCTGAAGATATGGATTGGTATTTGGTGCAGGTGGTGGTTGAAATCCTGGGAGTGAAATGATCAGAATTGTCCAGGAAACCAGAGAGGGAGAAGGTGTGGACTTTACTTGCCTTTTGGTCTGAAAAAGAGACCAGCCTTTTCTGCCACCTATGAGCAGTATAAGCAAAGCTGTCAAGCTCTTTGGGAGACACAGCCCATTTGTGCATATGCACAGTGAGCGGGCATAGAATGAAACAAGGTCCTGTGAATTTACTGACTTTGGAAACCTCAGTATTCCTTTTCAAACTTCACTGTTTGCAAAGCTTTGCCAGAAAGCTGCACTGGCCTTTCATCTTCCCAGGAATTACAAAATTTATCAGCATAATCATTCCTTAAAATTGCCCATCCGGAAAGTGGTAAAAGACTATGAAGCCTCAAACTTGAGTTCATATTCCTTGGCAAAGGAATGTAGAAGTGTCTTTGAGCAATGAGACCCATTGAGAGTCCTGCAGCTAGAAAAGGTTTGGAGTACCAGAGGTTTCTGAAATATTCTGCTCAATTTTTTATTGATTTCCTTTAGGAAAACACTAATTGTGATTGATTCTCTTGACTGAATTACCAGCAGTGTGGTTCCTCAGGCCGATTACTTATATATCTACATAGATAAATAAAATTGTACTCCTCGGTGAATTCATTGTCTTTCTTCAACATTAGAGAGCCCTGCATCCTTATTTTCAAGGGAAGCCACAAATAACAACACTCTTTTCACTATTTTACTCTTGCAGACCTTGAAAAAGACTGTGACAAGTAAAATGGTTGAGGCAAATTCCTGGAAATGAAACTCATGCTCAACAGCTTCTTCACCAGTGATCCTCACACTTTCACATGTGGAGCAGGTTGGGGTGGCTCTTTAAAGCACAGGATTCTGGGCTCCATCCCCAGATATTTTGATTTATAGGTCTGGGTTAGGACCTGTGAATTTCCATTTCTAATAAATTCACAGTTGATGCCAATGTTACTGGTCTGAGCACTGCACTTGGAGAACCACTGCCCACACCACATGAAGGAAGACAAGAACTTCCATCTTTTTGTCTGAAGGGCTCAACTCTCAACAGAAGCCTAAGATTACATCCTAAATACTGATAAACACCTCTATTTGTTTTATAGGGCTGCCATAGCAAAATACCACACATGGGATGGCATAAACAACAGACATTTACTCGCTCATGGTTCTTGAGACTCCAAGTCCAAGATCAAGGTGTCAGTGGGGTTGATTTCCTCTGGGGTTCCTCTCCTCACTTTTTAGATGGCTGCCTTCTCACTGTGTTCTCTCATGACCTTTCCTCTATGTGTCTATGTCCTAATCTCTTTTTCTTATAAAGACACTGGTCATATTGGATTAGGGCTTACCCTAATGACATTATTTGAAGTTAATAACTTCTTTTAAAACACTATGTCCCAATAGAGTCACATTCTGTACTGTGGGCTAGGGCTTCAGGATATGAATTTACAGATTTGCCGGTGGGGGATAATTTTGCCCATAACAACATCCCTCTGTGGTCTTAGCTTTACAAAAGCAGAGCATCTCTTAGAAATACTGATGGGAAAGGCAGTGCTGGAAGGAGCCCCTTGGTGGTCCTCCACGTCCTGGAGGGCCTCATGCAAGCTGAGAGGGGAAAAGACTGTTAGATGCGCCCCAGGGTGGAATCCGAGCAGAGAGATGGGCAGGCCCAGCTTCCTGCAGACAATTCAAAGAGCCAGGGGGAGCTGAGCTGCTCCCAGCTTTACTTCGCTGAAGCCCTTCTCCCTGCAATCCCCACACTGCTAGCTCAATTTACTGCATTAATATTTACCGAGTGTCTGGGAATGCCTGGCTGTGTTCTAGTAGCTGAGCATGGAGCAATGAACAAAAAAAAAAATTCCCATATCCCTGCCCTCCTGCCTGCCCTCCTGGTGCTCACAGGCTAGTGGGGAGACAGACTGTCATAAATGCACAGGTAGATATGCCCAGCAGTGATAAATATCACTAAGAAGGGTAAAGCAGGCAGAATGAGGGTGACGGAAGTGGCTCCTTCAGAAGGTTCAGTCAGTCTTCCCTGAGGAGGTGACCCTTGTATGTGTACGCCTTCACTTTTGGAAATCCTATGCTCTGTCCTACTTCTTCAGGCAAAACCTGTCCTAGGGGAAAAATAAATCTATATGTAGAAAAAACTTGAGCAGCACAGTCGCTGAGCAAACATAAACTTGCATAAACACACACAAAACCAAAACACAAAATATACTTTGGAGAGAAGTCCCTCATTTTTCTCCTTAGATTCTTCAAAGCTCTTCTTTTAGACCAAGAGTTCTGTTTTTTAATTTGATTTTTATGGGAATAAAATCAAGGGGTACAAGCATAGTTTTGTGCAGTGGTAAAGTCTGGGTTTTCAGTGTAACCATCACCTGCATAACCTACAGTATACCCGTCAAGTAATTTCTCATCCCTCACTCTCCTTTCACTCACCCACCCTTCTGAAACTCCAGTGACTGTTATTTCATGCTCCATGTTCATGTATACACATTATTTAGCTTCCACTTATAAGTGAGAACATGCGGTATTTGACTTTGTTTCTGAGTTATTTCACCTAAGACAATTGCCTCCAGTTCTATCCATGTTGCTGCAAAAAGCATAATTTCATTCTTTTAATGGCTGAATATTATTCCAGTATATATATAAAACACACTTTCTTTAATCATCCGTTGATTGATACTTAATTTGATTCCATATCTTTGCTACTGTAAGTAGTGCTGTGATAAACATATGAGTGCAGTTATCATTTTAATATAATGATTTCCTTTCCTTTGGATAGATACCCAATAGTGGGATTGCTGGATTGAATGGTAATTTTCTTTATAGTTTTTTGAAAACTCTCCATACTGTTTTTCATAGAAGTTGTACCAATTTACATTCCTACCAACAATATACAAAAATTTCCTTTTGTCCTCAACAAGTTATTTTTTGATATTTTAGTAATAGCCATACTCACTTGTTCAAGATGATATTTCATTGTGGTTCTAATTTGCATTGCTGTGATGACTCGTGATGTTGAGCATTTTTCATATGCTTATTGGTCATTTGTATGTCTTCTTTTGAAAATGACTATTCATGTCCTTTACCCACTTTTTAGTGGGGTTATTTTTTGTTGTTGTTGAGTTGTTTGAATTCGTTGTAATTTCTGGATATCAGTCACCTGTCAGATCTATAGTTTGCAAATACTCTATCCTATTCTGACAGGCAGTTCACTCTGTTGGCTATTTCCTTTGCTGTGCAGAAGCTTTTTGGTTTGATAAAGTCTCATTTGTCTATTTTTGCTTTTTGGGCTTGTGCTTTTGAAGTCTTAGTCATAAGTTTTTTGCCTAGACCAATGTTCAAAACAGTTTTCCTGAGGTTTTCTTCCAGTACTTTTATAGTTTTAGGTCTTACATTTAACTCTTTAATCTATCTTGAGATGACTTTTTATGTGGTGAGAGATAGGGGTCTTCTGCATATAGCAATCCAATTTTCCAAGCACTATTTGTTGAAAAGGGTGCCCTTTCCTTAGTGTATGTTTTGGTTGACTTTGCCAAAGATCAATTGGCTGTAGATATGTGGCTTTACTTCTGGGTTCACCATTCTGTTCCATTGATCTCTATGTCTACTTTGATACCAGTGCCATACTCTTTTGACTATTACAGCCTTGTAGTATAATTTGAAGTCAGTTAATGTGATTCCTGTAGCTTTGTTCTTTTTACTTAGGATTGCTTTAGCTATTTGTGCTCTTTTCTGGTTCCATATGAATTTTAGAATTGTTTTTTCTAATTCTGTGAAACGTGGAAGTATGTTTATAGGAATTGTATTAAATCTGCAGATTGCTTTGGGTAGCATGGTCATTTTAATGATATTAATTCTTCCAATCCATGAGCAAGGGATGTTCTTCCATTTGTTTTTGTCATCTACAATTTCTTTCATCAATATTTTATTGTTTTCCTTGTAGAGATCTTTCATCTTCTCGGTTAAATATATTCCTAGTTTTTTCTTTCTTTCTTTTTTTTGTAGCTACTGTAAGTGGGATTGACTTCTTGATTTGGTTCTCAGCTTGATTGTTATTCGTGTGTATAAATGCTACTGACTTTTGTATGTTGATTTTGTATCCTGAAACTTTACCAAATTCATTTGAGGAATCTTTAGGGCAGGTATGTCCAATCTTTTGGTTTCTCTGGGCCACACTGGAAAAAGAATTGTCTTGGGACACATATAAAATACAAAAACACCAACCATAGCTGATGAGCTTTAAAAAAAAGAAGTCCATGCATAAATCTCATAATGTCTTAAAAAAATTTACACATTTATATCGGGCCTCATTCAAAGCTGTCCTGGGCCACATATGGCCCATGGGTCATGGGATAGACAAGCTTACTTTACGGTTTTCTAGTTATAAGATCATACTGTCAGTGAACAGAGATAATTTGACTTCCAATTTTTCAATTTGGATGCCTTTCATTTCTTTCTCTTGCCTGATTGTTCTGTCTAGGACTTCCAGTATTATGTTGAATAGGAGTGGCAAAAGTGGGCAACTTTGTCTTGTTCTAGTTCGTAGGTGGAATGCTTTCAACTTTTCTCCATTCAGTATGATGTTGGCTGTGGGTTTGTTATATACGGCCTTTTTAATTTGAAGTATGTTCCTTCTATGCTTAGTTTACTGAGAGTTTTTATCATGAAGAGATGCTGAATTTTATCAAATGCTTTTTCTGCATCTGTTGAGAAGATTATAAGATTTTTGTCCTTAAGTCAGTTTACGTGATGAATCACATTTATTGATTTCCATATGTTGAACCATCCTTGCATTCCTGGAATAAAATGCATCTGGTCATTGTGTTTTATCTTCTTGATATACTGTTGGATTCTGTTTGCTAGTATTTTGTTGAGGATTTTTGTATCTATGTTCATCAGGGATATTGTAAACCAAGAGTTCTTAAGATCACTTTGGAAGGGTCCTCTTTGATAATCTAATGGAATCTATAGGCTTTTTGCCCAGTGCACATGAGCCTACATAGGCAATTTTATGTGGAGCTTTAGGGTTTTTATAAATTCTCTGAAGTCTTCCATGGATTCAGATACAGGCCTCTATTTACAGTAATAATAATGATAGAGCTATAATTTTTTGAACACTTACTAGGTAGTCTGCTAAAATCATAATATTCATTATTTAATCTAATCCTCACAAAATGATCATATATAACTGTTGTCATTCTGACAGCCTCCTGCAGATGAGGAATCTGAGGCTCCAAAAGGAAAAGCAAGGTCATAGACTAATTAGTGGCAGAGCTATGGTGTGCCTAAAGATTCACAGTAGGAGTCACCAGGCTCTACGTCCTCTACCATTTACTTTTTAACTTTTTATTTTGAAATGCTTTTAGATTTACAGCAGGGAAATAAGATAGTACAAGACTTCTCATATACCTTTCACCCAGCTTCCCCTAATGTTAGCATCTCACATAACACTGCCTCACTTATCGGAACAACAAAAAATTATACCAACCAACTTAATTAAAAGGAAGGCAAGAGAAATTGCCATGTAAGCAGGCACGAAGATCACATGCACAGCTGTCTTGGTTTGCAGGCACAACTTCCAGAACAACTGAATTATCTGTGAAGTTTAACTGAACCATGACAGGGTATTTGGGATTCCCCATAAAATCAAGAAAAGTTTAATGAGATTCAGTATTAACTTTAAGAGTTTTTAAAAATTATCAGAACACTCCTCTGCTGACAGTTTTGGGGCCTGGGATAGAAGGAGGCCTG